>NC_000005.10:172124960-172427990 GCF_000001405.40 Homo sapiens
TCAATACTGGAGGTATAAATGGTATAGAGACTTTGAGAGAGTTCTAATTCCTTTTATGCGTTTGTTGCAAATTTGACTCCCTGAAAGTGTATTATCTCAGCATTGCTGGTGTGTAAGCATTGTGCATGTATGGAAAAATGCTGAAAGTTCCTCAGTAAACATAGGGATGTCCTTTTGGTACATCCGCATTTGTGGAAGATAAACTTTCTCCAGATCCTGGCTCTTTCGGCATCTGCATATGCCCTAGTGACCCACTGAGGGTTTTGATCAATCTCGTCAACAGGCTTTGGTTGTTCATTACAGTATTTCAGACAACAGCTATAAAGCTGTGTGTACACAATCACCAATCCTGGTGATATGCACTTATACATCTCCCTTTTTGACCTACCTCTTTATGGGTACAAGTCATCTGCTCATGACTTTTTTTCATTTTTTTTTTTTTGAGATGGAGTCTCACTCTGTCGCCCAGGCTGGAGTGCAGTGGCATCACCTTGGCTCACTGCAACCTCTACCGCCTGGGTTCAAGTGATTCTCCTGCCTCAGCCTCCCAAGTAGCTGGGATTACAGGCGCCTGCCATCACGCCCAGCTAATTTTCATATATTTTGTAGAGATGGGTTTTTGCCATGTTGGCCAGGCTGGTTTCAAACTCGTGGCCTCAGGTGATCCGCCCACCTCGGCCTCCCAAAGTGCTGGGACTACAGGCGTGAGCCACCACACCCAGCCAATCTGCTCATAATTGTTACAGCTGTACCACCATCTTTGGTATAGCTGTTTATGCTTGCAAAGTATGTATGTTACTACTGCCTATTTGATTGTGTAAAGTGGCCTATGAAGCGCCTTGAAGTTTTTATATTTCTCAAATTCCCCTTTAAAATATAAGTAAATATCAAGAATTTTAAAAAAAATTTTAGCATTATATTTTTGGGATTTTGATCTTTCGGGATTGTACTTGACAGGATTTGAGACTTTAGGCATTTTGCTCTTTTTGGATTTCAACATTCAGGTTTATGGCATTCAAGGCTATGTCAGGACTACAGTTGGCTCCCTCCTGAGGTAAACTCAGGGAAAATACCTTGAATGGTGTGACATTATCCTAAGTGCCTCTCCTCTTCTGGGCCATCCCAGAATCCTGGACATGTCACTCAACCTTCCAGGCCTCTCCTCAGCCTCTCTGCACTCACTGCCCTGAAGGGTAGCATGAGCCGGGGATGCTGCAGGATGGGCCATGGTCCATGGTTAGGAGCGGGTCACCCAGACCTGGGTTCACAGCTCTCCTGTGTGATCTGGGTGAGTCCCTTAACCTTTCAAGTGTCAGCCCAATCAAAAATAAAAGTGATATTTGCCTGTAATCCCAGCGCTTTGGGAGGCAGAGGCAGGTGGATCACCCAAGGTCAGGAGTTCGAGACCAGCCTGGCCAACATGGTGAAACCCCATCACTACTAACATACAAAAATTAGCCGGGCATGGTCGTGGGCACCTGTAGTCCCAGCTACTCGGGAGGCTGGGGCAGAAGAATCACCTGAACCCGGGAGGTGGAGGTTACAGTAAGCTGAGATTGCGCCACTGCACTCCAGCCTGGGCAACAGAGTGAGACTCCATCTCAAAAATAAATAAATAAAATACTCTTCCTGATTTTATACCTGAGGATTAGAGGAGGACCGCATATGGGAACGTGGTTACCACACTCTCTGGCATATAGTGACTATTCACAAAGGAATGGCCACTACTAACATTTCACTGTGATCATCGTCGTCATTATTGCTCAAGCTTGCCCAGGACATTGAGACCTGACACTGTCCCCACAGAGCATTTACTGAATGTGTGGGTATCCCCACTTTTCAAAGACCTTCCTCGGGTATCTCGGTTTTACCTCCTGAGAGTGTGTGGGGTCCCGCAAAGAAGGCATCATACCCATCTTAGATCAAGAGGCCTCAAGAGGGAGAGTGGCCAGTTCAAGGACACACGGCTTCTGGAACAGGGAGTGATGGTCTTCCAGCGAATGTCCTGCGTTCTCTTCAAGAACCCAACCCCTCCATCTCTACTAAAAATACAAAAACAAGCCGTGCGTGGTGGCACGGACCTGTAATCCCAGGCTACTCAGGAGGCTGAGGCAGGAGAGTCATTTGAACCCGGGAGGCGGAGGCTGCAGTGAGTGAGCTGAGATCGCACCACTGCATTCCAGCCTGGGCAACAGAGCAAGACTCTGTCTCAAAAAGAGAAAGAAAGAAAAAAAGAACCCACACCCTGCTCCCAAAAGCAGACATAGTAGAGAGGTGCTCAAAGAGGCCATGGGAACTGATGGAATGGGAGAGTGGAGGTCCCAGTCCTAGACAGAGCTGTCCAGCAGTCAGGCTTAGGACTCCAAACGAGTCGTCTGGTCCCGACAATGCACCGAATCAAGTAAGACTCACCCAGCATGATGGCGTCCACGGCTCCCCCTGGACAGAACTCAATCATGATCTGCAGAAAACACAGGGCAAAGTGACAATGAGTGGGGCTGCCCAGCCGTCGAGACGGGAACCCCACAGGCCCATTGGGCAGGGTCCACCCATGCCCAATGCCTGGGTGCCCCTGCTCTCCAGCCCTTCCTCCTCCTGCCTTGGGAGCCCGTCCCCCTCCCCCAGTGGGCCTCAAACCTCACTGGAGGCTCTGACACCCAGAGGAGCTTCTTGGCTGCTTCATTTTCTGAAGAAGGAAAACTAAGTTGCTACGAAGACCTGAAGCTTCAGCAAACAGCCTCTTCAGCCAAGCCCACACCCTCCCTCCTCGCTCCCGCCTATGCGCCTGGTGCCCACCTGCCAGCTGCCCTGTTTCCTATGCTCCACAGCCAAGAACCTCAGGATGCCTTCCCCCGGCCAAGCTGGCCAAGTCCTCTCAGAATCCCAGCACCTGTCTCAGGCTCTCTCCATCTTCCAGAACCCTGGACCTTGCTGGCTCAGAACATCAGGGCCTTGAAGATCAGCTCAGATGGAGAAACTGAGGCCAAAAAAGGGGATGTAACTGACCAAGGCCACAGAGATTGTTCCTGGACTGGAAGCAGAGCTCCAAACCCTCAGGTCATTCATTCATTCATCATACACCTACTCCACACTGACAGGCTGCAGGCCCCGGGAGAACAACCAGGTCTAGGCCCTCAAGGGGCTCCCAGCCTAGTGGAGGGGCAGAAAGGACGATTACAGTAGAAAGGTCCTTCCTGACCTCGTGATCCACCCGCTGCACTCCAGCCTGGGCAATAGAGCAATAGAGGGAGACTCCGTCTCAAAAAAAAAAAAAAAAAAAAAAAAGAAAGGTTCTTCCAGCCCTGGTTCACTCCCATTCTCACTCTTTCTGGCCCACTCCGGGCTCTTTGCATAGATGCTTTTTCTTTTCTTTCTTCTTTCCTTTTTTTTTTTTTTTTTAGACAGACTCTCGCTCTTGTCACCCAGGCTAGCGTGCAATGGCACAATCTTGGCTCCATCTCTGGGGTTCAAGTGATTCTCCTGCCTCAGCCTCCTGAGTAGCTGGGATTAAAGGCACCTGCCACCACACCTGGCTAATGTTTGTGTTTTTAGTAGAGATGGGGTTTCACCATGTTGGCCAGGCTGGTCTCAAACATCTGACCTCAGGTGATCCACCCGCCCTGGCCTCCCAAAGTGCTGGGATTACAGGCGTGAGCCACCCTGCCTGACCTCTTTTTTCTTAAAGTAGGGCTACAGGTGGTTGAGGAAGAGGGATGGCGTCACAAACTTCAGGACAGGCAGAATCACCTCTTAGCTTCCAGCTCCTGGCCCCTGCTTGTTGTGAAGTTCCTTCAACCCAGCTCAGCAGAGGCCCTGGAGAGTGGGGCAGTCAAGAAGACCCACGCTGTCTCTAAACAGGAAAGAAACTCTCAACCATGGTCTAGCTGGACCAGAGACAGCTCTCCAGCCAGAGGAGGGTGGAGCAGCCTCAGGAATTTGATGAAGCCTCCAGTTTGTGGCTTACCTTCCAGGAGCCTCCTGGCAATGTAAATATGACCCTGAGGTCATGTGGGTCCTATGAGGATGTGGTGATGCGTGGCTTTGGAGCCAGTCACGGCTGGGCTCATGGCCCAGGTCCACCGCTCACTAGTGTGGCCTTGGACAGGTCACTTCCGTCCTCTGAGACTGTGTCCTCAGCTGTAAAATGGGGCTGCTGATGCTGTTGCTCTGAACTGGGACCCCATGGCTGGGCTACACTAGGGGTATAAGCCGGGCTGGGATGCACGAAACCACAGCAGATAAAACAGGGGACTTTAACGTGGGCCAGGGATACTAGAGATACTAGGTTCCAGGGGTAGCAACCATTCCAGGCCCTGCCAGGCTTGCCACTTGCCTTGGAGGGCTGTGTGCCACGGCAGAGAGCTGTGGAAGGCGGCACGGCCCACTTCCACACCACTCCCTGCTGAGGAGGAAGGAGGCCTTCTGGGTCACTCTGGTCCTGCCTGGTCATCAACAACGGGCCTGACCTCAGCTTCCCCAAGACTTCTCTCTAACACTACAGTGACCTGTCACCCTTGAATAAAAGTCATCAGAAATGGATCCATGCATGCTGATCCCGAACGCCAAGGAAGAGGTACTTCCTCCATCCACTTGTTCATTCATTCATTCGTCCATTCATTTGTTCCCTCTTACCCAACCACCACCTAACCAGCTTGTTCCCAGTGGCAAGGGAACAGACAGAGGTGACTTGGAAACAGGCAATGACCTTTTGAAGCACAGCATATCATTCTGCCTTGTAGTAATTCTCAGCTCCACGAAAGAGGAAGAAAAATTCTACTAACTGCTAGAAAAAAAACAAGCCACAAGAGGTGATGATGGAAAAGAAGCAAAACTCAGTGACCATGCAAGGCCACTTACTAGCTGGGCGACCTGTGAGATGGGGATGATACACCCTAACCCTCATGGGAATGATAAGCTCATCCAGGCCTTGACACGTGCCTGGCCCCAGGTCGGGACTCAGTTATGTGAGCTGTCACTATGATTCTTTCCTTGAGTTCATGGGTCTGTTTTTCTCATTTATTTTTGTTTGGGTTTTTTGAGGCTCTGTGAAAGCCATCCTCTCCCCTCTCACCCAGAAATGTTCCTGTGCCATTCTATTGAATCCTTCCACATCCTGAAGTTCCATCACCAAACCCTGGCTGGGAACCCCTGGTTAGCCTCCCTAACACCTACCATCTGTATGGCCTTGGACAACCGCCAATCCTCTCCGTAAAATGGGCTAATATTACGTGGCTCTAGGATTTACTGTAAGGAACAGATGAGGTGGTACTTATAAAGACCTAGTCCTAGGCTGGGGGCAGTGACTCACTCTTGTAATCCCAGCATATTGGGAAGATGAGGCAGGCAGATCACCTGAGGTCAGGAGTTCGAGACCAGCCTGGCCAAAATGGCAAAACCCCGTCTCCACTAAAAATACAAAAAGTAGCCAGGTGTGGTGGCGGGCACCTGTAATCCCAGCTACTTGGGAGGCGGAGGCAGGAGAATCACTTGAACCCAGGAGGCGGAGGCTGCAGTGAGCGGAGATCACACCACAGCATTCCAGTCTGGGTGACAGAGCAAGACTCTGTCTCCAAAAAAAAAAAAAACCGAAAAACCCAGTCCTAATACACCGTGGATATGTAACAAGGTCAGACACTTCCCGCTTCTCCAACAAGGTGCCAACACAGAGGAAAAGATTGTAAACCTGGGGTCGAGTCCTGGTGTGCCACTTAATTGACTACATGACCCTGGATAAGTCAATCTCCCTGAGCCTCCATTTCCCCATCTGTAAAATGGCCTAATCATCTCTTGCCTCCAACTTCATTGAGAAAGTTAAATGAGATTCCTTACATGAAAGAACAGCACAAAAGCCACACAGTTAATATGTGTTTGTTAAATCTCTACCAAATGAAATCACCAGTAAGTTTCATGCTTAGATCACGTCACTTAGGATTCCTACAAAAATATGCCTTCCTCTCAGTCTGATTCCTAGGGAAAACAAAACAAAACAAAGAAATGTCTTCCCAGAACTACAATTTCTTTATGTATTTATTTATTTTTGAGAACTAAAAGTTATGGACATGCCATCAGCTGTTTTTTTTTTTTTTTTTTTTTGACAGAGTCTCACTCTGTTGCCCAGGCTGGAGTGCAGTGGCGCGATCTTGGCTCACTGCAAGCTCCGCCTCCCAGGTTCACGCCATTCTCCTGCCTCAGCCTCCCGAGTAGCTGGGACTACAGGCGCCCGCCACCACATCCGGCTAATTTTTTGTATTTTTTGGTAGAGGCAGGGTTTCACCGTGTTAGCCAGGATGGTCTCGATCTCCTGACCTCGCGATCTGCCTGCCTCAGCCTCCCAAAGTGCTGGGATTACAGGCGTGAGCCCCCGCGCCTGGCCTGTCATCAGCTATTCTTAAGAGTCAGTATGAGAAGTGACCAAACCCAGGCAGTTCCTGCATCTTTCAGTGAAACTGTCCCTTACACAACACTCTTATACAACGTCCCTGTGCCCTCTCCAGAGGTCAGCACCAGGAAAGCTCGTGCATTCTGACAACCTGGCTTGCTTCCTCTTCTTTAGTTCAAGAGCTCCACAACCCCTTGAGCTTCCCTTTTATTTATTTATTTTTTTGCCTTGGCTGCTGGGAAGCTCTGGGTTAAGTTCCTCAGCTTTGGTTTGACTCCCAGGCCTTACTTGCTTTTTTTAGTATCTGGGTCTTAACATTTTTACCTTCAGCTTATCAGTGGCAGGAGGGCTACAGGGGATTGGTATTATAAACTTGTCAGGGCTTTTTGCAGAAATACATGGGGTTTAATTAATAAAACAATAGTCTCAACAGTAACAGATAAAATAATAGTTGAATGTATCTCCCAAAAGGCATGTGTTGGAAACTTAATCCCCAATGTAACAGTGTTGGGAGGTGGGACCAACAGTAATGGGAGGTGTTTAGACCATGAGGGCTCCACCCTCATGAATGAATTAGTGCTGATTATAAAAGGGCTAGAGGCTGTGAGTTCAGTTGCTGGCTCTCTCCTGCATGCCCTCTTGCTCTTTCCACCTTCCACGATGGCAAGAAGGCCCTCGCCAGATGCAGGGCCCTCAACCTTGGACTTCCCAGCCTCCAGAGCCATGAGCTAGATAAATTTCTATTGTTTACAAATTACCCAGTGTCAGGTATTCTGTTATAGCAGCATAAAATGCACTGAGACGATGGTAATAAATATGAATAAAATAATAATCTCAATGCTTTAGGAAATTACTACATATGCATGCTTAGAAAAAAGACTGGAAGCACAAAACCCATAGGAGGATTACAGGTAGTTTGTACTTTTATGTATTATATTCAATAAATATGTATTATCAAATTGTATATTAGAAATAAACATGACTTTTAAATTTTTAATTTTTTTAATTTTTTTAATTCAACCTAGGGGCTTTAGTTTTTTTTTAATGGAAAGAACTGGCCTAGAATAACCTACTGCTACAGATACAGCTATTCTTCTGATTGGGATGGGGAATCCGTGCCCACCCGTGATGAAGGTCCCAGTGGTCCAGTCCCCTGCTTCCTGGATAAAGGGAGGCTCCTCAGGATCGGAAAGCTAAAGGCCTCTAAGCCCTGATCAAGTCCAAAGTGAAACCGCCCCAGTGCTAAAAGGACGGATTCCCTGAACCTGTCAAGGGCATAAGCAGCCTATATTTGCAGGTGGCTCACGGTTTTCCTAGGACCTGAAGAACTGAGATTTGTGGTCAGTTTAATGCATTGATCATTATAAACTGAGTGTCTACCAGGGGCCCTACTTTGCTAGGCAACAGTAGGGGACACAAAAGTAGTATGTGATCAACAAACACTATCTGAGCTCCTAGTGCGTGGCAAGCCTGGGGACTGAGGACCCAGGGAGAATCAAACAGGTCCCTGCCCCAAAATCACCAGCTGAGGGAGATATAGAAATGAGTGGTGCAGGCACACGGTGACTATGTAACCCAGAAGCCTGTGGACACGGTCATTAACCTGCCTTAGAGCTATCCCAGAGGAAGCAGATATCCAGGCTGAGTTTTGAAGGGTGAATTTACCACGTGGGGAAGGGTAAAGGCACTCCTGGCAGAACACAGAAGCAGAGGTGGGGCAGCAGGGAAAAGCGTGGAAGCGGGTAATGGCGGAGCATTCCATGGGGTTCCAAAGGATGGGAATCCAGCAGGCTGGAGGTCAATTAGAACTAGAACTTGAACATCTCAAAGTATGAACCTAATCTGGAGAGCTGTGTGTGCGTGTGTGCGTGTGTGTCTGGGGAGATACACCAAAGGGTTTAAGCAAGAGGTGTTGTAGACAGGCTTTTGCTTTGGAAAGATCCCTCTAGATGCATTATTAAGGAAAAAACAGTGGGTTGGGGACAAACAGCGAAGAGGCCATTTCATGAGTCCTGATGTCCTGGGCACCATGGCTACCTCCCCCTCCACATACACCATGTCTTCCTTCCCCTTTGTGAAATAGCCATGAGAACTGGGTAGGACTTACTCATCCCCTGCAAGGGAGGGGTAGAAGCAGGGTGCTAAGCCAGTCAGGAAAATTTTCTGCCTCGTGCCCTGACTCAGGGCTGGTGTCATCAGAGCTAAGCTGGTGAGTTGTGCTTGATGGTGTGGAATGCCACGTCGTCTCACTCTGGAGCTAATTAGGAAGCACACAACTCTGATGGTTGCAGGAAACCATGTTGCAACCACGAGAGAAGTGGGTGTGAAGACAAAGCTAATACACAGAGGAAGACAGAGAGAATCACAGGAAAACGGAGAACAAGCCTGCTCCCTACTGACTTTTTAGGCAGAATATGCAAACGAATTAATTTCTGCGCTGTTTAGTAGGTTAGTTTAAGGTTTGCTGTCACTTGTTACCAAAAGTACCTGATCCCACGCTTGGCAGGAGATGATGAGTAACCACACTCTCCAGGTGGCAGACTCCAGGTTGTACCAGCTGAAAATGCTACACCAACGGCTCTCCAACTTGAACGTTCAGCAGAGTGCTTGTTAAAACAGATCACTGGGTCCCACTCCAGAGCTTCTGATTCAGTGGGTCTGAAGCAAGGTCCAAGAATCTGGTTTCCAACAAGTGCTCAGATGCTGCTGCTGTTGCTGGACCCCTGGTCACACTTTGAGAACTACTGCTCAATGGGAATTTATAAGAGCAAGAGGCCTGGACCCTGGGACCACATCTGTCCTCCCCTTAACAAAAGGCACTGTAAGATGTTGGTAGAGAAACTTGGGGGCAAACTGGCAGAAGTACTGCCTCTTTTATGCTCCTTGTTATCCTAAATTTCATCACCAGTGTTCCTTTTTATCTTGCCTCAAACCAAAGAGTGAGGGGCTTTGGTAGGATGTATGATCATCCTCATCAGCCTTTACCAAGAGATGGTTTGAGAAGCCCTGAGTATTCACACAGAAGCTTTGGGGATCTTCATTATTAAAGACCGTACTGCAGTCTGTTTCAATGAGTTTTTTAAAAAAATATTTCCATATCCTCCCATCTTTAAATAAAAATTTTGAGGACCTCTAAATATGTGTCAAAGGGTATATGGGGGTTAGTAAAAGACCAGATGGACAAAAATGACACCAAAAGCACAAGCAACCAAAGAAAAAATAGATACCCTGGACTTCATCAACATTGAACATATTTGTGCATCAAAGGACAGTATCAAGAAAGTAAAGGCTGGGTACAATGGCTCACGCCTGTAATCTCAGCATTCTGGGAGGCTGAGATGGGAGGATCACTTGAGCCCAGGAGTTTGAGACCAGCCTGGGCAACATAGGGAGACCTCATATTTACAAAAAAAAAAAAAAGGAAAAAAATTTTCATTAGCGGGGTATGGTGGCACACACCTGTGGTCCCAGATACTTGGGGGGCTGAGGTGGAAGGATCATTTGAGCTTGGGAGGTCGAGAATGCAGCGTGCAATAATTGTGACACTGCACGCCAGCCTGGGAGAAAGAACAAGACTTTATCTCAAAAAAAAAAAGAAAAAGAAAAAGTAACCCACAAATGGAAAATATTTGCAAATCATATATCTGATAAAGGACTAGTATCCAGAATACATAAAGAACTCATAGCACTCAAAAATAAAAGAGCAAATAACCCAATCTTAAAATAGGCAAAAGATTTGAATAGATGTTTTTCCAAAGAAGATGTACAAATGGCCACTAAGCATATGAAAAGATGCTCAACATTACTAGTCATTAGGGCAACACTAATCAAAACCAAAATGAGATACCACTTCACACATGCTAGAATGCTCAGAATTAAAAACATGAACAAGGCTGGGCACGGTGGCTCACGTCTGTGATCCCAGCACTTTGGGAGGCTGAGGTGGGTGGATCACCTGAGGTCAGGAGTTTGAGACAGCCTGGCCGACATAGTGAAACCCTGTCTCTAATAAAAATACAAAAGTTAGCCAGGTGTGGTGGCACACGCCTGTAGTCCCAGTTACTTAGGAGGCTGAGACAAAAGAATCATTTGAACCTGGGAGGCGGAGGTTGCAGTGAGCCAAGATCACGTCACTGCACTCCAGCCTGGGAGACAGAGCGAGACTCCATCTCAAAAAACAAAAGATAAACAACAGTAAGTGTTGGCAGGAATATGGAGAAATTGGAACCTTCATACACTGATGGTGGTAATGTAAAATGTGCAGTCCAGGCACTTTGGGAGAGTCCGGCAGTTCCTCAATATGTTAAACGTAGCATTACTATTGATCCAAATGGCAATTCCCTCCTACATATAGATCCAAAAGAATTTTTAAAATATGTTCATTAGCTAAACAGACTAAGTTAAAAACTCAAATTATGGCCAGGCACGTTGGCTCACGCCTATAATCCCAGTGCTTTGGGGTGGATCACCTGAGGTCAGGCATTCAAGACCAGCCTGGCCAACATAGAGAAACCCTGTCTCTACTAAAAATACAAAAATTTGCCAGGCTTGGTGGCACACGCCTGTAATCCCAGCTACTTGGGTGGCTGAGGTATGAGAATCGCTTGAACCCAGGAGGTGGAGGTTGCAGTGAGCCGAGATCACACCACTGCACTCCAGCCTAGGCAACAGAGTGAGACTCTGTCTCAAAATAAATAAATAAACAAACAAACAAAAGAAAGAAAAAGAAAAAAAGAAAAAAAAACCTCAAATTACTACAATCAGAAATGAAAAAGGGGACACATTACTACTGATTTGACAGAAAGGACTATCAGAGAGTACTATGAACAACTGTATGACAACAAATTGAATAAACTAGATGAAATAGAAAAATTCCTAGAAACACAACCTGGCAAGCCTGGATCATGAAGAAACAGAAGACCTGAATAGATGTAACTTCTAAGGAGACTGAACAGTAATTTAAAACCTCCACACAGGCTGGGCGCAGTGGCTCACGCCTGTCATCCCAGCACTTTGGAAGGCCGAGGCGGGTGGACACGTGAGGTCAGGAGTTCGAGACCAGCCTGCCCAACATGGTGAAACCCCATCTCTATTAAAAATACAAAAACTTAGCCAGGTGTGGTGGCAGGCACCTGTAGTCCCAGCTACTCGGGAGGCTGAGGCAGGAGAATGGTGTGAACCCAGGAGGCAGAGCTTGCAGTGAGCCAAGATCGCGCCACTGCACTCCAGCCTGGGCGACAGAGCGAGACTCCGTCTCAAAATAAATAAATAAATAAATAAATAAAGTAAAGAAGTGAAAGAATAGCTATTCCATAGGCAGAGCATGGCATTCCAAAAAATAAGAGGAGGAATGTGCCCACCTAGGTACAATGCTTGCTTATATATAACAAAAATCATGGAGGAGATGTGCTCTACTACAAGGGTTTGTGATAAAGGATTGCTAATCTTTGTGTAACTACTGTCTTTCATGAGAGCCTTTATTATTATCTATTTTTTTTTTTTATACTTTAAGTTCTGGGATACACGTGCAGAACATGTAGGTTAGTTACATAGGTATACACATGCCATGATGGTTTGCTGCACCCATCAACCCATCATCTACATTAAATATTTCTCCTAATGCTATCCCTCCCCTAGCCCCCCACCCCCGAACAGGCCCCGGTGTGTGATGTTCCCCTCCCAGTGTCCACGTGTTCTCACTGTGCATATATTATTATCTTTAAAGTGAGACTTATTTTAAAACTAGGAATGTTTTTGTTCTTAAGATATAAGGACATCAGGACAGTTCCTGGGTCTGTTATATCCTGGGTCTGTTTCTGTTCCCTTAACTATAAACGTCTTAGGGCTAAGAATACCTAACCTCTTGAGAATGTGGCCCAGCAGGTCTCAGCCTCATTTTACCCAGCCCCTATTCAAGATAAAGTCACTCTGGTTTGAATGCCTCTGACATACTGATGCAAAGATACTCAACAAAATACTTGCGAATCATATTCAACTATTAAAAGAGAGATTACACCATGATCAAGTGGGATTTATTCCTGGAATGTAAGGATGGTTCAACATTCAAAAATCTATCAATGTAATATACCACATTAACACGATGAAAGGAGATAAAAAAAAACTACGTGATCATCTCAGTTAAAGCAGAAAAAGCATTTGGCACAGTTAAACACCACTTCATGAGAAATACTCAACAAACAAAATAGAAGAAAACAACCTCAACATATATAAAGGTCATATATTAAAATGCCATATATTGGGCCAGGCGCAGTGGCTCACGCCTGTAATCTCAGCACTTTGGGAGGCCGAGGCGGGCGGATCACAAGGTCAGGAGATCGAGACCATCCTGGCTAACACAGTGAAATCCCATCTTTACTAAAAATACAAAAAAAAAAAAAAAAAAATTAGCCGGGCGTGGTGGCGGGCGCCTGTAGTCCCAGCTACTCGGGAGGCTGAGGCAGGAGAATGGCATGAACCTGGAGGCGGAGCTTGCAGTGAGCCGAGATCACACCACAGTACTCCAGCCTGGACGACAGAGCGAGACTCTGTCTCAAAAAAAAAAAAAAAAAGGCCATATATTAAAGGCCATATATTAAAAATGCACAATTAACATCGCACTTAATGGTGAAAGACTGAAAGCTTTTCCTCCAAGATCACGAACAAGGCAAAAATGCCCACGCTCACCACTCCTATACAACATAGCACTGAGAGTCCTAGCCAGTGCACTTAGGCAACAAAATGAAATAAAAGACATCTAAATTGGAAAGGAGAAATAAAATTATTATTATTATTTTTTTATTGAGATGGAGTCTCACTCTGTCACCCAGGCTGGAGTGCAGTGGCACAATCTTGGCTCACTGCAACTTCCGCCTCCCGGGTTCAAGCAATTCTCCTGCTTCAGCCTCCCAAGTAGCTGGAATTACAGGCATGTGCCACCACGCCTGGCTAATTTTTTTGTATTTTTAGTAGAGAGGGGGTTTCACCATATTGGCCAGGCTGGTCTTGAATTCTTGACCTTGTGATCCGCCCACCTTGGCCTCCCAAAGTGCTGGGATTACAGGCATGAGCCACTGCGCCCAGCCAATAAAATTATTTCTGTTGGTATACAACATAATCTTATATGTAGAAAATGCTAAAGATTATGCAAGAAAGTTAGAATTAATAAACACATTTAGTTGCAGGTATAAGATAAGCACACAAAAATCAACCGTGTTTCTACATACTAACAATGAATAAACAAAAAATTCAATTTACAACAGCATCAAAAAATGAATATACTTAGGAATGTTTATATAGTATTCCTAAAAACTTAAGAAGAAATAAACTTAAAAAGGAGGCAAAAGTCCTGTGCACTGAAAACTATAAATTGTTGCAAAAAAAAATTAAAGATTGGCCAGGCGCGGTGGCTCACACCTGTAATCCCAGCACTTTGGGAGGCTAAGGTGGGCGGATCACGAGGTCAGGAGATCGAGACCATCCTGGCTAACACAGTGAAACCCCGTCTCTACTAAAAAAGTACAAAAAATCAGCTGGACGTGGTGGCGGGTGCCTGTAGTCCCAGCTACTCGGGAGGCTGAGGCAGGAGAATGGTGTGAACCCAGGAGGCGGAGCTTGCAGTGAGCCAAGATCACACCACTGCACTCCAGTCTGGGCGACAGAGCGAGACTCCGTCTCAAAATAAAATAAAAAATAAAAATTAAAGATGACACATATAAATGGAAGACATCCCAGCTTTATGGACCGGAAGACTTAATATTGTTAAGATGTCAATACTACCCAACATGATCTACAGATTCATTGTAATCCCTGTCAAATCCTGATGGCATCTTTTACAGAAATAGAAAAATCTATCCTAAAATATTATGGAATCTCAAGGGACCCTAAATAGCCAAAACAATTTTGAAAAAGAAAAACAAAGGTGAAGGTCGCACACTTCCAGATTTCAAAATGTACTACAATGCTGCAGTAACCAATACGGTGTGGTACTGGCATAAAGACAGACATATAGATCAAGAGAACAGAATAGAGAGTCCAGAAATAAGGCTGGGCATGGTGGCTCACACTGGTAATCTCAGCACCTTGGGAGGTGAGAGGACTGCTTGAGTCCAGGAATTCAAGACCAGCCTGGGCAATATAGTGAGACCCCATCTCTGGAAAAAAAAAAAAAAAAGAAAAGAGAGAGGGAGTCCAGAAATAAAACCTTGACATATATAGTCAAATGGGTTTTGGCAAGGATGCCAACAAGACCAATCAATAAGGAAGGAACAGTCTTTTTGATAAATGGAGCTGGGAAAACTGGATATCCATGAAAGAGAGAGAAGCTGGAGCCCTACCTTACACCATATACAAAAACCAACTCAAAATGAATTACAAAGTGAAGTGTTAAACTTAAAAAAGGAGGCAAAAGACCTGTGCACTGAAAACTACAAATTGTTGCCAAAAGAAATTAAAGATGACACATATAAATGTGTCATAAAACTCCTAGAAGAAATCATAGGGGAAAAGCTTCCTAACATCGATCTTGGCAATGATTTCATGGATATTACACCAAAAGCACAGCCAAAAAAAAAAAAAAAAAACCCAAAAATAAACAAGTGGGATACATCAAACTAAAAAGTTCTGCACAGCAAAGGAGACAATCAGTAGAATGAAAAGGCAGCCTACAAAATGGGGAGAAATATTTGCAAACCATATATTTAACAGGGGTTAATCTCCAAAATATATAAGGAACTCCTGCAACTTGATTGCAAAAAAAACCCTAATATCCCAATTAAAAAATGAATGAAGGACGTGAATGGACACCTCTTCAAAGACGACATACAAATGTCCAACAGGTAAATAAAAAGATGCTCAACATCACTAATCATCACGGAAAGGCAAATCAAAACCACAGTGAGATATGTATCATCTTACACCTGTAAAAATGGCTATCATCAAGAAGACAAAAGATGACACGTGTTGATGAGGATGTGGAGAAAAGGGAGCACTTGCACACTGTTGGTGGGTATACAAAACGGTGCAGCTGCTATAGAAAACAGTATGGAAGTTCCTCAAAAATTAAAAACAGAACTACTTGGCCAGGTGTGGTGGTGCATGCCTGTAATCCCGTCACTTTCGGAGGCCGAGGCAGGTGGATCACCTGGGGTCAGGAGTTCGAGACCAGCCTGGCCAACATGGCAAAACCTCGTCTCTACTAAAAATACAAAAATTAGCCTGGTGTGGTGGCACATGCCTGTAATCCCAGCTACTCAGGAGGCTGAGGCAGGAGAATCGCTTGAATCCGGGAGGCGGAGGTTGCAGTGAGCCAAGATTGTGCCACTGCACTCCAGCCTGGGCAACTGAGCAAGACTCTGTCTCAAAAATAAATAAATAAATAATAAAAATAAAAATAGAACTACTATATGATCCAGCAATCCCACTTCTGGGTATTTATCCAAAAGCATTAAAAGCAGGATCCTGAAGAGATACCTGCACCCCCATGTTCATCGCAGCACTATTCATAAAAGCCGAGATGTAGAAACAACCTAAATGTCCACCAAGAGATGAATGGATAAAGAAAATGTAGTATGTACACACAATGGATCCCTATTCTGCCTTAAGAAGGAAATTCCGCAAAGTGAGACAATATGGATGAACCCTGAGGACATTATGCTACATGGAATAAGCCAGTCACGGAAAGGCAAGTACTGCAGATTCCACTTAAATGAGGAATCTGGTAAAACAGTCAAAATCCTAGAATCAAGAGTGGAATGGTGGCTGCCACGGGCTGATGGTAGAGGAAATGGGGAGTTACTCATTACTGGGCATAAAGTTTCAGTTAAGCCAGATGAATAAGCTCTGGAGATCTGTTGGACAACGCTATAGCTATGGTCTGCACAATGTGCTGTACACGTTAAAATGTGTTTAAAGGGTAGTCTCACGCTAAGTGTTCTTATCACAAGAAAATACAATTTAGGGCCAGGCGCGGTGGCTCATGCCTGTAATCCCAGCACTTTGGGAGGCCGAGGCGGGAAGATTGCTTGAGCTCAGGAGTTCGAGACCAGCCTGGGCAACAAAGTGAGACCTCGTATCTACAAAAAATACAAAAAAAAATTAGCCAGGCATAGTGGTGCGTGCCTGTGGTCCCAGCTACTCAGGAGGCTGACGTGGGAGGATGGCTTGTGCCCAGGAATCAGAGGTTGCAGTGAGCCGATTGTGCCACTACATACACTCCAGCCTGTGTGTCAGAGCCAGACCCTGTCTCAAAAAAAAAAAAAAAAATTTAAAAGAGAGAAAAATAAGGTGGTCCTGCATGGGCTTAGATACAGGTAATACACTCTGGTAAGGGAGGTGCCTGCTCTACCTGGGCCCTCTTGTCAGAGGTGTGGTCTCTGCACCCAGGAACTCCTTGTTTCCCTGGCAACCTCAGCCTATATGCGCTCTCAGAGGGTGTCTGATGGGGGATGTCACAGCAGCCTGTAATCGCCGGCTTTCTTCTCTGGCTGAGGGCCAAAGGAAACTGGACACCTGTGTTCCATGACCCCCATCAGTTTAGATCGAGCAGCTGTCGTGGTGCCGTGTAAGGGTTGGGGCCTTGCTACGGGATCCTGGCAGGCCGCAACACCTCTAAGGTAACTCGTCCATTCATTCATAAATTTATCAGGCACCTGCCCTGTACCAGGCATTGTTTTAGCCACTGGGAATACAGCAGTGAAAAAACAGTTTCCATCTCCTGGGAGTTCACATTCAGGAGGCCAATCTATGGGTCTGGATGGTTATCTCCACCTGCTAGGCGGGGATAAATGAGACAGCACACGTCACACACCCAGCATTAGACCTGCACACCTCAATTTAAGTAATTATTTGCCTTTTTGGCCCAGTGTCCACTTAGAGTTGCCGTGGGACTGATTACTACACAAACGTCTTTAGAGCTGTGCAAATTAGGAATCAGCTCAATATTGCTTAGGACTGACAGAGCTAGGATTTTAAAATCTCTCTTCTCCACCAGACCAGCCCTCTGGGAATAAATATTGACACCAAAGTGCTGTGCCAAGTTGATTTCCACCCTTCTAAGTAATGCGCACAAAGAGAACCCGATGTGTGCAGGTGTTCTAAGGTTTTACATCATGTCCTCAACATCCCCACAAGGCAGGCAGTTAGCAGTTTAACCTGGGCCAACCTCGGTATCCCTATCTACGACACCTAATGCAATTTGAGAGCTTACTCTGTGCCGGGCCGTATGCTAAGTGCTTTCCATGGATTATCTCACACTCACTATTTGAGGTAGGTATCCTAAAAAATGCCTGGACCTCATAAGATTTATTGTGAGGATTAAGTAGGATAATGTATGTCAGAACAAAAGACATTGCCTGGTACATAGTAAGTCAATGCTTGATAAATGTTATCGAGTATTACCAGCACTAGGTATTATTGTATTCCCATTTTACATATGGGGAAACTGAGGCTCAGGAAGATTAAGGTCACAGATAAGTGGCAGAGATCTAAGCACCCCATCCCTCCTCATGCCTCAAGGAGGAAGCCACAAACAGGCTGGGTCACAGCCCCTGGGTGGGTGGGGGGAAAGGCCCCTCTGCTTCTTTGCTCCAGCCCTCTCTGGGCCCTACTGGTCAGCACACACATACCAAGTGAGCTTGCTCACCAGAGATAAGGAAGCCAGGATGTCCCAGATAAGGGTGAGCCTGGACCACCCACAGGGTTTAGACATTAACTTTTACAGCGTATAGGCAGTAGGACCAGCAGGAATTGGGTTGGCACTGTCACAGCCCCAGCTGTCCTCAAGAAAAAACCGAGTGCTAGGCGCAGTGGTTCACGAGTTCAGGAGTTTGAGACCAGCCTGGGCAACAAGGCCAAACCCTGTCTCTAGTAAAAATACAAAAGTCAGCCAGGTGTGGTGGCACATGTCTATAATCCCAGCTACTCGGGAGGCTGAGGCAGGAGAATAGCTTGAACCGGGAGGCAGAGGCTGCAGTGAGCCGAGATCGTGCCACTGCACTCCAGGCTAAGCAACACAGCAAGACACTGTCTCAAAAACAAAACAAAAAAAAAGAAAGAAAGAAAATTAAGGCACTTTGACTCCAGAGGTGAGGCATCAACACGCAGTGACCACACCGTGCTCTGGGCCTGGATCCCCTCACCTCCCTGGGCTTTCCTGAGGCCAAGAGCATGTCCTGGGTACACAAAGGTGCTCAATAAATAAATGTTAGCAAAACTCCTAGAACTCAAATTAAATAAGCCACAGCCAGGAGATGTGGACATGGTCCTGGGTCTGCCACCATCCTTCTGTGGGGCTGTCCTGACCTCTTTCCTGCTCTGAGCCTCCGCTGTTTTCCCATCTGGAAAATGAAGCTCTCAACAGCAATAAGGTCATTTGCAACATGGACTATGTAGGTTCAAAGTGAGCGAAGTCACTTTATCCTTGAAGAAGCAGTTTACATCTAAAAAAATTCCCTTCATACGATCCAATATCAAAGCCCGGGACCTAGTACATCATCATAAGTGTTTGTTGAATAAATGAATGAATAAACATGAATGAAAAAATTCAGTAGCCTTAAGATGCCCAGAAATCAGGGGCAGAACAGCCAAAAGATGGCTAACAGAGATGACAGCCAGATTGTGCAAACGAAGCAGGACAAAGGCAAGCCAGTCCCTCCCTCTACTGCCAACCAAGAGAGAAGAGATGATGGCTGCCATTACTGAGCCGCTAGTGCATACGTGGCATGGCGCTAAGTGTTTGATAAGCATTCCTTCACTTAATTTCATAAGCAATACAAATATTCCTGTTTTACAGATGGGGAAACTGAGGTTTGGTGGGGGAAGGGGCTTCCCCAAAGCCACTCAGCTAATAAGTGACAGAACCAGAGTATAGACCAAGGTCAGTCTGACTCCAAGACACACGGACAGCCTAGCTGTGTAGCCACGGGCAAGCTGCTTTCCCTCTCTAGGCTTGTTTCTTCCTGCGGAAGCAGAGGTAGGCATGACCATCAGCCCCCCAGGCCTCCCTGCACTGAGAGATGCTGTCAGTGGGGCGGTGCTGGGAACCTCCTTAGCCTCTCCAATACAGCACAGAAGACAAAAGTTATCCAACCAAGGCCTCTGCCTGAGAAGCAAGTCCCTGGAGGCAGACACCAAAAAACGCAACAGTCAACACAGAAATGTCCTTAGCATATCTGCAGCCAGCTGCTGTGGGTGGAGTCCCAGAATCTCCCCATCTCTGAGCTCCAGGCCAAACAATGCTGCCATTTACTAGGCAGCCTACACCCCCAGGCCTCCCAGGAACGCTGGGCCAGGCGTGTTCCTCCACCCCCAGCCTCACCCACCACATTCGAAGGAAGCCTGGGGAAGGAATTAGGACTGCCCTTGAGCAGGGTGAACTGAGTTCACCCATGGGCAAGGGCATCTGGAACAGAGGGAGTGACCTTGAGGTTCCTAAGCGTGTACGTGCCATGGGGCCGGGTGGAGGGAGTCCTGCCGAGGCAAAGGGGAGGGAACATCTAAGGGATGACTTAGATACCCCCCACCCCCTTTTACAGATGAGGAGACTCAGGTGGTTGCACACCTAACTACGCGTGCCCAAGTCCCAAGGCACCTCAGGATGGAACCAAGGCGACTCAATTTCAGGGGACCTAACTCCCTCAGGTACTATCTGGCCCACAGGTCGCAAGCACTGGCTCTGGGGTCAAAGTCCCCTGAGCTTGAGTCCATCCCATCTTCCAGAAATGCCAAGATCAGGGCTAAGATCAGACTCTGTGCAGATGCTAACCGGACTTCAGCCCTAGCGGAGAGACAAAGGCAGTTCTGTGTCTGCAGGGACATTTTTCATCCATTTGACCATCTGTCTCTCTGGCCACTGTTCTCTAAAGCCAGCTCTGCTAAGGACAGTGCTGGACACAAAGGGGAAGGAGCCAGGCCCATGCCCCTGCCCTGAGGAAAGTGACCCCCAAGGAGGAGGTCAGGAGATGGACTCACAAATCCCAGGACAAGGGTAAGAAGGGACAGGGAAAAGCACACCAGCTGTTGGAAGGCGGCACATTCAACTCAAATTGCTAAATGTTTTGTAACCTTTCAGTTGGTCCTTGAGGGACAGGTAGGAGTCAAACCAAGGCGGCGGGGGTGGGGCAGTGTGGGGCGGTGGCCACTGCAGGCAGAGCACGCGCTGGCCCGCTCAGAGCCTGCTCAGAAAGCCAGGGAAGAAGCACTTCCCTAAGGGCAACCCCCAGCCTTCCCGGATTCATTAGTCAAGGGACATATGTCTCCAAAGAACCAAAGCTCCCACGTGAACCAAGGTGAGCACTGGGTTTCCACTCTGGAGCCAGACACACCTGGGTCCCAATTATGGCCGGACACTAACAGAATGACCTTGGGACAAGTAACTTCGGAGATCCAAGCCTCAGTATGCTCATCTGTAAAGTGGGGGTGATGGTAGAGGCTGCCTCCCTGGTTGTGATCACATGGGATCACACAGGGAAAGCCTGTAGCTCAGAACCTGGTGTCCAGTGAGTACAGCACAGCCATTAGTAGCATGTCCATGCTGTGTCCGTGCTGTGTCCATGCTGGAAACCGAAATCACCATCCATAGAGACAGCCCTGCACCAGCGCCTGCCCCGTGCAAGGCTGGAGAAACAACAGGTGTCCTGGGCAAGCTCACACCTCCCACAGGACAGTAAAACACTGCGCACACACACACACTGTGTGGCGTCCATCTGTTGTCCACAGCACACGTCACCAACTCACGTCACCAACTCACATACTATACGCCTTACTTTTATTGTCTGTTGTCTGCCTCCCCCTCCTCCCTGCCCCCTGTAGAATGTAAATTTCCAGAGGGCAGGCCTTCGTGTCTGTGCCCCAGCACCTAAACTGCCGGGCCCACAGCCGGTGCTCCCCGGGGAAGCATGTGTTGGTGAGTGAATGAATGACTGAGTGAATCATTGCTACCCTGTCTAAACGAGGGAGGTGGGAGGCCAATCACATGAGATCATGCATGTGGAATGCCAGACACAGGTAGGTATTATCATGACGGGGACAGAGGCCACGATAGCTGCAACTGCTAAAGGTTCCACCAGAGACAACCCACTCCCAAGGCCAGGAAGAAGGAAGCAGCTCAAGAAACACAAGGAAAACGGAACACAGCCCCACAGCCCCCTCTACCTCCTTTGTCTCCACACTCCTTCCCACAGCACTGGAATCATCTGCTCCTATCTCATACAGGAAGGAGCATGAATCCAGAGTGGTCACCTGGCCGGGGCAGGACAAACCAGGGAGCATGTACCTATGTAGAGGGGCAGCCACACCCAGCCTGGCGCACAGAGCCTGCGAGGGAATAGGGCCCGTGGGGCCAAGTCAGATGTCTGGATTCTTATATGAAAGGTGTGGATGTATAAAGGGCCACACCAATTCAAATAGTACAAAAAGCTTGCTGTTGAGGAATAACTTTCAAACCTTGTTTTTCCTCTGTTCTCACACCACAATCATCAACACAGAAGACATCTGTGACCAAATGTGGGGGTTTTCCCCACACACAGGCAGTGGACACCAGCTGTGTGTATTCCGATTCAATTCCGACACTATCTACCGGGAGACAGCGTCAGATCTCACAGGCTGAGGGCTCAGGCCCCGAGACTGCGCCCTCCACCCCACATACCAGTTGCACGTCGAGGCCTCTGGACCTTCTGAGATACTGGCTTCCAGTTGGGGTTCCCACGAACCCTGCTTTGAATTTGGTTAATTTGCTGGAACTGGCTCACAGAACTCATGGAAACATTTACTTATGTTTACTGATTCATTATAGAAGATATTACAAAAGATACAGATGAAGGGATGTGTATGGTGAGGCTGGGGGAAGGGGCAAGGGGCTTCCATGCCCTCCCTGGGTACACCACCCTCCAGGAAGCTCCACCTGGTCAGCTGTCCAGAGGTTCCCTGAACCCTATCCTCTTGGGATTTTATGAAGACTTCGTTACACAGGCATGACTGACAACCGTGTACAGAGACGTGATTGGAAAAAAAAGTGCACGGTCTAAACCCAGCAAGACCTGCTGCTCAGACTTTTCTTTCTTTCTTTTTTTTTTTTTGAGACAGAGTCTTGCTCTGTCGTCCAGGCTGGAGGGCAGTGGCACAATCTCGGCTCTCTGCAACCTCTGCCTCCCGGGTTCACGCCATTCTCCTGCCTCAGCCTCCCGAATAGCTGGGACCACAGGCACATGTCACCATGCCCAGCTAATCTTTTTGTATTTTCAGTAGAGATGGGGTTTCACCATATTGGCCAGGGTGGTCTCGAACTTCTGACCTCGTGATCTGCCCGCCTTGGCCTCCCTAAGTGCTGGGATTACAGGCGTGAGCCACTGTGCCCAGCCTCAGACTTTTCTTGGCCTCTCTGTGTGGCATGCCTTCCTATAAGACCCCTCTGGAATCGGTCTCTTGACCCACAATCAGATTAGAGTCCTGCCTTAGGCAGGTGACAGGAGGACAGGAGAAGGTCAAAGAGAGAGACTCTGTTTCCTGGGGCCTGCTCCTGAGGCCTAACTCACCCAACATGATAACAAAACATTGTAATAAGGGCTATGGGAGTTATGAGCCAGGAATTGCGGATGAAAACCAATATACATGTGATCGTATCACACCTGCCATCTGCGTAGCCTGTGGGCGTGGTTCACACATCTGTTGGCTGATGTGGACTATGAGCAACACGCCTGTCCTGCTAGTTAAGATGCCTGGCTTGGAGTCATACCATGAAAGCCACGAGCAGGTCTGGGACCCTCCTACACTGCTACTGTCTGCCAGCTGGGTTTCCAACCCTGGACACACTGTGGTGATCAGCACTATCATCCCCGACGTCCAGATGAGAAGCCTGGAGCTCAGAGGCACGAAGAGGCGTGTCTGGGGTCACACAGCAGGACAGGGTGCAGGCAGATTCCAATCCCACTCTGTGCATGATCAACTGAAGGAATGAGGGTGTGAGTGACAGGGTGGGGGGCAGAGGGAAGCAGGGCTGGGAGGTGCCCGGAGAGTACTAATGCAGGGGAAGGACAAGGTCAGATGGTGCACTGACCTGACAGGAAGGGCTACATGGACGTGCTTGGTGACATGGTGGGCGAATCCTGGAATGACAATCACCCTTGCTCCTCTGCATGTGAGATAGACAGCCCAGGCCGGCTATTCCAACAGCGGGATCCCAGCAAAGCCCTCAGTTATCCACCTGCTGCTTCACAGCTCCATCTGCTCTGGGCCACCAACCGCACCCGGGTCACTGCCCAAGGGAGCAGCTGGACAGGTCCCCCGGCACAGGCCTCCTCACCACCAAGCCCTGCCAAAAAACATTCTGCCGGACGATGGCCCCTCAAGTGGAAGGGTGGGGGTCACAGATTACATCCTTTGAACTGTTCCCAGTGATGCCCAGAGCCTGGCACCCAGAGAGGGGCATTCCAGGGGGCAGGAGAGAAGGCTTTGGAGCTAGGCAGACCTGGGCTGGAGCCTGGCTCTGACATGTGGGACGAGCCTCTCCACTCCACCGTTCTAACCCTTGGTCTTCACATCTGTAAAATGGGGGTGACAACATCTCAATCTCGAGCCAGGCGTGGTGGCTCACGCCTATAATCCCAGCACTTTGGGAGGCGGAGGGAGGCAAATCGCTTGAGTCCAGTAGTTGGAGACCAGCCCTGTCTCTACAAAAAATACAAAAATTGTCTGGGTGTGGTGGCACATGCTTGTAATCCCAGCTACTTGGGAGGCTAAGGAGGGAGGATTGCTTGAGCCTGGGAGGCAGAGGTTGCAGTGAGTTGAGATCATGCCACTCCACTCCAGCCTGGGTGACAGAGCAATACAAAAGCAAACAAACAAAACTCAATCCCACAGAACTGTGAGGATTTGGTGAGATAGTCAGGAAACAGCCCACCCGGCACAGGCCTAGCACAGAAAACATTCCTGACGAGGCCAACTATCCACATCATCATGTTGCTGCCTCCTTCCTTTTGTTACCACCCCCTGCCTCCTGATTCACCCTCTAGGCCAAGGAGCTGCCAGCCTCCTCCCCCACTTTCCCTCCCTGAGCCTTAGGGTGTCTGTCCCCTCTGTAAAATGGGCATGTCGATACAGTAATAATACACCCACCTCCAGGGCTGCAAAGCCTGTGCAGACTTTAAAGTGCTTTACAAAGTGCTCGTGTGTGTGTGTGTGTGTGTGTGTGTCTGTGTGTGTGTGTGTGTGTGTCCCAACAACCGGGTGCCCCAATCCAGAGAGAGGGCAGGGGTTGGTGAGTGCCAGGGAGCCCGAGGAAGACCAGGTCCCCACGGCAAATGGAAAGGGTTCTGGCACCCAAAACTGCCAAAAAGGGCTGCCCCAGGCCAGGTGACCACAGATCCAGACTTCAGAACTGCAGAGATACAAGGGCCAGGATAAAATGGGCAGACTCCGTTGAAAGACCTCCTTGGGCCGGGCGCGGTGGCTCATGCCTGTAATCCCAACACTTTGGGAGGCCGAGGCGGGTGGATCACCTGAGGTCAGAAGTTCAAGACCAGCCTGGTCAACATGGTGAAACCTCGTCTCTACTAAATATACAAAAAATTAGCTGGGTGTGGTGGCAGACACCTGTAATCCCAGCTACTCGGGAGGCTGAGGCAGGAGAATCGCTTGAACCCAGGAGGCAGAGGTTGCAGGGAGCCGAGATCGCGCCATTGCAGTCCAGCCTGGGCAACAAGAACAAAACTTTGTCTCAAAAAAAAAAAAAAAAAAAAGAAAGAAAGACCTCCTTGGGATCCTCCCTTCCAAGCCCCTAGAGTTATGGATTAGGAAACAGAGGCCCAGGAAAGGAAGCTCATCTCGGGTCACACAGCCAGTTGGTCCCAGGCAGAACTCAGGTCTCCTAGGCTGGGCATGGTGGCTCACGCCTGTAATCCCAGCACTTTGGGAGGCTGAGGAGGTTGGATCACCTGAGGTCAGGAGTTCAAGAACAGTCTGGCCAACATGGCGAAACCCCGTCTCTACTAAAAATACAAAAATTAGCCGGGTGTGGTGGTGCATGCCTGTAATCCCAGCTAGTCGGGAAGCTGAGGCAGGAGAATCGCTTGAACCTGGGAGGCAGAGGTTGCAGTGAGCCGAGATCACGCCACTGCACTCCAGCCTGGGCAACAAGAGCGAAACAACACCTCAAAAAAAAAAAAAAAGAAAGAAAGAAGAACTCAGGTCTCCTGATTCCAGCCCCAGATCCCTTCTGCCACACTGAACAACTTTCTAAAGTACACAGCACTGTCAGCTACTTCCGGGTGTCACATTCTCTTTACAGTTTTGGCTGTTTTGAGGTCAGATATGCAATCTCTGTCAATGACCAAGGGCTGGCCTCTGAGCCCAGGACTACAAGCCACAAAAACCCTGGCCAGCAACGTGTGGTCATATGGGGACACATGTGGACAGCAGGCTCATCCCATCCATGCCCTGCTCTTGATCCTGGGACCAGTACTTCCTCTTTACAGAATGCTCAGTTTGAGGCAAGAAGCCACACTGAGAAAGGCCCACAGTCACTCCTTCAGGGAGGGTAACCACGGCGCCAGCCAACTTCCTCATCAGGAAGTCTTAGGGAGCGTTCTTGGGCTGGGCCACCCCAAAGGGACTTTGGCTGCTCGCGACAGACCCCTGCCCCACCAAGGGCAGGCACGTCCTGTCTCCTTTCATCTCCCCAGTGCATATCTACCATGGACAGATTTCACACCAGGCCCCGTGCCGGGGACCAAAGAGAACAGAAAGTGAAGGAGAGGCACGATGAAGGTGACAGCTGATACTTACCGAAGTTTCTGTGTGCCCAGCCCTGTTATAGACCTTTTCTATTTGTAAACAACTATTAGCTCAATTATTCCTACAGGCACTACTGTGAAGATCCCCATTCTACAGTTGAGAAAACTGAGGCACAAGGACAGAAGGAATTGGCTCTGGTCTCACAGTAAGTGGCAGGCAGGAGACGGATTGCGAACCTGCAGGCTTCAGAGGCCGACCTTTGCGTTTTTCTTTTTTTTCTTTTTCTTTTTTTTTTTTAATTGAGTCAGAGTCTCACTCTTGTCACCCAGGCTGGAGTGCAATGGCACAATCTTTGGCTCATTGCAACCTCCACCTCCCGGGTTCAAGTAATTCTCCTGCCTCACCCTCCTGAGTAGCTGGGATTACAGGCACACGCCACCACGCCCGGCTAACTTTTGTATTTTTAGTAGAGACGGGGTTTCACCATATTGGCCAGGCTGGTCTCAAACGCCTGATTCGTGATCCACCCACCTCGGCCTCCCAAAGTGCTGAGATTACAGGCGTGAGCCACTGCGCCCGGCCCACTTCACAATTTTATATCCATCCTGATCACTGCTGGAGTTATGTGTTCATGCGCTGTTAGTTGTCTCCCACATGTAGACTGGAGGCTCCATGAGGATGAGGACCGTTTCCCTCTTGCTCACTGATGAATCCCCAGCCCCCACCATGGGGCCTTCCACTTAGTAGCTGCTCAGCAGCATGTGCTGCAGACAGTCTAGCCTCGGTTCACGTTACTCTGCCGCTCTCCCTCCACCACGCGCCAGCCGCAACACCTTCTGTGGGGTCCTCTGCAGACTCCTGCCTCAGGGCCTGTGCACTTCTGATTCCCTCTACCTGGCACTTTCTGCCCCCACACATTTGGAGGTCTGCCTCCATCTGGTCTTTTGGCTCTCAGCTAAAATGTCACCTCATGAGAGAGGCTTTCTCTGTCCATCGTGTTTACAGCACCTGCTCCTGACCCTACCCAGGAATGCCTACTGCATTTCCCCACTGATTTTTCTTCCACTCACTTGTCACTTGCCCAAGTCCTCTCATCTACTTCTTCACTGGCCTTCATACCGTCTGTTTCTGCCACTAGACTTTGAGCTCCGTGAGGCCAGAGGCCTTCCCAACTCTGTTAATGACATCGAGTTGGTAGCTTGAAACTGATCAGGTGGACATATGTGCATTCAGAAATGGGCCAAATGCCAGACACCAGAGCTTTTCTTCCCAAAGAACTCACTCTTGCTCCTGTAATACATGTTGGAAAAGAGATCCCCCGGCCATTGAAAGATTTGCCCAGAGACCAAAATCTGGCTCAGGGCTGGGGGTGGAGGATGGGGGTAGCTATTAGCAGAGGACATTCACGAGGTCAGCCCAGGCCTTCTTGCAGTCACTCATTTTGGGCCCTGGGAGTCATCTAGAGCTTCACTGTCTATGCCGTCCAATATGGGAGACACTAACACATGTGCTACTGAGTGTTCGAAATGTGGCGACGGTAGAGACCTAAATGTATTATTCCATTCTCTTCTAATTCATTTAAATTTGAAAACTGAGACTTGGTTCAGTTACTGGGAAACGTTTAAGAATGTTGGAACAACTTGGGTGTGTGAATCTACCTTTCTCAACTGTAAATTTTATGACATCTAAACACAGATCAAGGACTTCTGATGAAAATTTAGCTCCCAAATTTAGATGTGTTAAAAGTGTAAAATATACACTGGACTTGAAGACTTAGAATGAAAAAAAGTAAAATAGCTCAATAACTCTTTCAATGGATCACATGTCAAAATGATCATATTTTTATACACTGGGTTAAATAAATTATATTATGGAAACTAATTTCATCTGTTTCTTTTTGCTCTTTTGGATGTGGCTGTTAGAAATGTAAAATTATACATATAGGCCTGGTGCAGTGACTCATGCCTGTAATCCCAGCACTTTGGGAGGCTGAGGCAGGCAGATCACCTGAGGTCGGGAGTTCAAGACCAGCCTGACCAACATGGAGAAACCCCATCTCTACTAAAAATACAAAATTAGCCAGGGGTAGTGGTGCATGCCTGTAATCCCAGCTACTCAGGAGGCTGAGGCAAGAGAATCTCTTGAACACAGGAGATAGAGGTTGTGGTGAGCTGAAATCGCGCCATTGCACTCCAGCCTGGGCAACAGGAGCAAAACTCCATCTCAAAAAGAAAGAAAGAAAGAAAGAAAGAAAGAAAGAAAGAAATGTAAAATGATGCATGTGGCTCACATTATAGTTCTACTGGTCTAGAGCATTTTGGCTTGTTTTTCTCCAACTTGCACCATTTGATATTCAAAAGCAGAAGTAGTGATAAGGAAGCACAGACGGATTTTGCCATGATTACAAATTCTGAACAAAAATGAGCTAATCTTGTCAAATTGCACATGGGGTGGTGTGGTGAATGACCTCCACCCCACTCGGGGGAAAGTCTGTCCCTGTCTGCCATGGCTACAGAAGGGACCTAAGACACTTGGGGAACAGCCAGTTTCTCATCCCAAAGTCCCTGAGAGCAGACCCCAGGTCCAGAACTGGTTTTGTCAAAGATATCCACATGGAAAAGTGGGCTCCTAAAGCCACAGGGGCCCAGGCCTGGTCACAAGATGCGCCTGAGAACCATCACACAGAAGGAAATATCAAAGGGTTGGTGCATCCTTCAACCTGTATCTCTGGACTTCTCCCTTCTACACTTTTGCCCATTTGCTGGTCCCTCTACTTTGACTGTTCTTCCTTCTCTTATCTCCCCAGAGGACTCCTATGCATTCTGCAAGACCCCGTTCAAATGTCCCTTCCTCTGAAGCCTCCCCTGACCAGATGATGTTCCACATCACATCCTTGGGCTTCTGGCCTAGTCTATTCTTACCACTTCTCAAACTGCCTCCACGTTTTTCTCTTGTCCTCTCAAACCTGACTTCTTTCTGTAACACAGAATATGCCTCTCCCCTGCAAAAAAGTACCACTGGGTCTCCATTACCTAAAACAGTGATTCTCAAGCTTAAACGAGCATCAGAGTCACTTAGATTGCTGGGCCCTACCTTAAAACGCCAATTGCTGGGCCTCACCTCAGTTACTGACTCAATGGGCCTCAGGAGGGGCCTGATAACCTGCATGTCTAACAAAGATCCAGGGTGTGCTGATCCAAGGGTTGTACTTTGAGAACCACTGCAGTAAAAGATGGAGGGATAAGTCTTCACCTTGGCATGCAGGGCCTTCTACAACATGGCCCCCAATTACTTTACCACCCTCATCTTTCACCACATGCTGCCCTGGCCCTAGACTAGCCACCTCCCAAACAGGCTGTACCTTTCATGCCTCCACACCGCTGCCCACGCTGTCTCTCCTGCCTGCCATCCTTTCCCCCTCTTTATCTACCCAGCTCCAGGGCCACCTTCCTTGATCTCATAGTGTCTAAAAGGCAAATCGGAGGAGCTGGGGCCTTCTACAAAGTAACAAATGTAGGCTGTCAGGGCAGCTACAATAGAGGAGGGAAAGAAATGGTCTTGGCCACAGCAGTGGGCCTGGAGGAGAAAGCACCAGCCTAAAGTGACAATTTAGGGACGGAAAAGTCTAGCGTATTTATTTAAACAACAGCATGACAGTCGCAGTCTAGTTACAAACTGTGTTTGGCTCTACCTGGTTTTCCAGCTCTGCCACTTGCTAGCTGTGTGGCCTGGGGAGCAGCTCACATAGCTTTTTTGTTTCTCATTTTCTTTTGTAAGATGGGATAAAGCAACAACCTCACAGAATGAAGATTAAACCACATAATGCAAGTGAAACTCATAGCAAAAGGCCAAGCACACAGTAAACTCTCAATAAATGCTAGCTACTATAAGTAGTATCTTTGGACCTGGGAAAGTTATGAACTTGGTACCCAGCCACAATCAATAACAGGAATAGAAACATAATAGCTATTTTTCTTAATGGGTACATAGTCAGCAGGCCAACAAATGCTGTATGCACAGAGAGGAAGATGAATGGACAGAAAGTGGGTGGCTGGGTGGGTGGGTGGGTCAATGGGAGATCTCCTTTGGTTAATATCAAAAGTGGCTCTGTGAGGCCAGTTTGGCAATAGACATTAAAGACTCTTAAAAATTCTCGCTGGGCACAGTGCCTCACGCCTGTAATCCCAGCATTTTGGGCAGCCGAGGCAGGTGGATCTCCTGAGGTCAGGAGTTCAAGAAGAGCCTGACCAAGACGGTGAAACCCCGTCTCTACTAAAAATATAAAAAGCAGCCAGGCGTGGTGGCATGCACCTGTAATCCCAGCTGCTTAGGAGGCTGAGGCAGGAGAATTGCTTGAACCCAGGAGGCGGAGGTTGCAGTCAGCCGAGATCGTGCCACTGCACTCCAGCCTGGAAAACAGAGTGAGACTCCATCTCAAAAAAAAAAAAAAAATTCTCATAAAAAAGCTCTCAGAGGACACACAAAAAAATCCAAAGATGTCCATCACAGAGTTGTTTATAAGAGCAAAATAAAAATAAAAATAAAAAAAAGAAAGAAAGAAAAGGAAATAGCCTAAATGCCCAACAGTAGAGAAGGGCACAGTCAGAAGATGGATTTCTTTGGAAGAATTAGAAAAAAAAAAAATGAAGAGGACTGGGCATGGTGGCTAACACCAGTAATCCCAGCACTTTGGGAGGCCAAGGCCAGCGGATCACCTGAGGTCAGGAGTTCGAGACCAGCCTGGCCAACACGGCAAAACCCCATCTCTACTAAAAATACAAAAATTAGCTGGGCATGGTGGCACATGCCTATAATCCCAGCTACTCAGGAGGCTGAGGCAGGAGAATTGCTTGAAGCCGGGAGGCGGAGGGTGTAGTGAGCCAAGATCACACCACTGCATTCCAGCCTGGGCAACAGAACGAGGCTCCATCTCAAAAAAAAAAAAAAGAAGTTGAGGGGTGTTGCTGAGTTTGGAAGATGGCGCTTGAAGCTACAACCACACTGTGAGGATGCTGATGGAGAATAGCGGGCTGGTAAAGAGCCCCCTTCTTTAGTGCAGCCATCGAGAAGGATCTCCATGTAACAGCTGTAGCAGTGGCAGAAGAAGTGCTACTATGACAAATAACAAAACAGCCAATACTTACCGGGCTCTTACATGTGCCCAGCACTCTTCTAAGCACCTATCATGAATTAACTCACTTAATCGCAGTAATCACTCTATGAGCTAGGTACTATTATTAGCCCCACCTTACAGATGGAGAAACTAAGGCATGGAGAGGTTAGGAACTTGGTTAGGATTATTAAGCTTGTAAACAGCAGGGCTGGGATTCGAGGCCAGGCCATAGCGCTTTCTGTTCCAAATCACTAGTTCTACTCCCAAGGGGGAGGCACCACAGGAAAGGGTGGGTAAGTGGCCAGGAGCTCCCTACTTCACCATCTCCTTGCCCTAGCCCTCGTCCTCAAAGCAGATGCTGAGAAAGAGCTGAAGACTTCAGGACCAGGCTAGCTCCAGAGCACCAGGCCATGGGGGCTGAGCTGGGACAGACAGGGCGGCAGCCTTACCCACAGCTTCCCGTCGTGATAGTAGGCTCCCAGGAGCTTCACAATGTAGGGGTGGTCGCAGGTGGCCAGGATCTCAATCTCCACGATGTAGTCCTCCAGCTCCTCCTCACTCTTGGTTTCAATGACTTTGGCCGCAGCCAAAGCACCCGTCTCCTTATTCTTGGCCTGCAAAGAGGAGATACAGGAGGTCAACAAGGCATGCTCCGCAGGAAACTGACCTTTGGACGTGAGCCCGCAGTCCTGCATGAGTGTGAAAACAGAGGCCGGATGTCCAGATGCTGAACCGGAACGTACATTGTTCTTAACAATAGCCACACATCATGTCTGTACTTAAGAGTAAGTACCATACACCCCTACAACACTATGGAATAAACAAAAATACAAGAATGACACAGCTCTACAAATACCAACATGGAAAGACTGTTGATTTGTTCAGTAAAAAACGAAGAAAAAAACCCAAGTCATTGAACAATAAAAATGGCACAATACTTTTTGCATAAAAAATGGAAAACTACGCCTTCATACATGCTCACAAGCATCTGTGAATGTATGGAAAACTCAGGAAAGATACTGCCTGACAGCAGGCTGGGGAGGGGCCAGAAATAGGGAGGCATTCAAAGGGTACTTTCACTCTGTTTAAAATTTAAAATCTAGGCCGGGTGCGGTGGCTCACACCTGTAATCCCAGCACTTTGAGAGGCCAAGGCAGGGAGATCACAAGGTCAGGAGTTCGAGACAAGCCTGGCCAACATAGTGAAACCCCATCTCTACCAAAAATACAAAAATTAGCCAGTGTGGTGGCATGCGCCTGTAGTCCCAGCTATTGGGGAGGCTGAAGCAGGAGAATCGCTTGAACCCGGGAGGCAGAGGTTGCAGTGAGCAGAGACCACACCATTGCACTCCAGCCTGGGTGACAGAGTGAGACTCCATCCCAAAAGAAAAAACATTTTTTTAAATCTGTTTAAAAATTTTTTTTGTTGTTTTTTGAGATGGAGTCTCACTCTGTCGCCCAGGCTGAAGTGCAGTGGTGTGATCACTGTTTACTGCAGCCTCCGCCTTCTAGGTTCAAGCTAATTCTCCTGCCTCAGCCTCCCGAGAACTGGAACTACAGATGTGCACCACCACGCCTGGCTAAATTTTGTGTTTTTAGTAGAGACAGGGTTTCACCACATTGGCTGGGCTGGTCTCGAACTCCTGGCCTCAAGTGATCCGCCCATCTCGGCCTCCCAAAGTGTTGGGATTACAGGTGTGAGCCACTGTGTCTGGCCTAAAATTTGTTTAAAATTTATGATAGGAATGTTTGATGCGTTTATTTGCAACATTTCCCACGCACTAACAGTAGAATGAAAAGGCAGACTGCGTAAGTGCCCACCAGTTACAGCGGAACTGTTTCGTAGATGCATGTCACCTAGGCAAAACAAGTCTTCCTTATGTGAGGAATAAGAGGGTAAGAAAACTCCACACACACTAAGATGGCTATAATTTTAAAAAATGGAAAATAACAAGTGTTGGTGAGGACTGGAGAAGTTAGAACCCTTGTGCATTGTTGGTGGGAATGTAAAATGGTGCAGCCAGTGTGGAAAACAGTTTGCCAGTTTCTCGAAAGGTTAAACATAGACCTATCCTAGGACCTAGCAATTCTGCTCATAGGTATATACCCAAAAAAAAAAGCTCAAAGCAAGGACTCAAGGAGATATTTATATACTCATAGCAGCCAAAGTGTGGAAACAATCCAAGTGTCCATCAATAGATGAAGAATATTTGGGAGGCGGAGGCAGGCAGATCACTTGAGGTCAGGAGTTCGAGACCAGCCTGGCCAACATGGTGAAACCCCATCTCACTAAAAACACAAAAATTAGCCGGGCGTGGTGGTGGGCGCCTGTAATCCCAGCTACTCAGGAGGCTGAGGCAGGAGAATCACTTGAACCCAGGAGGCAGGGGTTGCAGTGAGCCAAGATCATGCGACTGCACTCCAGCCTGGATGACAGAGCAAGACTCCATCTCAAAACAAACAAACAACAAAAAAAGATGAATGAATAAACAAAATGCGGTATATCCACACACTAAAATATTCTGCCATAAAAAGGAACAAAAAGGAAGGCAATTCTGACACAAACTACATGGATGAATCCTGAAAACATTATGTAAAGTGAAATAAGCCAGACACAGGAAACATAGTGTATAATTCCACTTACCTGAAGTACCCAGAGTAGCTGAAATCATAGAAGTGGAAAGTAGAATAGAGGTTTCCAGGGGTTAGAAAGGGGAAATGGGGAGTTATTGTTTAGTGGGTAAAGAGTTTTTGTAGAGGATGATGAAAATTTTGAGGTGTAGACAGCAGTGATGGCTACACAGCTGTGAACTGATTTAATGCCACTAAATTTACACTTAAAATTGGCCAAAATGATAAATATGATGTTCTGTATATTTTACCACAATTCAAAAGAGAGAGAAATAATCATGTAAATGGAGCAAGCAATCCCACCCCATTGCACACAAGGAGCTAGTGTCTGGGAAATGGGAGGTGAGGACCCACAGCTCCCCAAGGATCCTGCGAGGACGTTGGTGGGGAATGCTGCAGCAAACATCTCACCCACCCTGCTGCATGGGGTTCCAGTGTTGAACAAGTACACATGGCCAGGCACGGTGGCTCACGCCTACAATCCCAGCATTTGGGAATCCGAGGCGGGTGGCTTGCTTGAGTCCATGAGTTTAAGAATAGCCCAGGCAACAGAGCGAAATCCCGCCTCTACAAAAAAAAATGCAAAAACTAGCCAGGCATGATGGCATGCACCTGTAGTCCCAGCTGCTTGAGAGGCTGAGGCGGGAGGATCACTTGAGCCCAGGAGACGGAGGCTGCAGTGAGCTGAGATCTTGCCACTGCACTCCAGCCTGGGTGACAGGAAAAAAAGAAAACAGCCGGGCACAGTGGCTCATGCCTGTAATCCTAGCACTTTGGGAGGCCGAGACAGGCGGATTGCCTGAGCTCAGAAATTCGAGACCAGCCTAGGCAAGATGGTGAAACCTCATTTCTACTAAAATACCAAAAAATCAGCTGGGCATGGTGGTAAGCACCTGTAATCCCAGCTACTCAGGAGGCTGAGGCACAAGAATTGCTTGAACCCGGAAGGCAGAGGTTGCAGTGAGCCAAGATGGCACCACTGCATCCCAGACTAGAAAACAAAGCAAAACTCTGTCTCAAAAAAAATAAATAAATAAAAAAGAAAGAAAAAGGCCGGGCGCAGTGGCTCATGCCTGTAATCCCAGCACTTTGGGAGGCCAAGGTGGGCGGATCACAAGGTCAGGAGTTTGAGACCATCCTGACCAACATGGTGAAACCCCATCTCTACTAAAAATACAAAAATTAGCTGGGCGTGGTGGCAGACGCCTGTAATCCCAGCTACTTAGGAAGCTGAGGCAGGAGAACTGCTTGAACTCGGGAGACGGAGATTGCAGTGAGCCGAGATTGCACCACGGCACTCCAGCTTGGGCGACAGAGTGAGACTCTGTCTCAAAAAAAAAAGAAAGAAAAAAAAACCACAAACACATTTCCCTACAAAATGGCCCCTAGCCAGGTGCGGTGGTTCATGCCTGTAATCCCAGCATTTTGGGAGGCCAAGGTAGGTGGATCACCTGAAGTCAGGAGTTCAAGACCAGCCTGGCCAACATGGTGAAACCCTGTCTCTACTAAAAAGTACAAAAACTAGCCAAGTGTGGTGGCACATGCCTGTAATCTCAGCTACTCAAGAGGCTGATGTGGGAGAACTGCTTGAACCTGGGAGGTGGAGGTTGCAGTGAGCCGAGATCGCACCACTGCACTCCAGCCTGGGTGACAGAGTGAGATGCCATCTCAAAAAAAAAAAAGGCCCCTAAAAGCACGCTGCTCATCTGGAGACCTTAAACAGCAATCTATTGCAAAGCACAGGGAAAACGAGCTCCTCTGGACTGAATGAACATATTATAGCTTAGTCTCCACCGTGGCACCTTCCTAAGGATAATATTGATCACGCTCCACCCTTGCCTTCCATAACAACTCTGGAACCTGACTGCACCGGAAATTCCGGCTGGCCAAGTTATTCCTGCACATCTAGCACCCTATGGATGACAATGAGCATTCATTCCTGTCATCACAGGGACCCGAGGCTTGGAGTTTCCCCCATTCCACAGACGGACGTGCAAGTCCAGGTTTAGAGGGGAAATGTGATTGGAACTAGGGGAGTGGCACCAGAATTTGCATCAGGATCCTCTAACGTCAAAATTTTCTGCACTTTCCACCACTGTACAAGGTCTCCCTACAATCTCCACCACTTAGAAGTCTCTAAGACCAGATGCCAACAGACATTTAACAGAGCACTACTGGGCCAGCCCTGCACAGGGTGCCCACAATACAGACACAGAGCAACCCTCTCCCTGGCCAGCTCAAAGTCTAGCTAGAGAGACACAGCCCTCTACTGAAAGTGACGAGACAGCATGCTTATGATGGGGTGTGGGAGAGGGCACCTAACCCCACCAAGGAGCCTTCTGGAAGGAAGCAATACTAAGGGGTGGGCCGGGTGTGGTGGCGCACGCCTGTAATCCTAGCACTTTGGGAAGCTGAGATGGGTGGATTGCTTGAGGTCAGGAGTTTGAGACCAGCCTGGCCAAAATGGTGAAACCTCGTCTCTACTAAAAATACAAAAAATTAGCCAGGCGTGGTGGTGACCGCCTGTAGTCCCAACTACTCGGGAGGCTGAAGCAGGAGAATCGCTTGAACCCAGGAGGTGGAGATTGCAGTGAGCCGAGATCACACCACTGCACTCCAGCCTGGGTGACAGAGTGAGACTCCGTCTCAAAAAAAAAAAATAAAAAAATACTGAGGAGTGGTGCAAGCAGGCAATTTCTCTCCACATTTGCTTTCTGTACACTCATTCTCAGTTTAGATAAATATTTCTTTCATTAATTGAGCTGCAAAGTCCCCAGGATCCCATGCAGTGATAATAATATGCCATTTGTCATATTATGTCATTGATAATAATATGTTGGAGTGGACCCTTGATCCACTCTGCATGCAGCACTAGGCAGTGCTGCTTATATGTGTCAGTGCATTTATCTCCTGGATCACCCTACAATGTGGTGCTGTCAATATCTCATAGACAGATGAGGAGACCGATCCGAGGCAGAGTACCCTAGGAATGAGGCGGCAGAGTGGGCTTGGAACTAAGGCAGTCCCATGCCCAGGTGTGCACACTCTTGGTGGCCACATTCTTCCTCCATCCAAGTCCCTTGCAGGCCAGAGCCTGGGATGCCTCCACACTGGGCCCAGGAGCCCAGTTCAGGGAAGGACATTTCATGATGGGCCATTTTCCAGAGCCAGTCATTGTCCTAGAATTTACCAGCTCATGTGGCTCTAACTCTGTGGGGACTTCTCCCCTAAACTCAATTTTGAAAGCTTGTTTAGGCCGGGCGCAGTGGCTCACGATTGTAATCCCAGCACTTTGGGAGGTCGGGGCAGGTGGCTCACCTGAAGTCAAGGGTTGGGGACCAGCCTGACCAACATGGTAAAACCCCATCTCTACTAAAAATACAAAAATTAGCCAGGCAGGGTGGTGGGTGCCTGTAATCCCAGCTACTCGGGAGGCTGGGGCAGGAGAATTGCTTGAACCCGGAAGGTGGAGGTGCAGTGAGCCGACTGCGCCACTGCACTCCAGCCTGGACAACAGAGTGAGACTCCATCTCAAAAAATAAATAAATAAAAATTAAAATTAAAAAAAGCTTGTTTAGAATGCCTTAGCCACCCATCATTTAAGTTATCTGGTGCTTGCTCGCTCACTTGCTCTCTCTCTCTCTCTCACACACACACACACAGTCTTAACTGATTGTGTCCCTGCCTTTTCATTCCTTGTAAAGCTGATTTCTGTACATCCCCACCAGAGGGCTGGAAAGAATCCTTTCCTTCTGCACACATTCCTCTTTCTCTTCCTACTCCTCCCCTTCCTCCTCTCCAAACCCAGAAGAGAGGTTACACCAGCTCTGCTCCTTTCCTGAGAGGAAGGTTGAAGGCTTAGTGGAGTGGCTAGAGCCAGGGCCAGTGACCAAGGCAACCACCTTGACCATGCTGAGCTGGCCAAGGGCCCCCCTTCAATCACTCATCTTTCAGTCCTGAAAGCTGGCAAAGAAGGCCGCATGTCACCTTTACCTGGGTTTCCTGAAAAGGGATGTTGTCTCCTGATGGTGGAGGAGGCCCAGGTGGGGACCATTTTCCAGGAGTGCACAAACCTTGCCTTGCCCACCATCCTGAAAGGCAGCACTGACCAGACGGCCAGGCCTCAGCCAGTACCAGTGTCAACACAAGGCACGCCCGCTACCCAGCACCTCACTCAGATTCCATGGAGACCAGAACCTGCCAGACAGAGGTTAGTAGGAACCACGGACCAAAAAGTGACTTGGCCAAAATTAAATTCTTTCAAAGCCTCGTTGAGGCAGCAATCCATCACCTTGAGGCCACAGGAGATGTAATACGGCTGATGATAAAAACAGCTAACACTGACTGAGCACTCTCTGTGTTCCAGGACAGGACTTAAACGGAATTTCTCACTTCATCCTCCATCCAGCCCTTAAAGACAAATATTATTGCCAGTTTACAGATGAGGAAAAAGATTCAGAGAGGTGGGGTGATGTGCCTCAGGTCACACAGCGAGTGGGGGTGGAGGGTAAAGGCTGGATCCAATTCAAGCCTTCCTTACCTCCAAAACATTTCCCCCAAAGACCTTTCCTGATGACTGTCCAGAGCTCCCTGTTCTATCTCCCTTTGCTAAAGATGAATGACAATCACAGCCAATAGCAACCACTCACAGCAAGGGAGTGCCTGGCAGCTGAGGAGTGCTCAGGCAGCCAGAATGTCATCTGCCAACAAACCGTTAAGGCCAGCGTTAGCCTTGGTGCCGGTTTCCCAAGTGAGCAGACTGAGGCTTGGGAATCCAGCAGGACTGTGAGCTGTCACAGTGGCCTCCTGACTCCCGGCCTAGTGTTCACTACACCACACTGCCAGGAAGCAGCTTATTCCCTAGTCATTCATTCAACCACTATTTACTTGGCTAAATTCTAATGAACAAGACAAGCAATTTTCTGCCTAGGAAAATTTGCATGAGGGAATCACTGCCCTCCCATATCATAATTCACCCTTCCCCGATTTTTCTTCAGCAGGGACCAACCTGCCCTCATTTCCAGTCCCTAAAATACAATATCTAGAAGTGGGTAGGGACTCATCTTGGCCAATCAGAATACCGCGCTCCCTCTGGCCACAGTGATTGGCTCAAGAATAGGCACGTGGCCAGGCGCGGTGGCTGACCCCTGTGATCCCAGCACTTTGGGAAGCCTAGGCAGGTGGATCACCTGAGGTCAGGAGTTTGAGACCAGCCTGGCCAACATGGTGAAACCCCACCTCTACTAAAAATACAAAAATTAGCTGGGCGTGATGGTGCATGCCTGTAATCCCAGCTACTCGGGAGGCTGAGGCAGGAGAATCACTTGAACCCGGGAGGCGGAGGTTGCAGTGAGCCAAGATAGCGCCATTGCACTCCAGCCCGGGCAACAAGAGCGAAACTCCATCTAAAAAAAAAAAAAAAAAAAAAAAAATTGGCATGTGATCAAGTCAGCCAATGAAATGCATTCTCAGAACAACTGCTGAGCCAGCTGAGACTGCTGCAAGCTCTCCTTGACTTCTAGCCTCCAGCCTAAAGCCATCCTGCCCCTAAGGGGGCCTGAAAATCAAACTAGGTCTGAGGCACTAAAGCTGAGAGAGGGCATGAGAAGACCGTTGATCCCTTCAATTAACTTTTACAACTCTCTATTAAGGGCTTTATTTTATATATAAGAAAACCGATGCTTAGAGAGATGAAGTCACCGGCCCAAGGTCACACAGCAGGTTCAAAGGATTAGGAATTGAATTCCGGCCAATGTGGGTTCAAATTCCATGTATCTGACAGCTTTGCCAGAGATGCCTGTATATTCTGCAAAAGTCTCATCTGGGCCTCAGTCTCCCCCCTATATGGGGGAGGATGGATGGTGAAATGATGTCCAACTCTCTCCATGCTCTGATGAGAGCCGTCTTAGGGAGTGGGTGAGTCTTGGAAAGCTAAGGGTGGTCCAAGTAGATGAGGCCCACGTGGGAGTTGGCAGGCAAGGAATAGCATAAAGAACAAGCGGCTGTCTGTGGCCTCCGATGTCCCTCTCTCCCAGCGGCTGAAGCAAGGCCGGGTTCCGGCGCACGATGAGGGGAGCCTTGGCCCAGCCTTCCACTGCTGGCTGGCAGTGACTAACGCCTCAGCCCACACCCTTGCGAGCAGATACACAGTGGCCACTTGTGTTTTCTGGCCCAAGCACCTCTGTGGGAACAATCCTCCCCCTTGTACCCGCAAGGGGCCCAGCCTGGAGGAGGTGGGGATAACCCTCCCAGCCGGGGACACTGCTTCACCCAAGGGGCCCAGCCAGCCCAGTCAGGGGCTGGGGGCTTCCTGAGAGTCAGCTGCACAAAGGCCAGCAGGGGACCCACCCCCAGGCCCTCCCCTTCCCTCCCGGCTGCCCACTGATCAGTGTGTTGCTCCCACCGCTTCCCGGGAAATAGCTGATATCACAGACCTCAGGACAGTGAGAAAACATTAGCCACCCCTCCTTAACTCCAGCTCCCCAACCCAACTCTGCAGATGAGGAAGCTGAGTCCACCAAGGCGAATGCAGAGACCAGGGTCCCATCTGTGACACTTGTCTCATCTGTGACACAGGTGTGCCTCAAGAAGAGTAAATGAGAACACAAGAGCAAAGAGCCTAGAGGGGCCTGTTCCTGGGGCACCCCTAACCTCAGGTCTGGGAGCCACTGGAGCTGCTGGGAAATTGACCCTGGGGCTGGGGAGCAGTGGGGGACTTGGCCAGCATCCATTCCCCCTTGTGGATTCAAAACTCTAGTTGCTTTTGGACACTGCCTCTCCCTCGCTCTGAGTCCAAGGGATTCATAGCGGGTTGACCTCACCCTGGGCCGGGGCATACCCCAGGCCCAGCTAATCAGAGGACTGAACCAAGGGCGCCTGAAAATGAAACTTGTCACAGTCATTGGTTCAGAGATGCCTGGGCATGGTCCCAAGGCAGGCCAACAGGGTCGTGCCTGGGTGGCTCTTTAAATTTGTTTTTGGTTGTTTGCTTTTTTTTTTTTTTTTGAGACGGAGTTTCCCTCTTTGTTGCCCAGGCTGGAGTGCAATGGTGCGATCTTGGCTCACTGCAACCTCCACCTCCCGGATTCAAGTGATTCTCCTGCCTCAGCCTCCCGAGTAGCTGGGATTACAGGCATGCGCCACCACGCCCGGCTGTTTTTGTATTTTTAGTGGCGACGGGGTTTCTCCATGTTGGTCAGGCTGGTCTCGAACTCCCGACCTCAAGTGATCCGCCCACCTTGGCCTCCCAAAGCGCAGGGATTACAGGCGTGAGCCACTGCGCTCGGCCAGTTGTTTGCATTTTTGCTGAAGTTATCAGGACAGCAGCTTTTTCTTTCTCTGGCGCTGCTAAATCGGTAGAATGAAAGGCTGAAGGGTCTTGTAGCCCATCTTGCCACTCCTTCAGAGTGGCTGCCGGAGGGTGAGGCCAAGATGGCAGAAGCAGGGCTCACAAATGGAGTGCTACTGGCTCTGTGGAACACCTGGAGACAGCTGTACCTGAAGGCGGACTCTACCCGTAGACTTCTCAGTTACATGAGCCGATAAATTCCCTTTTGGATTCCTGCCATTGGCCACCAAGAAGGAGATGAGTTCCCTCTCTCTGGGGCTGTTCCAGCAAGGAACAGATATCTAGAGGAGTGCCTCACCACACAACACGCGTGTATCAAGGGCCACCTTCATTCCCAAGCCCACCATAATCTATAAGGTGACATTCACTGAGACCTCACCAAAGAGCTGACTGATAATCTAGGATTTGGAGACCTACATGGAAAACACGTAGGACAGAGGCCAACAGCAACTATGGAATTCTTCTGCCAAAAGAATCTTCCTCCAAAAAAGTGGAAAGGATCATTTTACACTTAATAAATTAGCAAAAACATGCAATTGTGACAACCCAGCACTGGAGACGATGTAGTAAAATGGGTGAACGCATTACTGACAAGAATAGAAACTGATTCAATCTTTCAAAGACAACAATTGGAAATAGGTTTTAAAAGCCATGAAAATACCTTTTCAGCCTATTATCCCTCATTCCTGGGAATTTAAGGCCAGGAAATACTTTTAAAAAGACAACAGGCCAGGCACGGTGGCTCGTGCCTGTAATCCCAGCACTTTGAGGGGCTGAGGCGGGCGGATCAGAAAGTCAGAAGTTCGAGGCCAGGCTGACCAACATAGTGAAACCCCGTCTCTACTAAAAATACAAAAATTAGCCAGGCAAGATGGCGCGCACCTGTAGTCCCAGCTACTCGGGAGGCTGGGGCAGAAGAATCACTTGAACCTGGGAGGCAGAGGTTGTGGTGAGCTGAGATCGTGCCACTGCACTCCAGCCTGGGAACAGAGCAAGAATCTGTCTCAAAAAAAAAAAAAGAAAAAAAAGAAAGGCAACAAAAGAAATGTACTAGGATCATGTTCAGTTTATATTAGTCCATAATAATAGAAAAAAGGTGAAATCACTAAAGACAATGGTTAAATTAACTTAATGGGATATTAAGTAACCCTTAAATGATAAACAAGAAGATAATACAGTAATGAGAAAAAATCCTTAAGCCATAATAGTAAATAACAAAATAGGATAATGAAATTGTAACTAGGCTACAATTTTCCTTTGGGAAAACTGCATGTGCCTATGGACAGGGACGAGCTAAAACACAGCATAATGAAGTCAAGCGATTTATAAAGATGATTTTCACCCAGTGACATCTGGCAATTATCCACAGGGGTCCCAGCGAGGGCAGACTGGGACTGGTGCAAATAAGCCTCCCACATAGAGAGAGACCACTTCATCTGAGCTTGCCTTACACGTTCCAGAGACAGACACCCTCGTTCTTTCGGAACCCACATGAGCTGCACTGTCTGATACAGTAGCTACTAGCCGCACGTGGCTATTTAAATTAATAGATATGAAGCAAAAATTTAGTTCCTCAGTTGCATTAGCCACATTTCACGTGCCACCACACTGTGGCTACCGTATTGAACAGAGCAGGTACATACAGAACACTTCGATCACTGTAGAAAGTTCACCCCCAGCCCTCTCTGGCAGAAAATGCCTCTTCGGAGGTAAGGGAGCATCTAAAACTCACTCCACTGTCCCAGACCCAGATTCTGAAACATGGGTTTCTTTTTCTAGGAAGCAAAAGGGGACATGTGCAAGGAATCAGCAGAGGAACCCCACCCAATGATCATTTGCTACGGAAGTCTCCTAGCAACCTGGCTGAGTGGCAGGTGTGAGGGAAGGCTCCCAGCTGACCTGTCGGATGAAAAGCCTGGGTGTGGGTCAGAGCCAAAGGACGGAGCAGTCAGGGCTCAGGGTTCCTATTTCCCTGTCTTTATTCTGGACGGCCGTGCCAGGCATGTATCAAATATGGTTCAGGCCACTGGAACCAAAGCAGGGCTTGGTCTGGGTGTCACACAATGTACAGCTGTGCTGTCCCTGCCTGAACACAGTTAATCTTTGCATGGTGATGAAGGCGGTCAATCGCAGGAAGGGCTGCGACTCTATTTAGGAGAGAGAAAATCTGGCCCCAGAGAAAACCACGGTCACAGCAGAACTGACTATGTGCAGGAAAAGGGCCCAACATAAAGCCAAAGGGGGTGACCTGAGGACAGCAGACACAGAGCCGGGGTGGCCAGCTGACATGGGCTTGAGTTTAGAGCCCACTAAGGCCCCTGGCTGGCAGGCGTGAGTCAGCAGAGGACAGGAGCCTTATGCACCACGGGCCTGGGCCTTGGGAGGCCCAGGTCCTTGCGGGCTCAGGATGAAAAAGGCCTGTCAAACCCTCTTATGGTCTCTTGCTGCAGGGCAACGAGCAGCCCGCCTTTCTCCAGCACAGGCCCATGAAGTACACAGAGGTACCACCATCGCCTTTTATGGAAGAGAAAAGGGAGGCCCAGGCAGAGAAACTGACTTGTCCCAGGTCACATAGCTAGGAGGCACTGGCAGGCCTGGAGCTCAGCTCTGGCTCTCCGCCCAGTGCTCTGTGCCCTCAGCAGCCCACCAAAGTTGTCATGCCAGGGGTCTCCCGCCCAGCTGCTCAGTGTGCCAGCCCTCCTTCCCCTCTTTCCCTCCGTGGCCTTCAACCAGAAACACTCAGGGTGAACCCTCAAGGGCTCCTAGCTGCTGACAAGCTAACGCAGGAGCTCCCTGGCCCAGCACTCACACCCTCATGACCTGCCCCTGCCCACTTCCCCAGGGTCCCGCCATTCCCTCTCACTCAGCCCCGTGCCTGCTGCCTACTTCCCAGCCCTCTTCATGCTCCCTCCTCCACAGAGAACACCTCCTCCCTACCTGCGTTTAATCAGCCAGCAAAATCGAACTCAACCCCAGCCTAGCTCATGACATCTTCCCCAGAACCCCAGCCCACCTCCCCGACTAGAATCTCTTTGCACCTTGTTAAGGTTTTCATCGCAGACTGCCCTGTCCCCTGGGCATCTGCATCACAGATTCTCTGACCTGGCTGTGATCTCTGAAAGGCTCAGCCCACCTGACTCCTCTCAGTCTACCCTACAGAGCCTGGCACAGAAGAGCCAGTGGGTAGATGGGACAGTGGGAGTGGGAGTGAACGGGAAGATAGGTGGGCAGACAAGCACATGGAGGAGTGAACGGATGGGAGGTAGGGGCTGGAGGAATGGATGGGAAAATGAGTTAAGTGGGATGGTGAATGGATGAGAGGTTGGGTGAATGGATGGGTGGGCAGAAGAATGGGAGGGTGGGTGGATGGGCAGATGAATGGAAGGATGGACAGATGCATGGGAGAGTGAGTTGGCAGGGGCATGAATGGGTGTGCATGAGACTAGGTGGGTATGAGAGGGATAAAGGAATGACATGTATGTCCAGGGAGTAGACAATTATCATCTTCCCTTCTTTCCAAAAGGCACTTGAGCCCACCCTTGCTGGGTTCTATGAACATCAGCCTCTCTCCTTCCTTCAATCCTGTAGCCAATAAAGTTATTGTTACAGGAATCGACCCCGCTCCCTCCGATGTCCCCATCTTGGCAAACTTAGAAATGAGCAAATTTCTATCGAGCAATTTGTGGAAACAGCGCAGGACCTAAGCTCAAGTCCCAACTCTACTACTTACTAGCTAAGTGTGCTTGCGGAAGCCAGGACACCAGGCCTTCGTTTCCTGATGAAGACATAAACAATTTCAGTGACGCACGGGAAAATCAATAAACCACTATGGGTTAGCCAGTTGACTATTGGTTGTTACTGTTCTCTCTTGGAACTGTGTATTTTTTGTTTTTGAAAGCCTAAAAACATGTTTATTTTGTTCACCAATGTATCTATTACTCTGGTCATGGCAGACACTCAGTATGTATCCTTTTTTTTTTTTTTTTCAGTATGTATTCTTAAATGACTAAGGAATGAATGAATAAAACTGGTGTTTGTGCCTCCCTGCAAACAGAGAGAAATGAGGTCCTCCACATAAGAGAGGAAAGGAAAGTGATAAGAAGTCGACTTTCTCCATAACATATTTCTATTTCTGAATCTCTGGCTGTTCTCCAGTTTTGAAAGATGGCACCTCTTTACCTTGCAGGAGCCAAAGCCTTCGACTGGGCCAGGATGTACACAGCTGAGTCCTGCCAAGCAGAGAGAAACCACTTCCCAATCAATCATCACCATGCCAAGTTTCAGCTCAACGACAAGTGAGATGGCCAAGTTTCAGAACAAGTGACATGTAAGGATGGCAAAGATCATGAAGCCCAAAAGCAGAATGACGTGGCTTTCAAAGACGTGCCTTGAACACTGTCTCCCTCAGGGAGGGGAAGCCTGGCCAGCCACCCTGGCACAGCTCAGGGAAATGTTGAGCCGCAAAAGTTCTTGTGAACCAGCAAATAAAATACGGAAACCCAAACGGGATTGGCCCAAAGATACCAAGTCTTGGCCTTGGCTGAAAACGGGAGCAACCTGTCCAACTTGGCTGGGGATGTGGGAGCCCTCAGATGTTAGCTCTCCAAAACCAATGGGGAATCCAACCCACCTATCACTGATAAAGGAGGCGTGAAAGGTGCCCATGGGCTCTGCCTCCTTGCAGGGGACCGCTCCCACCTTTCCCAGGCTCCTCGCTACCCAGAGGAGGACAGTGAGACTCAATGCGGAGTTGCAGAGGGGAGAGGACTCCGGGGTCCACAGAGGAGGAGGAAGTGAGGAAGGAAGCACTTTATGGAGGGCCACCTATGCCCCCTGCCTGCATGTGTTTAAGACACTCATTTAATCTTCACCACAACCTTGGGGGTCGTGTCCATTCATGAACTCTGTTTTAGAGACAGTATCAAACCTCAGAGAGGTTAAGTCGGCCTGTTTATTCCATCAACAGTCCTTGTGGTGCTGAAGTAACATCTGTGCGTTAAAGACAATCTTAAAAATATAATGGTACAAGGAAGAAAATCAAAGCTTTTCATAATCCAAGGGACTCGCCTTTGGTATTCTGCGGTGGGACGTTCTTGAACTGTTTCCCAATCCCAGCTCTAACACTTCCCAGCTGTGTGCCCCTGAGGGGACTTCTTTGTCCTCACTTCCCAGCCTTTTATACCTTTACATAATGAAGATGTAACCGCTCCTCCTCCAGAAGCTGTTGTGAGCATTTAATGAGTTATACGTGAAAGGCGCTTAGAAGAGGCTGGGTCCTTGGCTGCGCATGGTGGCTCAAATGTGTAATCCCAGCACTTTGGGAGGCTGAGACAGGTGGATCACCTGAGGTCAGAAATTCAAAACCAGTCTGGCCAACAGAGTGAAACTCCATCTCTACTAAAAATACAAAAATTAGCCGGGCATGGTGGCACACTCCTGTAGTCCCAGCTACTTGAGGAAGCTGAAGCAGGAGAATCACTTGGACCCGTGAGGCAGAGGTTGCAGTAAGCCAAGATCGCGTTACTGCACTCCAACCTGAGCGACAGAGTGAAACTCTTGTCTTAAAATAAAATAAAATGAATAGAATAGAATAGAATAGAATAGAATAGGCTGGGTCCAGAGTGAAAGTCTAGAAATATTCACTCATTATACTCTCTCTGGCCACAAATATATTCTTCCATACTTTACAAAATTGGGATTAAACTGTATACACTGGTCATTCTTACTTTCACTTAACAGTATAGCATGGCTGGACACAGTGGCTCACACCTGTAATCCCCCTGTAAGGCCAGCACTTTGGGAGGGGAGGTGGGTGGATCACCTGAAGTCAGGAGTTTGAGACCAGCCTGACCAACATGGTGAAACCCTGTCTCTACAAAAATACAAAATTAGCCAGGCATGGTGGCACGCACCTATAGTCCCAGCTACTCGGGAGGCTGAGGCAGGAGAATCTCTTGAACCCAGGTGGTGGAGGTTGCAGTGAGCTGAGATGGCACCACTGCACTCCAGCCTGGGTGACAAGAGTAAAACTCCATCTCAAAAAAACAAACAGTATGGCATGCACAGCCCTTCGGAGCACAAAACACTCTTCCCCAACGTCATCTCCAAGGGTGGCAGAATGTTCCACTGAGTGACGGGACCCTCCTCTATTTGAGCAGCTCCCTATCATGGGGCCATGCCACCCTGGTCGCGTGGTGCCGCATCCAAAAGCATAGGCCTTGATTTACATGTTGTCAAATGCTCTCCAAATGGCAGGACCAAGCTATACCCGTGTTCCACCAACACTAGGTATCATCCAGATGTGACGCTGGGCTTGGGTCAGTTCTGCCACATCTGGCTGTGTGTCCTTGGCACTGGCCTCATGATGGTGCAGGTGTAAAGATGCCTATGTCCCACTGTGAGAGGCACTATTGTCCCTATTTTGCAGAAAAGAAAACCAAGGTTCAGAGGGGTGACATCACTTGCCCAGGGTTACACAGCAATGCCAACTGCTGAGCTGCGACTTGTAAGATGAACAGCATCCCCAGGTCAGAAGCCTCTGAAGTGGCCGGGCGCAGTGGCTCATGCCTGTAATCCCAGCACTTTGGGAGGCTGAGGCGGGTGGATCACTTGAGGTCAGGAGTTCAAGACCAGCCTGGCCAATATGGTGAAACCCTGTCTCTACTAAAAATACAAAAATTAGCTGGGTGTGGTAGCACGTGCCTGTAATTCCAGCTACTCGGGAGCCTGAGGCAGGAGAATCGCTTGAACCCAGGAAGCGGAGGTTGCAGTGAGTCGAGATCGCGTCACTGCACTCCAGCCTGGGTGACAGAGCAAGACTCTGTCAAAAAAAAGAAAAAAAAAAGCCTCTGAGGCGAGGAGACCCGCGTGGGGTGGGCTGGGGTCTTCAGGGGTCCTCTCCTAGCCACTGTAGATGGTCCTGCAGCCAGACCAGAGGCCAGCACCAGTGTCTGGAGCTCCAGTTTCCTCATTAACAGAGGCGCCCCAGTCACCTCTCCCCAGCTCAAAGATGGGTTTCCTATCACCTCAAAGTGGCGGTTGTGGGGAGGGCAGTGAGGGCCCCCAAAAAGAAGGGGTCTTGAGAGGGAGCTCAGGCTTCCCCAACCCCGTATCAGGGCCCTCTAAGATGCAAAGCAAGGGTAGAAAGAATCTCAGGGCTGACCAGGGAGGTTCGCCAGCTCTGACAAGGGTCATTGCCTCAGGGTGACAATGCTGGCTCTGACAGTGGCAACTGCCTCATAGGGCCAAGCGTTGGGCCTGGGCTCCCAGACAAGACTGTGTGGAGCTTTCCAGGAAGGAGAGTGAAGGGAAGCCAGGCATCAGCATTAGCTTCTTTCTCCAGGGCACAAATGCTCCACTTCTGGTGCCCTCAACTACAACTCACCCTGGGGCAGGCACGGAGCTGAGACCTTACACTCATCCCACCAGACCCCCCAGTAGCCCTGTGCCGTCTCCAGGCTGGGATGCAGGCTTATTTTATCTTCATAACAGAGAGAGCAACAAACTGAGGCTGATCCCAGAACGCTTTACATCCCTCCACCCAGAAGCACCCTGCAGTGTAACAGGCAAGGGAGGAGTTCAGGGCCTCAAGGCAATCTGCCTCTGTCAAGCCCCAGGAAGGGGAAGATCAGCTTAAGTCACCCCACAGAAATGGCAACAATCACAGTAACAGCCACATTTACATCTTGTGTGTGAGGCAGGACAGTGAGGGCTGGCCACAAGCATCAATGTTCGCAAAGTCGGGGCAAAGGGCTGTTTTGATTTAGACGTCACAGCTCAAGATGCTGAGGATCAGAGGGGTGAGGTGACTTGCCCAAAGTCACACAGCCAACAGGCAGGGAAGCTAGGAGGAAGCTCAGAACTGATTCCAGCGCCACATCATAACCACAATGCGGCCTCCCGAGTGTAGCCACGTCATAACCACAATGCGGGGCCTGTCCAGGGAGAGGCAACAAGCGAGGCCCGGCATTCACTCACTCATCCTTTCAATTGCTCAGCAGGTATTTTTTGTTGTTGTTGTTGTTTAATTTTTTTTTGAGACGGCGTTTCACTCTTGTTGACCAGGCTGGAGTGCAGTGGCGCAATCTCAGCTCACTGCAACCTCCGCCTTTCGGGTTCAAGCTATTCTTCTGCCTCAGCCTCCTGAGTAGCTGGGATTACAGGCGCGCACCATCACGCCCAGCCAATTTTTGTATTTTTAATAGAGATGGCGTTTCACCATATTGGCCAGGCTGGTCTCGAACTCTTGACCTCAGATGATCCACCCGCCTCGGCCTCCCAAAGTGCTGGGATTACAGGTATGAGCGAGCCACTGCACGCCTGCAGCTCAGCAGTTATGAACTGAACATCTACCCTCCGCGGGCCCTGTTCCAAATGCAGGGGACACAAAGATCACTCCTTGTCCTCAGGGACTTCACATCTGCTGGAGGGGACAGAAAATAAAGAAGGAGAAACACAAGAGAATCCCAGTTTGTAACAACAGCCCTGAAGGAAATCTACAGGCAGCTGCCACCATGGTCAGGGAGCGGTGGTCGGGACAGGCCTCTCTGAGGAGGGAATCTGAGTTGAGACCCGGAGAATGAGGAGGAGCCAGCTGTACAGAGTCACAGGTAGACTGGCAGGCAGGGGACCCGCCAGCGCAATGGCAATGGTCCGGAAGCAGAAAGGAGCTGCGCTTCCCTCAGCTCCTCCCAGAGGCACCACTGGCCTCCACCACCCTGCACCACCTGACCCAGGCTGGCTGGAGTTAACTCTTCAGTCACCAGTGCATTGGTAAAGTCCCTCCTCGTCCCCATCCTTCTCCCCAAGTCTTAGTGTCTAATTCTGGCTCTGGTATAGCCTGTTTTTTCTTGTTATTGTTGTTTTCAGACAACCTGCTTTTCAGTCAGGGTCTTGCCCTGTCACCCAGACTGGAGTGCAGTGGTGTGATCACAGCTCACTGCAGCCTTGAATTCCTGGCCTCAAGTGATCCTCCTGCCTCAGCCTCCAGAGCAGCTAGGACTAGATTTGGTGCCACCACGCCTGGCTAATTTTTTAAATTTTTTGGAAGAGATGGAGTCTTCCTATGTTTCCTAGGCTGGTCGTGAACTCCTAGCCACCCGAAGTGCCAGCCCTGCTATAGTCTGTTAGTATGAAAAAATCGGTAAGCTATGGGGGGAGAAGGGAAAAAATGCATCACAGGGGAAGCAGAGAGAAAGGGGAAGAGAAAGAGTGAAGTGGAAGGTGAGTATGGTGGAGAGAGGGAGAAGGGAGAAGGAAGCCTTTCAGCACTCACCCTCCCTGCTCTGCTGACAAGACCCAGAGACACCCTGCACTGCAGGCTGCTGCGGTCCCAGCAGCCCCACCCACCAGGGTGCCAGGAGGGGCCCCAGGAGCACTCAGCTTCCCCGCCCTGACACCCGCCCTTTTCCCCTGCCACTTCCTGTGCTAGTCCTGCCTGCACCCCTCACCACTTCCTCTGCATGAGAGGCCACCATCCATCGCCATCCAGCTGAGGCACGCTTGCAAAGAAGGGTGACATTCCTGGGCACAGAGACCACAAGGCCAAGAGTAGACACCGCACTGAAGCGACCGTGGACTGCCCAACAAGCCCGTTTGTCTTTCTCTCTGTGCTATGCAAGAGAAAAGAGACACGCTCCTGGCCAGAAAGATCTGGATGCAAGTCCCAGCCCTGCCAAAAAAAAGCTATGTGACCCTGAGTAAGTCACTGTACCTCTCTGGGTCTCTGCTTCATCAGGTGTGGAGTGAGGATATCCCCCTACCTTTCATGGGGATACGAGAAGAATAAATGATGGACATGTAGGAACTGAGCAAAAGTCAACTCCCTACTCATCTATCTTGTTCACTTTGGAACCCACAGGGCCTGGCACAAGTAGGTGCTCAATAAACAATCTAGAGCTAACACTTACATGACTTCTTCCAGTGTCCTAGACTAAGTGGTTTCCATGGGTTGTCTCATTTCATCTTCCAACAGCCCTATGTGATTGTACCATTACCATCACCATTTCACAGCTTAAGAAACTGAGGCAGAGATAAGTAAATTCCTCAGCATCACACAGCCTGCAAGAGGTAGAGCCAGGCTTGAACTGCAGGAATTCCTCCAGGTTCCCAGACAACCTCTGATCCGCAGCAGACACAAGCTTGCCTTCCTGTCTCATCCTCTCTGCTCTCTTTCCATCTCCTAAGATGCCCTAGACTCTTTCATGCCTCCTGTCTCACAAACATCTTCTCAGGCTGGTCACCTCTCACCTGTCACCTCACTCCCTCAGCTCTGATTCGGGTTCCAACTACAGCTCTGGCCTTCCCTCCCACACCCACCTGGTTCGGTCACCAGGGTCGGTCACTCTGGCCCAGCCTCCATTCAGCATGGACCACCTTAGTTTTGGGCAGCCAGGAATCCTGGCTCTGGCACCCTGCAATTGTGTCGCCTCTCTGGTCATGGCCTCCTCCCCCATCAAAAGACAGTCCTTCTCTAATGTTACATGGGCTGACCTGATCAGGCCCTGGGGGACTTAAGGCAGGCAGGACATTTTTTGAGATCAAAACTGCCAAGTCTAAATTCATTGGCTTAGCATTCAAAGCTCTCTTGACTTGGTCCCTGCTATGGTCCGAGTGTCTGTGTCCCTACAAAATTCTTATGTTGAAATCCCAACCTCCAAGGTGATAGCATTAGAAGGAGGGGCCTTTTGGGAAATGATTAGGTCTTAATGAGATTAGTGTTCTTGTAAAACAGACCCCAGAGGCCGGTGCGGTGGCTCACGCCTGTAATCCCAGCACTCTGGGAGGCCGAGGCGAGTGGATCACTTGAAGCCAGGAGTTTGAGACCAGACTGGCCAACATGGTAAAACGCCATCTCTACTAAAAATACAAAAATTAGCCAGATGTGGTGGTGCACGCCTGTGATCCCAGCTACTCTGGAGGCTGAGGCACAAGAATCACTTGAACCCAGGAGGCGATCATGCCGCCAGTGAGCCGCGATCATGCCACTGCACTCCAGCCTGGATGAAGGAGTGCAGTCTTTAAAAAAAAAAAGAAAAGACCCTAGAAGGCTAGCTGTCCTTCTGTCCCTCCCACTATGTGAGGTCACAGCGAGAAGGCACCATCTATGAAGCAGAGCAGGCCCTCGTTAGACACCAACTCTGTGGGAGCCTTGATCTTGGACTTCCCAGCCTCCAAACTATGTGAAATAAAATGTTTATTGTTTGCAAGCCATCCAGCCTATGGTATTTTGTCACGGCAGCCCGAATGAGCCACGCCCCCAAATGCTATTGCAGATCTGGCCTGGCCCTGGCCCATGCCCACTTCCCAAATCCAGTGACCACTGGGTTTGAGGAGGCAACAGTAGAGGCCAGATCTGTCGTGCCCAACATGGCAGTCACTAGCCACATGTCACTATCGAGCACCTGACATGTGGCTGGTGCAGATGGAGATGTGCCATAAGTGCAACACCCACCAATTTCAAAGACTTCGCATGAAAAAGAATACAACACATTGCTTTAATTCTGCATTTATTACATGCTGAAGTGATAAATATACCATTAAAATTCATTTCCCTATTTTTCCTCTGGTTTGAATGAGGTGACTAGGAAACCTGCCATTGCCTGTATAGCCTGCGTAACACTCCCTTGGACAGCATCATTAGCCCAGAGACAGAAGGGACCAACTTACCTGTTTTTGTTTTGTTTTGTTTTGTTGAGACAGAGTCTTGCTCTGTTGCCCAGGCTGGAGTGCAATGGCGCTTTCTCAGCTCACTGCAACCTCTGCCTCCCAGGTTTCAGGTGATTTTCCTGCCTCAGCCTCCCAAGTAGCTGGGACTACAGGCATGAGCCACCACACCCAGCTAATTTTGTATTTTTAGTACAGATGAAGTTTCACCATGTTGGCCAGGCTGGTCTCGAACTCCTGACCTCAGGTGATCCACCCACCTCGGCCTCCCAAAGTGCTGGGATTACAGGTGTGAGCCACCGCGCCCAGCCCAGGATCAAATTATCTGATACTTACAGAGAAGACCGAAATCTGGGATTTTCTGTGAAATCTCTTCATTTAAAAATACTGGCAATCAAGTCAAATTTGGTTCAACCCGCGTGGGGGCCACACCGTGTGGCCCCATCCTCAGGCCACATCAGGCCGCTACATCAGGCTCAACGGCCAGCAGTCAGCAACCTCGGGCCACTCATGGGCCGGCCTCTCTCCTGGCCTGGACTTCCTTCCCTCCACCTTATCACCATCCCGCCTGCCGTACCAGGTGGAAGCTTCCCCGCTCTCGGCTGGCTGCCTGCTTGTCCCTGTACAACTCTCATCTCAGGCAGCACCTTTCGGTCTCCTCCCCCATGACACACTGGAAGCAGCAGGGGAGGCCGCCTTCTTATCCTGAGCACCTACGGTGGCTAACTGGATACCCGCTGTATGAGCTACTCAGGCAATTCTCACAATAGCTCCCGCAGGTGTAGTCAGCCCCACTGTACTCATGGGGAAGCTGAGGGAGGCTGAGACAAGCCACTTGCCTGAAAGGACACAGTGGCTAAATGGCACAGCCGGGATGCAAACCCTGGCTTCTCTGACTGAAAGACCCAACTCTCTCATTGCACACCCAGAGACCTGACAGAGGAGGTCAACAAATACCGTCTGCCGGGCTGAATAAAGGAACGCTCGTCTGCACAAGACAGTGGTTCTCAGCTGGAGCCATTATGCCTCCCTCCCCCATGGAGCATGTGGCAACGTCTGGGGACACTTTTGGTTGCCACAACTGCAAGGAGGTGTTCTGGCATCCAGTGGGCTGAAGCCAGGGATCCTGTGGAACACCCTATAATGTACGTAACAGCTCCATAACAAAGAACGACCCCACCCAAAATGCCAGTAGTGCCAGGTGAGGAAGCGCTGGTATGAGGGCTATGCTATCAACACCGAGGTATTCCTGCCTTGTCCCTAAAGTCATAGTGACAGGTCAGGAGCTTCTCCATCTGACACCAAGAGCAGCAATCATAACACCTCATCGTCATTTCCTGAGCCCTTCCTGGGTGAGAATCAGATGCTAAACACATCACCTCCTCAACTCCTCTCAGCCCTGTGGCCAACTCCACTTTGCAGACACAAGATTCAGGTTCAGAGGAGGAGGTGGTCACCTATTTGGGGTTCAAATAGGGCCAGGACTAGGACCCAGATCCTACTGAGCCCCAAATCTCTTCCCTTCACCACCACCCTGTTCCACTACCCTCAGCAGCAGGGGGCCTGAGAGTGACCACCCAGGGCTGTTCTGGGGGCTATGGGGTGACAACCTCTGGAGAGTCCCCCTAATCTAGGTAACCTTGGCAGGCCAGGCCACAGGAGAGTCCTAGGTGGAGGGCGGGTCCATCTGTTTGTTTCGATCCCTTCCACCGCAGCTTGCTTTCGCATCAGCCAAAAAAAATTCCCAGAACGGCCAGTGTGAAATCAGACCCGCAGGGCTGTGGGCAGGGCCCCACGCAGAAGCCGAAGGGCGTCATCCACGGGAAGTTCAGACCCCCTTGGATGAGGGCTGAGTCACGAGTTAGAAACCCACTCACAATAGCATGGACTTGGGTTTAAAAATACTTGGCTGAGCGGAAACAAGGTTACTGCCTGGGGCCAGATCTCTTTCCGGAGGAGGAGGGGAGGACTGAGACCTTCCCCATCCCCAGAGGAAGTGGAAACCCAAGCTTTCAAACTAGTAGGCAGGAGAGGAGGTGAAAGGAGAAGACTCTGGCTCAGGGACGGGCAAGACGGCCTGGGAGGGCTCCTACCTCACTTAACCTGAGCTTCCTCTCAACCAGGCAGGGAGGGCAGAATGTCACATCACTCCTAAAGCCAGCACACAGCAGAGGCACCTAAGCTCTGAGCAGCAGCTGCCAAGGCCCCCTGTGCACTTGAGGGGTCTAAGAGGACTTGGGAATTGGCTCTCAGCAATAGCAAGAGACAAAGGGGACCTGTATTAATTTATCTCATTTTATTTTTAAAATCACCCTCAAATAGGCATATGCTTTGACCTAGTAATTCCCTTTGAAAGTCCGGCCTAGGCCGGGCGTGGTGGCTCACGCCTGTAATCCCAGCAGTTTGGGAGGCCGAGGCGGGCAGATCACCAGAAGTCAGGAGTTCAAGACCAGCCTGGCCAACATGGCAAAATCTCGTCTCTACTAAAAAATACAAAAATTAGCTGGGCATGGTGGCGGGCGCCTGTAATCCCAGCTACTTGAGAGGCCAAGGCAGGAGAATCACTTGAACCTGGGAGGCGGAGGTTGCAGTAAGCCGAGTTCGTGCCACTGCACTCCAGCCTGGGCGACAGAGCAAGACTTCGTCTCAAAAAAGAAAGTCTAGCCTAAAAGGTAAATTAAAATACAGCAACGGCCAGGTGCAGTGGCTCACGCCTGTAATCCCAGCACTTTGGGAGGCCGAGGCAGGCGGATCACTTGAGGTCAGGAGTTCAAGACCAGCCTGGCCAACATGGTGAAACCCCGTCTCTACTAAAAATACAACAACAACAAAAAAAAAAAACATTAGCCGGGCGTGGTGGCGCACACCTGTAATCCCAGCTACTCAGGAGGCTGAGGCAGGAGAATCACTTGAACCCAGGAAGCAGAGGTTTCAGTGAGCTGAGATTGCACCACTGCATTCCAGCCTGGGCAACAGAGTGAGACTCTGTCTAAAGTAAAATAAAATAACATACAGCAAGAACTCTACAAAGCTGTTCATCAAGATACAGTTGGCTCTGTGAGAACCCTTATTTTGAACCTGCCAACTTTGCTCCAACACCATCAACATACCAGGGAGTGATTCTGCTATAATGCTAAGGTCGTATTTGGTTACATATAGAAACAGCAAGTGAACGCCGCAGATGAATGCAGAAAACTGCACTCAGCTGACTCAGGTGTTGAAGGAATGCACAAAACACACAGGCACACACCTCTGACATCCATCAACCACCTCTGAGCCACACCCATGTGCATCTGCCATCAGATTGCACACACACCTCCTTCCACAGCTCCCTACGCTGCTGCCTTCCCAGCACCCACATCCACCCATGTGGTGCATCTTTTTTCAGGTAAAATGCCTACTTACCGCAGCATGTGCGTATTTCTTCTCCACGTAACTTGCGTAAAACTGTACTACTGGATTTTAGATTCTGAACTTTTTTTAAAAGACGCCACTGATGAAGTTTTTAAGTGCTGTGCCCTCAACCCCATTCTTCCCATAAGGCCTCTGGTTTTTACTGCATGATTTTGCATAGCTCTGTGATTTTTACGAAGGGATAATTGTCTTCTATTACGTATTACGTAAAGCGCCTAGCACAGTGCCTGGCATACGATTATTTAATTTATTTTAATTTTTTTTTTTTTTGAGACAGAGTCTCGCTGTGTCACTCAGGCTGGAGAACAGTGATACAATCTTGGCTCACTGCAACCTCCACCTCCCAGGTTCAAGCGATTCTCCTGCCTCACCCTCCCTGAGTAGCTGGGATTACAGGCGCCCACCACCATGCCAGGCTAGTTTTTGTATTTTTAGTAGAGAGGGGGTTTTGCCATGTTGGCCAGGCTGGTCTCGAACTCCTGACCTCAGGTTATGCTCCCACCTCGGGAGGTGGAGGTTGCAGTGAGCCAAGATCGCGCTAATGCAATCCAGCCTGGGTGACAGAGCAAGACTCTGTCTAAAAGAAAAAAAGAAATAAAACACTACAGATACATATGATTAGAACCAAGCAGGAAAAAAAATTCACCACAACATCAAAAGTCTAGAAGGAAATATATCAACATGTCAACAGACGCTGATGGAACCCAGGGTAATTTTTTTCTTCTTAATTGCTGCTATTTGTTTGGTAAACTCCCAATTTTGCAAAACAATAAATCTTTTAAAAGTTTAAAAAGGCCGGCTCGGTGGCTCACGCCTGTAATCCCAGCACTTTGGGAGGCTGAGGCGGGCGGATCACAAGGTCAGGAGTTCGAGACCAGCCTGGCCAGCATGGTAAAACCCCGTCTCTACTAAAAATACAAAAATTAGCCGGGTGTGGCGGTGCGCACCTGTAATCCCAGCTACTTGGGAGGCTGAGGCAAGAGAATTGCTTGAACCTGGAAAGCGGAGGTTGCGGTGAGCTGAGATCGCACCATTGCACTCCAGCCTGGGTGACAGAGCTAGACTCTGTCTCAGAGGGAAAAAAAAAAAAAAAAAAAGGCTTAAAAACAACAAAAAATCAAAACCAAAGCAATTTTCTATTTTTTGTTTTGTTTTGTTTTGAGCCAGGGTCTCAGGGTCTCATTCTGTTGCCCAGGCTGGAGTGCAGAGGCGTGGGTGCAGTGGCTCACCACAACCTCTGCCTCCCAGGCTCAAGCTATCCTCCCACCTCAGCCTCCTGAGTAGCTGGGACCACGGGCGCATGTCACCATGCCCAGCTCATTTTTTTTTTTTTTTTTTTTGAGACGGAGTTTTCGCTCTTTCACCCAGGTTGGTTTGCAATGGCACAATCTCAGCTCATTGCAACCTCCACCTTCCAATTTCAAGCGATTCTCTTGCCTCAGCCTCCAGAGCAGCTGGGATTACAGGCGCCCACCACCACGCCTGGCTAATTTTTGTATTTTCCGTAGAGACGGGGTTTCACCATGTTGCCCAGGCTGGTCTTGAACTCCTGACCTCATGATCCACCCAATTCAGCCTCTCAAAGTGCTGAGATTACAGGTGTGAGCCACCGCGCCCGGCCAATTTTTTGTATTTTTGGTGGAGATGGGGTTTCGTCATGTTGCTCAGGCTGGCAAAGCAATTTTTAAGAAGGATACCAGGCTCAGTGGCTCATACCTATAATCCCAGCACTTTGGATGGCTGAGGCAGGAGGATCACTTGAGCCTAGGAGTTCAAGACCAACCTGGACAATATAGTGAGACCCCATCTCTACAAAAAATTTAAAAATTAGCCAGGTGTGGTGGCGTGTGCCTGTAGTCCCAGCTACTCTGGAGGCTGAGACAGGAGGATCCCTTGAGCCCAGGAGTTCGAGGCTGAAGTAAGCAATGATGGTGCCACTGCACTCCAGTCCTTGAGACAGAGTAAGACACTGTCTCTAAAAACAAACAAAAAGAAGCAGAAAAATCATCTCAGCCTGCTAACCCAACTCCTTTCATTTCTCCATGCTCCCTGTCCACATTGTGTGCATGAGTACCTGTGTTGCCTGCTGCTATCACAGCAAGCACACCCGCTAAAGTCAGCTTTTCCCACTCAATCTATCACCTTTTCCCCTTTCTACCTCCTCTTCAAAATGAAGATTATTTTCAGTGATAAGAATTTTGAAACCATATAGCTTGTAAACTTTACTTTTTTTTTTTTTTTTGAGACAGAGTTTCACTCTCTTGTCCAGGCTGGAGTGCACAATCTCTGCTCTCTGCAACCTCTGCCTTCCAGGTTCAAGCAGTTCTCCTGCCTCGGCCTCCTAGTAGCTGGGATTACAGGCTTACAGGCATGCGCCACCACGCCCAGCTAATTTTTTGTATTTTTAGTAGAGATGGGGTTTTACCATGTTGGCCAGGCTGGTCTTGAACTCCTGACGTCAAGTGATCCACCAGCCTCGGCCTCCCAAAGTGCTGGGATTACAGTCTACTTTGTATTCTAGTAATTAACTAGGAATGGTTTTCTTTTGAAACCAATTTGTAGGACTGGTTTTCTTTTGAAATCAATTTGCATTCACATAGGCATTGAGTGAGAATGAGCTTGACTTTGCACAAAATCAATCCTATCCTCCTCTTTTTCTCCTGAGGCAGACACATTAAGGCTTATCAGGGAGAGGAGGAAAAAAAGAGGTTTGATATCTCGGAGACTGCTCCTGTGAAGACTCCTCAGGAAATCTGGAGTCAGAGTCCTCTCCTGACACTGTGACAAACTCAGACTTCCAAGGCCCAGAAAGACCTCAGGAAGCCTTCGACACTTAGGCTGTCAGAAGAAAAACAGTGCTACTGGCAGTCCCTCCTCAGCTCCCTGCCAATTGCTTTCTCAGGTGCCGTGTCAAAATGGAATCTCTGGTTCCAGCCATAACACCAAGATGGAATTTTTGGTTTGGGTTACTTCAGTAACCAGGCCAGGGAAAACCAAGTGGGCAGGAGTCGTGGTCCTTGATTAGAGGGGTCTTTAGTAAAAGCAATACCTACTTCGACTTCAGGCAGGAGGGGTGAGTAAACAGCACCTCTCGAGTAGGCAGCCTGGGTGACAGGGATCTCTGATCCAGGATGGGTCTTCCTTAGCTGGTGACTAAGGAAAAAGTGTTCAACTGAAGCCCAGAGCCCTGGATTCTAGTCCCTTCTCTTCTCTGGGCACCGGGACATATGGGGTTGGCTTAGGTCAGAGGGGTACATGCTAAGGCCAAGTAGGTAATAGATTGTTCAGGTCTATCAGCAATCACACAGCTCTCTTGGTCTGGCTCACCCTTAATTAAGAGAAAATGGTGGATTCGGAGGTAGGCGGAGAGGGCTGTGGTGGAGACAGCTCACAACTTTGAGAATTAAAGTCACTTTTTGTTTTTATTGTTGTTGTTTTTGAGACAGAGTCTCCCTCTGTCCCCCAGACTCGAGTGCAGCGGCATGATCTCAGCCCACAGCAACCTCCGCCTCACGGGTTCAAGCAATTCTCCTGCCTCAGCCTCCCGAGTAGCTGGGATTATAGGGCACGCGCCACCACACCCGGCTAATTTTTTTATTTTTTTATTTTTAGTAGAGGTGGGGTTTCACCATGTTGCCCCAGCTGGTCTCAAACTCCTAACCTCAAGTGATCCACCCGCCTCGGCCTCCTGAAGTGCTAGGATTACAGGCGTGAGCCACAGCACCTGGCCCTGGAGTCACTTTTTTAAAAACTGACTTTCCACGTGCTTTGGAGAACCAAGAGGAGACAGTATCGATTGTGGATCGGATGAGTTCCTTTGTATGAAACTTTCAGAGTAGCAGGGGAGTCTTAAGGGACTAAAGCAGGAGGAAACACAACTGAAAATGACAAGGGGAAATCTTACCAGCATGAAAGCAAAGTTCTGCGTTTAAGTTTAAAGGAAGATGAACCCTGTGAAGCCAGGACACACTGCGGGGAAGGGGACAAGAATGCAATTGAAAGCCCCTAACGGAGAAAAAAAAAAGCCCATATGTTTGTTTTGTTTTGTTTTGTTTTTGAGACAGAGTCTCGCTCTGTCGCCAGGCTGGAGTGCAGTGGCGCTATCTCAGCTCACTGCACCCTCCACCTCCCTGGTTCAAACGTTTCTCTTGCCTCAGCCTCCTGAGACGCTGGGATTACGGGCATGCATCACCATGCCCGGCTAATTTCTGTATTTTTAGTAGAGACAGGGTTTCACCATGTTGGCCAGTATGGTCTGAATTTCCTGACCTCATGATCTGCCTGCTTCAGCCTCCCAAAGTGCTAGGATTACAGGCGTGAGCCACCACGCCCGGCCCAAAAAACCCATATGTTTAGCATACGCTAAAAACACCAACTGAACCTTCTGGAGAAAGTGGGTCCTGTGGTGAGCTGACCACAGGGGTCCAGCTGCCCTCACAGTAGTCAGAGCACAGCTGCAGGAGCAGGCTCTGTCTAAGGCAGTCAAGGACACTGGCAGTGTCCAGAGACAGTTGCAAGGCTGAGGATCGTTCTCTGGTGCCACCAGGAAGAAGATGCAGCTCTGAGGAGAGTAAAGAAAAGACGTGCTGAGGACAGGGTGAGCTGGCTGCCCTCAAATATGGGCAAGGCCCTCAGGCAAAGGAGGACAGCAAGTCGGGGCAGTCCAAAAGCACTGCCTCTCGGATCACAAGACCTCTCCCTACCCCATAACAGGAAGTGTGGGCTCAGAGGGGAGGTGGCAAGGAAACAAAACAGGCACCAGGCCAGGCACAGTGGCTCACGCCTGTAATCCCAACACTTTGGGAGGCCGAGGTGGGTGGATCAACTGAGGTCAGGAGTTCGAGACCAGCTTAGACAACATGGTGAAACCCCGTCTCTACTAAAAAAACAAAAATTAGCCAGGCATGGTGGTGTGTGCCTGCAATCCCAGCTACTTGGGAGGCTGAGGTAGGAGAATTGCTTGAACCCAGGAAGTGGAGGTTGCAGTGAGGGCCGAGATCAAACCACCGCACTCCAGCTTGGGCAATAGAGTGAGACTCCGTCTCACAAAAAATAAAAATAAAAAAAGACACTGAGTGGGCCTGGTTGGTCTCAAAATTGCCACCGCTCCAGGTCAGGCAGGGTGGCTCACCGCTGTAATCCCAACACTTTGGGAGGCTGAAACGAGCTGATTTCATGAGCTCAGGAGTTCATGACAAGCCTGGGCTACGTGGCGAAACCCCAAGTCTACAAAAAATACAAAAATTAGCCGGGCTGTGGTGTGCACCTGTAGACCTAGCTACTCCGAAGGCTGAGGCAGGAGAATTGCTTGAGCCCAGGAGGCAGAGGTTGCAGTGAGCCGAGATCGGGCCACTGCACTCCAGACTGAGCAACAGAGGGAAACCCTGTCTCAAAAAAAAGAAAAGAAAAAAGAAAAAACGCCACCACTCCAAGCCTCTAGGGCAGTACTTCTCAAACCTATTTGCTTAGGAATCACCTGGGATCTTATTAAAACGTAGACTCTAATTCAGCAGGTCGGGGCTGGGCATGAGATTGTTCACTTCTGACAAGCTCCCAAATGATGCTATTATAACACCGGTCATCTAGGAACTACTTCGGTAACTAGGCGATAGACCACTTCCAAGTCAGAGGAGAAGGCCTGGAGAAGCCTTCTCTGTGGTCCAGCCTCATAGAACGGCAATCCTAGGGTCAGAGTGCCCTACAAGCTACAGGAGCCCCAAGGAGGAGGATAGTGGCTTAGAAGAGAGGTGCTCTCCTGGAGGTATACACCAATTTAACAAGTGGGCGTCTCCCAGTAAAAATTTTCTTAGGGGAAAGGGGGGAGTCAAGCTGTAGGTGTTGGCTCCCTAAAACAACTCACCACCTCAGAATTAGCTCCCAGGAGCAGAAACCAACGTCCTGCTGCCACACTTCTCTAGACTCAATCAGCTCTGCCCCACCCACTCCACAAAAGCTCTCTGCCGCGTCTTCCTCTAGGGGAGAGGTGACTGCAGGCTGGGAGACTCCCCAGCTGTGACTCAGACCGACGGAATCAAATCTGTTCCCCCAGGCTCAGCATTCACCAGATCCTGACCTCCCCCTCTGACCAGCCCCAACCCACCTTTCCAAGCCCCACCTCTCAGTCCATGGGCCACCCCTCGCCCACCCCACTTCCCTGTCTCTGGCTCATCTTCAGATGTGTCCCTAGCTCCCAACCCGTCCAAGCGCAGCCGAGTTTCTCGGTCCACATCGCCTCGATATTCCCACAGCATCTGTGGTCTCTCTTAAAAAAAAAAGTGTGCCCGTATCGCCGTTTTACGGAACGTCCCTGGAAGGTCCCTCGAGTGGCCCTCTCGGATGCTGAGGTCCTGTCAACGCCCCTTTGTCTCCCCGTGCGGCGCCGAGCGCAGTGCAGGACACACAGGAAGTGCTCCGAAACAGGGCTAGGGTGGGGGCGGCAACCGTGCCCGGAGGGGGCGCCCAGAGCGCAGGGACTCGGCCGGGCCGAGTGATGTTCCCCCCAAAAAACAAGAGTCATCGGGATGAGGGCCAGGGACCCCGAATTCAGCGCCGGGCAGCCCTCGGAGCCGGAGCCAGGCTGGCCGGGTCCGGCTCAGGCATCCCTTCCTTCCGGAGCCCCTCGACGCGCGTCCGGCCACCCACCTCAGCGCCCTCACCTTGTAAACCTTGCCGAAGGCGCCGTCGCCCAGCTCGCCCACGATCTCCCACACCTCGTTGGGGTCCAGGTCGCGGCGGACGTGCTCATATTCGCGGGACTTTCTCTTCTCGAAGGTAGACAGGCGCAGGATGCGGCGGAAATTGGCAAAAGCCATGGCCGGGGGCGCGGTGGCGCCGGCTCGGGCTCGGGCTCGGGCTCGGGCTGTGGCTTCGGCGGCCGCGAGGAGAAGGAGGAGGAGTTGGAGGACGCCGCGTCTCTCGGGGTTCTCCCCAGACCCGCCTTTCCCCGCAGCCCGACCTCGGTCAAGTGTGCCCTGGGCAGCGCCGCGCCGGGAGCACCCGGAACCGCGCAGGCGGCGGCGTGCCCGCCCCCGCCCCCGCCCTGTCAGGTCCCCAGGGCCGCCTCCCTTGTGCCGGCCTCGCAGCTCCTGCCCGGCCCAGCCCTGCCTGCGAGAGCCTCGGACCCGTTCCAGGGGACCGTCCCCGCGCCCGCCCACCGGCCCGGCTCCACCCGCCGCTCCCCGGCAGAGCCCCGGGACCCCCTAATTGGCTGCGGGCGCTCCCCGGCTCCGCCCGTCGCCGCAGGGCACTCTGGAAACTGTAGTCCCCCCACACCACGCTCCGCGAGCCGCGGGCTGGGCTTTGGGGAAGCTTCGGGGACCGCTCGGTGGGACCGCTCATGGACTCAGGAGCCCGCCCGCCGCGCCGCGTGGCTCCCAAAACTTTTATGGGAGCAAGCGGGACGGCGACTTGGCATTTCGCGAGAGCCCACGGATCGTTGTCAGCGCCCAGAAGGTGAACCTGCACTCGTTCATTTAATCCTCCCGCAGCTATTCCGCTAGGCTGCCCTCGCCCCCACTTTTCCGATGGGGACGCCGGCAGGCGAGGGCACTCGCCCCAGGCACACACGCTGGCTGCCCGTCTGCTGCGGGTTCCTCGGCGCGGTGCTGCCTCCTAGTGTGCGACGGGCAACGCCGGTGCAGCCGCGGCCAGTCCCTGCAGGGCCCGGCTTCCCGGCGCGGTCCTTTCCAGGGGCTCCCCGTCCACGATCCACAAACCTGCCAGGATTAGAGGGCTGGGAGAAAGAGCTCCTTTGGCACTGATTTCTCTTATGTTTCCTGATGGGTTTGCGGATGTATTTGCATATTAAATAAAAACTTTATTCTAATTTTTAATTTCCTAGTTTCAAAAAAGATGAGCGCACTACATACAGATCAAACTAAAGTCTTCTTTGAGCACCTTCATTCTCGATCCTGGCTACTTGAGTCACTTCACTGCTACTGTTGCCTGTTTGTCCTATAGACGGTTATAACATGCTTTTACCTGAATCTAAGGAGAGTGCTGGGGGTGGGGGGGGGGGGCGGGCAGTCTGCAAGGGTTATTATTTGGACCGTGTCATAAACAAGTTGAGTCTTCGCAAATGTCACAGTTCAATAGCTCCAACCCCAGAGAACGGCTGTGTTGAGGTGTTTTCGCCCCTTCCTCGGTGCTTTGTTCGAAAACATCCTTTGAACAGTGTGCAAACACCAAGCATGGTTTTCCACTGGGAAAGCCAGCTCAAGAAGCCTGCGATGCTGGTAGTGGTCGGCGCAGAGGGTGTCCTGGTTGCTAAGCCGTTCGGAATGTTTCCACAGCTGCAGGAGTGCCTGGAATTGTAGAGGGTCTTTAAAAGAAGGAAACGCCGCTCGTCGCTGACCGTTCTCATTGAGTCAGGCGCTGTCTGAACCTCCCAAAACATGCTGAAAGGCAGGTCTTTCATTTGTTTCAGACCATTTGGCCAACTGTACGAAGCGGGTGGGGAGACCAAGAGGGTTGCTTCCATACTAGGAGATGAAGGCTCTGACTCCACGAAAGCTGTAGGCCTGGAGGGCTCTGACCAGCTCTGAGAGCTCCAGAAAAGCAAGCAAGCGAGAGAAAGAGAGAGAGAAAGGAAAGAGAGAAAGAGAGAAAGAAAGAAAGAGAAAGGGAAAGGAAAGGAAGAAAGAGAGAAAGGAAAGAGAGAAAGAGAGAAAGAAAGAAAGAGAAAGGGAAAGGAAAGGAAGAAAGAGAGAAAGAAAAAGGAAAGGAAGAGAAGGAGAGAGAAAGAGGGAGGGAGGGAGGGAAGGAAGGAAGGGAGGGAGGGAGGAAGGAAGGGAAAGAAAAACGGAGAGGTTCATTCATTCAATAACACTAAGTCAAAGAAGCCAGACACAAAAGGCCCTGTGTTCTATAAATTTCCATTTATATGAAATGTCTGGAAAAGGCAAATCCATACAGACAGAAAGTAGATTAATGGTTGCCTGGAGCTGGGTGTGAAATGGGAATTAACTGTACATGAACAATAAACAGTCTAATTGGGGTGATGAAAATGTCCTAAAACTGCACAATGGTGACAATTTCATAATTTGGTAAATTTGCCAAAAATAATTGAATTTTAAACTTTCATTTTTGTAAATGGATGAATTTTATGTGTAAATTATACCTCAATAGCATTGTAAGAAATACATTGAGGTTCAATAGAATCAAAGCTACTTCTTTGAAATAACTAATAGACAAGACTAGTCAAAGAAAAAGAAAAAAAGGGTCGGGCACGGTGGCTCACACCTGTAATCCCAGCATTTTGGGAGGCCAAGCTGGGTGGATCACCTGAGGTTAGGAGTTCAAGACCAGCCTGGCCAACATGGCAAAACCCCAGCTCTACGAAAAATACAAAACTTAGCCGGGCGGGGTGGTGCACGCCTGTAACCCAAGCTACTTGGGAGGCTGAGGCAGAAGAATCACTTGAACCCAGAAGATGGAGGTTGCAGTGAGCCGAGATCGTACCATTGCACTCCATCTAGCCTGAGCAACAGAGCAAGACTCCGTCTCAAAAAAAAAAAGAAAAGAAAAAAAAAAAATTGGTGCAAGAAAGAAATATTCACTGGAAGAAATAAAAAATGAAAAGAGAACATCAGATTAGATACTGTAGAAATTTTGATAATCATAAAGTGATATTTTAGACAAATTTATGTGAATAAATGTTTTAATTTACATAAAATGGGTAATTATTGAGAAGAAAATATAAATGATAGGTAAAAGATAATTTCAATAAGAAATAAAAACCTAAATAAACTAGTAACCAATAAAGAAATCAAATCAAGAATCAGGCCGGGCACAGTGGCTCATGCCTGTAATCCCAGCACGTTGGGAGGCTGAGGCGGGTGAATCACCTGAGGTCAGGAGTTCGAGACCAGCCTGGGCAACATGGTGAAACTCTGTCTCTACTAAAAATACAAAAATTAGTCGGGTGTGGTGGTGCGTGCCTGTGGTCCCAACTACTCATGAGACTCAGGCACAAGAATCCCTTCAACCTAGGAGACGGAGGTTGCAGTGAGCCGAGATCACACCACTGCACTCGAGCCTGGGCAACACAGTGAGACTCTGTCTCTAAACAAAAACAAACAAACAAAAACCCAAAAAACAACAACCACAAAAATCAAGAATCAAAAGCTTGTTCTTGGTGAAAGACATCAGTCTGTGTGGTTTTACAAATAATTTCTTTCTTTATATAAATTATTTTAAAAGATAGAAAATGAAGGAAATCTGCCAATTTATTTTATAAGATGAGTTTTACTATTACTAGATAAGGACAGTAAAAGAAAATTGTAAGCCAGGCACAGTGGCTTACACCTGTAATTCCAGCACTTTGGGAGGCTGAGGTGGGAGGATCACTTGAGCCCAGGAGTTCCATACCAGCCAGAGCTATAAAGTGAGACCCTGTTTCTACAAAAAGTCAAAAAATTAGCCAGGCGTGGTGGTGCACACCAGTGGTCCCAGCTACTCAGGAGGTTGAGGCAGGAGGATTCCTTGAGCCCAGGAGGCCGAGGCTGCAGTGAACAGTGATCTCACCGCTGCACCAGCCTGGTCTCCAGTGAGACCCTGTCTTAAAAAGGAAGGGAAGGAGAGGAAAGAGAGAGAGAGAAAGAAAATTGTAGACTAATTTCATTTCATTTTTTTTTTTTTTTTTTTTTGACAGAGAGAGTCTTGCTGTGTCGCCAGGCTGGAGTGCAATGGTGTGATCTCACCTCACTGCAACCTCCACCTCCCAGATTCAAGCGATTCTCCCGCTTCAGCCTCCCAAGTAGCTGGGACTACAGGAACGTGCCACCACGCCCGGCTAATTTTTGTATTTTTAGTGGAGATGAGGTTTCACCATGTTGGCCAGGATGGTCTCAATCTCTTGACCTCGTGATCCGCCCGCCTCAGCCTCCCAAAGTACTGGGATTACATGTGTGAGCCATCACGCCCGGCCTAATTTCAGTTCTTAAAAAGACAGGGAAAATACAAATGCTAGCAAGATCAAACCAGAGGTGAATAAAAATATCGTAACCACAAAAGGTTTATCCAGGAATAAAAGAATGGTTCTACATCAGAAAATCTACTGTAATAGCACTGCATTGGCAGAGTAAAGGAGAAAAATCACATAGTCTTAATAGTCACAGAAAAAGCATTTTATAGTATTCTTAGGTTGGATTCCCTTAGAGACTGACCCTGAGGCAAGGATTTGAGTGTAAGTGGTTTATTTGGGAGTGAGTAGGGAGTAGAAAATTAAGACAGAGGAGGGGCTGGGCACCATGGCTCACACCTGTAATCCCAACACTTTGGAAGGCTGTGGTGGGAGGATAGCTTGAGGCCAGGAGTTCAAGACCAGCCTTGGCAATGTAGCAAGATCCTATCTCTACAAAAAATACAACGTGGTAGCACATGGGCATAGTCCCAGCTATGAGGAGGTGGAGGTGGGAGGATAGCTTGAGCCTGGGATTCAAGGCTGCAGTGAGGTATGACCATACCACTGCACTCCAGCCTAGGAGACAGAGTGAGATCCTGTCTCAAAAAAAAAAAAAAGAAAAAAGAAAAAAAAAATTAATGTCAGGGCACAGTGGCTCATACCCGTACTCCCAGCACTTTGTGAGGCCAAGGCGGGTGGATCACTTGAGGGCAGGCATCAAGACCACCCTGGCCAACATGGTTAAACCTCATCTCTACTAAAAATACAAAAATTGGGCTGGGTGCAGTGGCTCACGCCTGTAATCTCAGCACTTTGGGAGGCCGAGGCAGGCGGATCACAAGGTCAGGAGATGAAGACCATCTTGGCTAACACGGTGAAACCCGTGTCTACTAAAAATACAAAAATTAGCCGGGAGTGGCGGAGTGTGCCTGTAGTCCCAGCTGCTGGGGAGGCTGAGGCAGGAGAATGGTGTGAACCTGGGAGGTGGAGCTTGCAGTGAGCCGAGATCGCGCCACTGCACTCCAGCCTGGGAGACAGAGCGAGACTCCATCTCAAAAAATAATAATAATAAAAATAAAATAAAATAAAAAATAAAAAATAAAAACAAAAATTTAGCTGGGCGTGGGGGTGCATGCCTGTAATTCCAGATACTCGGGAGGCTGAGGCAGGAGATTCGCTTGAATCCAGAAGACAGAGGTTGCCGTGAGTCAAGACTGTGCCATTATAGTCCAGCCTGGATGATAAGAGTGAAACTCTGTCTCAAAAAAAGAAAAAAAAGAGGCAGGGCTCAATGGTTCAGACCTGTAATCCCAGCACTTTGGGAGGCCAAGACGGGCGGATCACAAGGTCAGGAGATGAAGACCATCCTGGCTAACGTGGTGAAACCCCGTCTTTACTAAAAATACACAAAATTAGCCGGGCGTGTTGGTGGGCGCCTGTCGCCTGTAGTCCCAGATACTCAGGAGGCTGAGGCAGGAGAATGGCGTGAACCCGGGAGGCGGAGCTTGCAGTGAGCAGAGCTCGCGCCACTGCACTCCAGCCTGGGTGACAAGGCAAGACTCTTGTCTCAATTAAAAAAAAGAAAAGAAAAAAGAAAAACTTCCTCTCTTTGGCATTATTATACTGTAGTTATTCTAGGCTCTTTTAGTACTTTTCCATGTGTTTTTCAATTTTTCTTCTTTCTAATAAATGATTTAGGCTATAAATGCTCTGAAAACCACTTGGGCTGTGTAGCAGTTTTCCTATGTAGCACATTCTCTCATTCATTTCTGAACAGCCTGTGGATCTCCTTTAGAACTGATTGTATTTTAGTGACATAAGGATAATCACGTTACCAAGAGGTTTCGGACAGCAGATATCTATCTATAGCATAGCTGGAAAAATTAAGAAGCAGCAATTTTAATTTTTGACTGTTTCCTCTGACGTGTTTACCTTCACTGCTGCCAGATCTCAGACACTATATCCAACATTCTACTTCTGAGGCAGGGTTCTGTATTCTATTTCTGGTTGCCAGAGCCTTCAGTTGACACAGTACTAAGATGAGACTGAAGCAAGGATCGTTTCTGTGGTACCTCTATCTGGACAAAATATACTGCTTATTATCCGTGAGAAACGTGAAGGCTTTGGCAGAATATTTTCATATTCTGGACGTGCACGGCAAGAACACCTTGAATGGTCAGTACTTTCAGACATGTCTCCTCTGGGTCCTTACCTGGGTTTTAGCTAATGTGTAAGAAAACTTGCAGAGCCAGAAACTATTTTGTTAGTACATTTTTTTTTTTTTGAGACGGAATCTCGCTCTATTGCCCAGGCTGGAGTACGATGGCGCGATCTCAGCTCACTGCAATCTCCGCCTCCAGGGTTCAAGCAATTCTCCTGCCTCAGCCTCCTGAGTAGCTGGGATTACAGGTGTCTGCCACCACGCCTGGCTAATTTTTTGTATTTTCGGTAGAGATGACCAGACCATGTTGGCCAGGCTGGTCTCAAACTCCTGACATCAGGTGATCCACCCGCCTCCGCCTCCCTAAGTACTGGGATTACAAGTGTGAGCTACCACACCCGGCCTGTTAGTAAATATTTTATCTTCTAGTTGAAGCACAGAGAGAAGTTGCCAACTCAGAATTGACACGGGGGACAGTTCAGCCGGGAGGAGAAAATTGCAGACTCTGGTGGAATCCTGGCTCCACACCCATTATTCCTTGGTGATGTGGATAACACGTCATCGCCCTCTCTAAGTCTCATTTTCCTCATCTAGAGGTGAGGCTTCTCATAATGGAGTCCATCTCATAGTTGGAAAAAAAAAAGATAATGAGAGTATGGCAAATGCTTAGCACAGTGTCTGACACATCGTAAGGACTTAATAAGTGTTTGTTATTATTGTAATTATTATTCTTGGGAGCTGAGCCCCACTCAGGCATTAACTCTGGAGACCCCTCAGCAAGATTTATCTGTCATGTGGGAAGTTTGAATCTGATGAGCTGCAGGATCCCTTCTACTTATTGGTACTTGTGAATGACCAAAAATAAATAAATAAATAAATAAATAAATAAAAATAAATAAATAAATAAATAAATATAAAAGCTGCAGATCTCAGCCATGCTTGTTGAGTTCACAAACTAATAGAAGTCCAATTAAACACTTGAGGTTATTTTTAGGACTGAGTAGAAATAAGGTATCCTATCCATTCACTCGTTCTGACCTCAGAGAGAGAAATGTCATCCGTGAGTAAGGGGTTCCTCCGTCATGATTTTAAGGAGTTCATTCAATTTTTAAAAACAATTAAAAAAGAACACCTTCTTTCTCTCTTTACATAGAGATTTATGTACAGTGCATTGCCAAATCTTCGCAATAACCCTGCCCTAGATAAGGCAGCTGCAGGGGACCTAGTTGTAAATAAAAGGCTGAGATGGAAACGCAGGGCTCTCTGCCTGCAAAGCCCATGCTGAGTCTCTCTGGGATGCTTGAGGAGTTTAAGCTCCCTGGTAACCTCCCTGCTGATGCAGTACCCAGGAGGTAACGCCATGCTCATGTCTTCTGGTCACAGAGGGACTGGAGAGTGACCTGGAAGGGTGAAGGCACAGCCTTAATGTTTGCCTTCCTGTGGGGGAATGACTTAAGGTTTTGGAGACTTGGGTGAGCCAGAGTCCACCGGTTTCAAAACAGTCTTTTATTTATTTATTTATTTATTTATTGGGACGGAGTCTCGCTCTGTCGCCCAGAAGTGCAGTGGCCCAATCTTGGCTCATTGCAACCTCCACCTCCCGGGTTCAAGTGATTCTCCTGCCTCAGCCTCCTGAGTAGCTGGGACTACAGCTGTGCACCACCACACCCGCTAATTTCTGTATTCTTAGTAAAGACGGGCGGGGTTTCACTATGTTGGCCAGGCTAGTCTCTGTTGGCCAGGCTAGTCTCGAACTCCTGACCTCAAGTGATCCGCCCACCTCAGCCTCCCAAAGTGCTGGGATTACAGGCGTGAGCTATCACACCCGGCCTCAAAACAGTCTTTGTTAAGTAATTACTAAGTTGCACATGGAAACATTTCTCAAGCAGCAACTACACAAACATCACTGTGCATATATATGGTGTGTTGTTTCCAGGTGCTCATATCCAGAGAGGCGTGGAGAAGGAACATCAAGAGGCGGTCAGAAGCCCCCAAATCATGACATTGTGACTACTAATTTGCTGTGCTTTTAGCTGGCTTCAGCTGGGACTCCACATTACACAGATACGTTTTACCTATTCAGTGGAGACATTTCTTTTTTTTTTTTTTGAGACGGAGTTTCACTCTTGTTGCTCAGGCTGGAGTGCAGTGGCGCCATCTTGGCTCACTGTAACCTCCGCCTCCTGGGTTCAAGCGATTCTCCTCCCTAGTAGCTGGGATTACAGGCATGCACCACTACGTCCGGCTAATTTTGTATTTTTAGTAGAGACGAGGTTTCTCCATGTTGGTCAGGCTGGTCTTGAACTCGTGACCTCAGGTCATCCTCCTGCCTCGGCCTCCCAAAGTGTTGGGATTACAGGTGTGACCCACCGCACCTGCCCACTGGAGCCATTTCTTATGCAGGAGAGAGTTTCTGTCATCAGTGAGTAAGGGGAAACACATGTAGATAAACGTAAAAATCCCTTGTTACTGTAATTTGTACATACAACTGTAGACAGCCACACACCACTGTGTAAGTGTATTGCCATGCTTGTTTTTTTCATATTTTATTCATGATTAATGAGTGGCAGGCAAAAAACTTCTCTGTACTTGGTTTGCAACAAGATCTTGAAAATGAAAACAACAAAAAAGAAAACAACAAAAAACTTCCCAGTTCTTTAAAGAGTTTTTCAGTATTTTTTCTTCTGAATGTGTATGATTAAATATGCATTAACTAATGCACAAAAGATAGAGTTTCACCATGGAAAAAAACACCACGGTGAGGGAAATCCACACTCGAACCCCAGCTCTGCCACTTGCTATGTGAGGCACAACTTTTTTTTTTTTTTTTTAAACAGAGTTTCACTTTTGTTGCCCAGGCTGGAGTGCAATGGCACAATCTTGGCTCACCACAACCTCTGCCTCCCGGGTTCAAACAATTCTCCTGCCTCAGCCTCCCGAGTAGCTGGGATTACAGGCATGCGCCACCATGCCCAGCTAATTTTGTATTTTTAGTAGAGACGGGTTTTCTCCATGTTGGTCAGGCTGATCTCGAACTCGTGACCTCAGGTAATCCGCCTGCCTCAGCCTCCCAAAGTGCTAGGATTACAGGCATGAGCCACCGCGCCCAACGTGAGGCACACCTTTGCTGCTCAATGTGTGGTCCTCAGATTAGCCACAGCCACATCACCTAGGAGCTTGGAGAAATGGGCAGTCTCAAGTTCCATGCCAGATTTCTTGAATCAGAATCTGTAGTTTTATAATATCCCTCAAGTGACTGGTATCCCCATTACAGTTTGAGAAATGCTAATATAGACTAATTGATATCTGAGACTTACTATAAAGGGTATTGTGTCTGGTGTTGGTTCCTTCTGGTGGGTTCGTGGTCTCCCTGACTTCAAGATAAAGCCACAGACCCTCGCGGTGAGTGTTACAGCTCTTAAAGGTGGCACAGACCCAAAGAGTAAGCAGCATCAAGATTTATTGTGAAGAGTAAAAGAACAAAGCTCCTACAGCATGAAAGGGGACCCAAGCAGGTTGCCGCTGCTGCCTGGGGTGGCCAGCTTTTATTCCCTTATTTGTCCCTGCCCACGTCCTGCTGATTGGTCCATTTAACAGAGTGCTGATTGCTCCATTTTACAGAGTGCTGATTGCTGCATTTACAATCCTTTAGTTAGACACAGAGTGCTGATTGGTGCATTTACAATCCTTTAGCTAGACCTAGAGCACTCATTGGTGTGTTTTTACAGAGTGCTGATTCGTGCATTTACAATTCTTTAGCTAGACACAGAGTGCTGATTGTGTGTTTTTAAAATCCTCTTGCAAGACAGAAAAGTTCTCCAAGTCCCCACTCGACCCAGGAAGTCCAGCTGACTTCACCTCTCAGCATGATGCCACTTTCTCTGTAGGGTTGTCAGGATTTAGTGAAATGTGGCATTTAAAGTGCCTAACATGGCTGGGTGCACTGGCTCACACCTATAATCTCAGCAGTTTGGGAGGCAGAGGCAGGTGGATTGCTTGAGCCCAGGAGTTCGAGACGAGTCTGGGCAACATAAGGAGACCCCATCTCTACAAAAAATTAAAAAATTACCTGGACATGGTGGCATGCACCTGTGGTCCCAGCTACTTGGGAGGCTGGGGTGGGAGGATCATTTGAGCCTGGGAGGTTGAGTCTGCAGTGAGCTGTGAATGTGCCATTGCACTCCAGCCAAAAAATAAATAAAAAATAAAGTGCCTAACACATAAGGTGGTAAATAAGGTTTGGTCCCTTCCCCCTACAGCCAGATGCATTTGCTTTATACAAGCATGAGGCACATCAAGGCGTTTATAGACGGGGAATGACTTTTGTTGTTGTTGTTTTTGAGACGGAGTCTTGGTCTGTCGCCCAGGCTGGAGTGCAGCAGCACGATCTTGGCTCACTGCAACCTCCGCCTCCCGGGTTCAAGCAATTCTCTGCCTCAGCCTTCCAAGTAGCTGGGACTACAGGTGTGTGCCACCACGCCTGGCTAATTTTTGTATTTTTAGTAGAGACAGGGTTTCACCATATTGGCTAGGCTGGTCTCAAACTCCTGACCTCGTGATTTGCCCGCCTTGGCCTCCCAAACTGCTGGGATTACAGGCATGAGCTACTGTGCCTGGCCGAAGGGGAATGATTTTGTATTCCTCATTTTAATTATCTCAAGGGAAAGGCAAAGGAAAAATGTCAGCATCTCCAAGAAAGTGTTCTCAGTCCCCAGTGAGAATTAAGCTCTCCTTTCATACATAAGGAGCACTTTGTGCCCATTTTATATGTTAGCGCCTTGCCTTTTATCAGTGCTGTGTACATATCTGTCTGCTCCATGGAGTGTGTGAGCTGGGGGCAGGAGCCAAGCCCTGTCCACGATCTCATTCTCCACAACTCCAGGTCCAGTGCTTTTCCACAAGCTCAAGGGCGACGAAGGTTTCAGGAACTATAGAAAGTACAGTGGCAAAGCCAGAAACAAAATATTATCATCATTCTTCCTAGATCAATAAGCTTCCAACATCACTACCATTTACATGGCTTCTAGCTGTTTAGCATTTTGGAACTATATCCAAATAACACATCTCCTCACCTGCCCACCTTAACAGATGTGCTGTTCTATCACTTCCTTCATCATGTGACTGACTTGAAAAAGGCACAGATCAACATTGTGTTTGACATGCTGGACTGGAACGCTGTGGGCGAGATCGACTTTGAGAAGTTCTACATGCTGGTGTGCATGCTGCTGGCCCACCAGGCAAGTAGCCGCGCGGCTGCTGCCATCCTCTTGCTAATGGGAGCACTGAATTAGGAATGCATCAGAAGTTTTCCTCCTTTCACTAAAAAGAGGAAGAAAAGATGGGTGGTGGGGAAAATGAGTTTTGGTTCCCGAATGGTTCAGGTTTTTCAACAGCTTCTCCCTGAGGCAGCCCCAGCCTCTTGGCCGCCCTCCTACTCTGCCCACCCTCGTAAAGGACAGATGTGGCCCATCGCATCCCTTCTTGGCATTCCTTTCCTCACTTGCTCTAGCTGGTGATTTTCAGAGAATCACCAGTTAGCTCAAATGCCTCACTCCTTCAATGATCCTTTTCCTCAGAGAACCTTCTGAGGTCTTTTCTTACCGTATATACATTTCCAGTATGTACTTACCCAGTTTCCTTTTTTTTTTTTTTTTTTTTTTGAGACTGAGTCTCAATCTGTGGCCCAGGCTGGAGTGCAATGGCGCGATCTCAGCTCACTGCAACCTCCACCATCTGGGTTCAATAGATCAAGTAGCTGGGACTACAGGTGCACACCCCCACACCTGGCTAATTTCTGTATTTTTAGTAGAGATGGGGTTTCACCATGTTGGCCAGGCTGGTCTCAAACTCCTGACCTCAAGTGATCCACCCACCTCGAGCCTCCCAAAGTGCTGGGATTATAGGTGTGAGCCACCACACCCCGCCTCAGTTCCCATTTTTTTGAGGGAAGGAGGTCATCGTTTTATCACCCACGCCATGATGTTTCACAAGACTTTCACTGAAGGTAAGGAAATGCATTATAGTAACTAGGGTTCCGTCTAGCAGAATTGATTATTACAAGAGGCAGAATTCAAGTTCCTTTTGAATGCAGATGCTGAAGTGGGACTTGCTGCATTTGCTGATAGAACCCTTTCAGCCCTGAGCTTCTGATTTTCTCTTTTGCTTTTAGCTCTCTAGGGAAGGGGCTGGTGAAGATATGTCTTGAGGAAACAAGTTTAGAAAGCAGCATCGACAACACTGTTGCTCATCTCACCTATTTCTCTCGCAATAGAACCATTTGGAAGGACAGTTTATGTATCGTCATTCCCGGCCTGTCTTTGACCTGCTTGACCTGAAAGGGGATCTGAGAATTGGTGCAAAAAACTTCGAAATGTACAGATTTCTCTTCAATATTCAAAAACAGGAACTCAAAGATCTCTTCCGTGACTTTGACATTACAGGTGACAATGTAAGTACAGATCCAAAATGTGGCATGTGTGTGGCAGTCTCTTCCCAAAAGCAGAGAAAAATGTCCTACTACATATAGGAGAGATGGGAGAGGAGGAGGGAGGGAAAAACCTACTCAAATAAGCACATTGCATGGCACAAGGATCAGAAAAAAACTTAAGAGACTTATGGGATCTTGAAGAGAAAGGGTGGACTAACTGCTGTATCATGGCCAGGCTCGGGGGCTCATGCCTGTAATCCCAGGACTTTGGGAGGCTGAGGCAGGAAGATCACCTGAGGACAGGAGTTTGAGACTAGCCTGGCTAACATTGTGAAACCCTGTCTCTACTAAAAATGCAAAAATACAAAAATTGGCCAGGCGTGGTGGCTCACGCCTATAATGCCAGAATTTTGGGAGGCCGAGGTGGGTGGATCACCTGAGGCTGGGAATTTGAGACCAGCCTGACCAATACGGAGAAACCCTGTCCCTACTAAAAATACAAAATCAGCCAGGCGCAGTGGCACATGCCTGTAATCCCACATACTTGGGAGGCTGAGGCAGGAGAATCGCTTGAACCTGGGAGGTGGAGGTTACAGTGAGCTAAATCATGCCATTGTACTCCAGCCTGGGCAACAAGAGGGAAACTCCGACTTAAAAACAACAACAACAACAAAAATTAGCCAGGCGTGGTGGCAGGTGCCTGTAATCCCAGCTACTTGGGAGGCTGAGGCAGAAGAATCACTTGAATCCGGGAGGCGGAGGTTGCAGTCAGTCATGATCACACCATTGCACTCCAGCCTGGGTGACACAGGGAGACTCCATCTTAAAAAACAAACAAACAAACAAACAAACAAAAAATGCTACATCATATAATATGGATACAAAATTATACTTTGGAGGAAATATAATATGACAGTAGTTTAGTGTTGGGGGAAGAGTTTGTAGATTTGAATTAAACAGGAAGAGATTATATGATGAATGGGAGCATGTGAGCATAATCCTAAAGGCTGAGCACTGTGGTGCGCACCTGTAGTCCCAGCTCCCTGGGAGGCTGAGAAGGGAGGATCGCTTGAGCCCAGGAGTTCCAGGCCAGCCCGGGCAACATAGTGAGATCCTGTCTCAAAAAAAATTCCTAAGAGAAAGCTATGGTGAAGACAGTGAATTCTGCCTATTTAAAGAGGAAATCCACATTGGGGAAACAAGTGGCAGCTAAGGTTGAAAACAATGATCACACTGTGAACAACCTTAGATGCCAGCCTGAAGCCTCTGGACTTCACATGGTAATGATCGGTGAAAAAAGTAATTGCGGTTTTTGCCATTGAAAGTTGGCAGGCTGGGGTTGGGCGCGGTGGCTCATACCTGTAATCCCAGGACTTTGGGAGGCCGAGGTGGGCAGATCACGAGGACAGGAGATCGAGACCATCTTGGCTAACACGGTGAAACCCCATCTCTACTAAAAATACAAAAAAACTAGCTGGGCATGGTGGCAGGTGCCTGTGGTCCCAGCTACTCGGGAGGCTAAGGCAGGAGAATGGTGTGAACCTAGGAGGCGGAGCTTGCAGTGAGCCGAGATCATGCCACTGCCTGGGCGACAGAGTGAGACTTCATCTCAAAAAAAAAAAAAAAAAAAAAAAAGAAAGTAATGGCAAAAGCCGCAATTACTTTTGCCTTTTCTACCAACCTAATGGAAGAAAGTGACCTTTGTGCTGGGCACCATGGCTCATGACTGTAATCCCAACATTTTGGGAGGCTGGGGTGGGTGGATAACTTGAGGCCAGGAGTTCAAGATCAGCCTGGCCAACATGGTGAAACCCTGTCTCTACTAAAAATACAAGAATTAGCCAGGCGTGGTGGCACACGCTTGTAAGCCCAGTTACTCGGGAGGCTGAGATGGGAGAATCCCTTGAACCCGGGAGGCGGAGGTTGCAGTGAGCTGAGATCACGCCACTGCCCTCCAGCCTGGGTGACCAAGTGAGACCCCGTCTCAAAAAAAAAAAAGGCCAGGCACAGTGTCTCACGCCTGTAATCCCAGCACTTTGGGAGGCCGAGGCAGGCGGGTCATGAGGTCAGGAGTTTGAGACCAGCCTGACCAACGTGATGAAACCCCATCTCTACTAAAAATACAAAAATTAGCTGGGCGTGGTGGTGTGCATCTGTAATCCCAGCTACTCAGGAGGCTGAGGCAGGGGTATCACTTGAACCTGGGAGGTGGAGTTGCAGTGAGCCGAGATAGCGCCACTGCACTCCGGCCTGGGCGACAGAGAGAGACTCCGTCTCAAAAAAATAAAAGTGGCCCTTGTTCCTTTAGCATCTACAATAGACTCTCTATTCCTGGGTACTCGACTACAATCGGACTATAATTATGTCCCAATTACTGAGTGTCTTTAATTTTCCAAGTTTTTAAAATAGAAATGAATATAATCCTATCATCTGAAACAAAGTATGAAGTTTTTCCTGAAATAATTTTTCTTTCCCCCCCACCCTAACCAAAGCGTCTTAATTATCAGGAATTTAAGCTGTATACAATCATCTACACTGACAAATTACAGAAGAGGCAGAAAACAGAGGAGAAAGAAAAAGGAGAGAGAAAGAGAAGTCTCTACTCAAAATGTCACATCAAGTAGATACAAGCTGAAAGAGTCTTGGAAAAAAATGGGATCTGAAAGTACAGAACATGAACATTGATGAAGACTGTTAACATGTCTAAAAATAAATTCAGAGCATCAAAGTAGATATCTTTATAATGACTTTTTTTTTTTTGAGACTGACTCTTGCTCTATCGCCCAGGCTATAGTACAGTGGGATGATCTGGGCTCACTGCAACCTCTGCCTCCTGGGTTCAAGTGATTCTCATGTCTCAGCCTCCCGAGTAGCTGGGATTACCACCATGCCCAGCTAATTTTTTGTATTTTTAGTAGAGATGGGGTTTCACTATGTTACTCAGGCTGGTCTCGAACTCCTGACCTCAAGTTATCCACCCACCTTAGCCTCCCAAAGTGCTGGGATTACAGGTGTGAGCACTGTGCTCAGCCAGGTTTTGAATTTTAATAACCTCTTGATCTCACACAGAACTCACAATAATGTGGAATAACCACTTTCGTTTTGTTGACATGTCCTAATTCTGCTGCTGCTTTTCAGATCAACCCTGATCAATAGCTTCCGCTGTATCCAACTAATTGCTAACACAACATACTGGAGCCAGGTAGGCGAAAGAAGGTGCAGCTTTCATGATATTGGTCATAGTGGTCCAACAGCCTCCTACTTCTTAGGCTAAGGCCACCTAGGTGCCAGAGATTTCAAATTAGCCAATGGTGACGTGCTCCAACCACACAGTAGTTGACATTTAAGAATATGGAGGCTATGTTCTTCCTAGAATCTTAATTACTCTGAGTTAGGTACTTAAACAAGTGTACCAAATTCACTAGGGTAAAATAATAATTATTATTTTTTGAGACTGAGTCTTGCTCTGTCACCCAGGCTGGAGTGCAGTGGCGCAATCTCGGCTCACTGCAACCTCTGCCTCCCCGGTTCAAGCGATTCTCCCTGCCTCAGCCTCCCGAGTAGCTGGGACTACAGGCGTACCCCACCAGGCTTGGCTAATTTTTGTATTTTTAGTAGAGACGGGGTTTTACCATATTGGCCAGGCTGGTCTCAAACTCCTGACCTCGTGACTCACCTGCCTTGGCCTCCCAAAGTGTGGGGATTACAGGCGTGAACCATCGTGCCTGGCTTGGTAAAATAATTATTATATGCCATTGAATAATTTTAATTTTTTTATGCCTTGAATAATTTAAAAATATTTTTGGGGATGGAACTTATGAATCCTCTCTACCCAATTGTACTGTAATGTTACTGATGACAGCTACCATATTATCATGTGCTTGCTATGGGTTCGGTAGTTCTTTAGAGGCATGATTTATCCTTATAGCCCTATGAATTAGGTGTCATCCTTGATGTGCAGATGAGAAAATTGAGACCTAGGAAGGTTAAGAACCTTACTCAAGAACATAAAGCTCGCAAGAGGGCGGACCAGGATTCAAATTCAAGGTCAATTAGATGCCTGTGCTTAGAGCCAGTATCTGAGCAGCTCATTTTAGTTTCAGCAGATCCAAGTTTTAAGCTGAGATTTCATTGGTTTGGAAATCTATTTTGCATAATGTTATTAATCACCACATCTCCTACTACCATAAATTTCTCAGGGAAGAAGTTAAATACAGCTCAAAAAAAAAAAAAAAAAAAAAGAAATACAGCTCATTTACTATAAACCAAGGATTTCTTAAGGATACATTACATAACTGGCCTTAAGGAATTCCATGAGTTCCAGAGTACTTAATATCAAAAATAAAACTTAATAACTTTGTCAATGTGCAACAGACAAGAATACTGCTTAAGATTGTCATTCATAAGTTAAACTTGTAAATAACAGCAAATAATTACTCTCTCTCTATATTTAATAGACATAGGATTTTGATTTCATGCTTTCAAGTGTGACAAATGTAATTAGCAGCCAAAACTTCTCTTCCCCACAATGGTACCAGAAAAAACAAACCCAACTCAAGATACTTGACCTCTGATCTAGGGATAATGGTATCTACCTCGTGGAACTGTGAAAAACAAAAAGATGCAACGCATCTCACAACAGTGCTCTTCCCTTCCTTTGCTTTGGTGAAGAGTTTGCAATTATTCTCCAAGGAGACTCTCTGGCAAGCAAGTATGGACACTACTACACCTACCCACTGTACTGAAAGATGAGCACTATCTGGTCAGAAAATGGCAGCTAGAGATTAGCCATAGTTCCAAAGTGCCCCACTAAGCTCATCTTGGCATAAACCGTTCCTGCCTCTTGTGGCAGCCTCGATGGCTTTTGCCACCAGACAGCCTTGGGATCTATGCATGGTTTTGGAAGAAGAAATTAGTGAGGTCTCAGGAAGGCTTCTCTGTCCTACCTTCCAGAGGGGTCCTGAGATATATAAAGGGTAACCATGGCCAGGCATAGTGGCTCAAGCCCGTAACCTCACCACTTTGGGAGGCCGAGGTGGGTGGATCACTTGCGCTCAGGAGTTCGAGACTAGCCTGGGCAACATGGTGAGGCCCTGTCTCTATTAAAACCAAACCAAAACAAAAGGGTAACAATGGATATGTATTTTTTCAGACATGGTCTCTAAAGCAATGAAAATACTATACTCTTTATTGTTTCAGAATGGGGGCAGGGAGAAAAGATGGCCAAAGATAATACGTACATATAGGTACTGATTTAGGCTAATTTAAAACCACATCAAATGACTGAAGTTTCAGGAATGAGCAATTTTATAAAAGTTTTCCCCTCCACTCTGGAAACCATTAGGGTGGCTATAAAAGGTATAATTAACCAACTATCAGATTTTTTTTTTTTTTTTTTTTTTTGAGATGGAGTTTCGCTCTTGCTGGAGCGCAATGACGCAATCCCGGCTCACTGCAACCTTCACTTCCCAGTTCAAGCGATTCTCCTGCCTCAGCCTCCTGAGTAGCTGGGATTACATACACCCGCCACCACGCCCGGCTAATGTTTGTATTTTTAGTAGAGATGGGGTTTCGCCACGTTGGCCAGGCTAGTCTTGAACTCCTGACCTAAGGTGATCTGCCCACCTTAGCCTCCCAAAGTGCTGGGATTACAGGCGTGAGACACCGTGCTCGGCCCAACTATCAGATTTTTAAAATGTTCTTCCTTTTAAGAGCATTTTCCTAAACTGGATGCTTCTAGAGTGGTATCGGGAAACTGAGCATCTCTCTGAATATCTCACACTGAAACTTAGTGTCAAAAAGGAAATTTAAACGCACCACTTCAGTGACATTCTTTTGGGACTTAGTAGTACAATTTATAAAACAATCTACTAATGTACACTTTAGGACTTTTTCACAATTACATTCTATGACAACAAATTTTAAATGTGTTTGTAGGTATGTGTGGAGATGCTTCAACTTAAGTTTCACTATTTCCACAGTGAATTCACCCATCAGATTGTGCTTTTAAGGGTAGAGTTTATTAGACAATGTACATTTAGGTATGTTTTTGGATGGTACCAACCCTCTGTATTATTACTAAGTCATAGTTGCATTAAAATGTTTTGGTCAACCAAGTGTGTTCAGGTGGCCTGTGCCCTGGGAAGAGAGCAGCACCTGCAGAGGTAGGGGAATGCAGGCCTGATGGGAGGGAGGGCTGACCCAGCTACAGTTTCAGCCCAGGCCCAGACTGGTTCCTCCATAATCTATATCCGCTACAAAGAGGGAAGACATTTGGAGGAAGCTAACTATAAATCAAGTGAGATCATTTATTAGGTTGGTGCAAAGGGAACTGTTTTTGCCACTGGCATTAAAAGCATTAAACGCAATGGCAAAACTGCAATCCCCTTTGCACCAACTCAACATCTTCCACCAGTTCTTAGAGTTCATGTCTTATCATCTTAAGCCTCATACCAAAGACAATGATTAGAAAGAGCCAAATGAACTGTGCTGACATCTGCTGAGTGGGACAGTTATCCACCTTAGCAGCCTACAGAACGTGGAGCATCAGAGGAGCCACAAGAAACCCAAACAGACATCACAGAAGATTGGCTATAGCAAGGGAGGTTATCAGCTTCATTCTTTCCTCTCCATAAGTGAAAATACTAAATTACAGTATTTGAGAGTTGGAGGTAGACATAATGTATATCTGCTAATTTGTCCAACTGATAAGAAAAGACCATTAAAAAACTATAGTGTCTTAAAAACTTGTCATAAAATAAGGATTTTTTCACATCAATGGGGAAAAGATAGATAAAAGTTATTCAGTAAGTATTATCAGGAAAAGTGGGGTAGCTATTTGGAAAAATAAATGTGGATTGCTACCCTACTTCTTTCACCAAAATAAATTTCATATAACAATGAAACCAAAAAGGAAACACACAAGAAACATTTTTGTAACCTCGGATTGGGGAAACATTTTTATAACCTCAAATTGGGGAAGATCGTTTGAGGTTAAGAAAAAAACTCAGAAACTGTAAAATAAGAGACTGACAGATCTGACCAGGAAAAACTTAAAATCTGCACATGGTAAATTCCACCCAAACAAAAGAAATGACAACACATGATAGAAAAGAACCAATTTCCTCAATAAAGGACAGGTACTCACAAGTCTTGACAGTAAAGACCAACATGCGATAGGAATATGGGCAAATAGAACATTCACAGAAAAAAAAAATGGCCTTAAAATATAGTAAAATGTTAAACTTTGCTCATAAGGAAAATACAAAGCAAAACCACAGGTCAAAGTTTTTACTTATCAGATTGTCAAAGATCAGAAAGGCGGTCAGGGTGTAGGAAAATTAAAGCAGTCATATTGCTGTAGTATAAGGATTAATTGGTAAAATCGCTTTGGAAGACATGTCACATAAATCTATAGAATGCAATTCCTCCATCTATGTATACAAAGATCTTACCTATATAAAAGGAAACTCATTGCAGCATGGTTCACAGTAGCAAAAAACTAGGAACAGCAAAGCCGACCAGAATAGAGACTGATGTAACTGTGGTATGCCCAGACCATGGAGTACCACTGCACCTATGAAGAGGAAGGATGCAGATCTAGATCTATGTATGCGGAATGATTTCTGAGGTTTACCATTTTAGAAAAATCAAAGGTGCAGAATAGTATATGTATTTATGGAAAAAAATGAGGTGGAGTGAATATACCCATATACACTAAAAGAGTGGTTTTTGAGTGTGTCTCCCAGATCAGCAGAAGCAGCACAACCCGGGACCTTTTAAGCATGCAAGTTATAGGGCAACATTCAGATCTACTGACTCAGAACGTCTGAGGAAAGGGTCAAGCAATCTGTTTTAATAACCTTTCAGGTGATTCTGATGCATGCTCAAGTTTAAAGATACACAGAAAATGGTCAAAGTTGTTGCCTCTGGGGAGGAGAAACAGAAGAGCGACAGGAGTGAAAGACTCTTTTTGCTTTGATATATCTGGATTCTTTTACCATGGGTGTGTATTGCCTACTTCATAAAGTTATGAAGTATCACCTGCTTTACATGAAATTTACCCAGGCTGGAATAAAACAGCATGATCATGGGTCATTGCAGCCTTGACATCCCAGCTCAAGTGATCCTCCCAACTCAGCCTCCCAAGTAGCTGGGACTACAGGCATGCTCTATCACGCGTGGCCAATTTTTTAATTTTTAGTAGAGATGCGGTCTCCTCTATGCTGCCCAGGCTGGGTCTTGAACTCCTGAGCCCAAGCAGTCCTCCCGTCTTGGCCATCCAAAGTGCTGGGATTACAGGCATGAGCCACGGCACCTGGCCAGCATGATTCTTAAAAAACAAAAAGAAAAACAAAAACACAGCCGGGCGTGGTGGCTCACGCCTGTAATCCCAGCACTTTGGGAGGCCGAGGCGGACAGATCACGAGATCAGGAGATTGAGACCATCCTGGTTAACACAGTGAAATCCCGTCTCTACTAAAAATACAAAAAAATTAGCCGGGCGTGGTGGTGGGCGCCTGTAGTCCCAGCTACTCGGGAGGCTGAGTTCACGCAGGAGAATGGCGTGAACCCGGGAAGTGGAGCTTGCAGTGAGCTGAGATCATGCCACAGCACTCCAGCCTGGGCGACAGAGCAAGACTCCGTCTCAAAACAAAACAAAACAAAACAAACAACAAAAAAAAAAACCCACAACAACCTATTTTAGACCAAGATTTCAGTGCAGAAGATGAAGCACATTTATAAATTACCATGTATGACTTGGCATAGCAGAGCCTAAGTTTGGTGATAATGAACCTGTTATTTACTGAGCAGAGGTTTTAAAAAGGAGGAAAACCTTCATAATTCTCACTTAGAATGAGGCAATTACCCTTATAGAGAGTAAAAACAATTAGAAACCAATAATAAAGGCAAAGACAAAGAGAAAAATTGAACCTTTTTTTTTTTTTTAAAAAAAGCACATAAACCCTACATACTAAAATTATACACATCAAGTACTGGTCCAATCTTATATCAATCTATTTACAATTAAACAGCACCATGGTTTTCCCACCTAGGTTAGTTAAACATGCCCAGAGAATTGTTATTCAAAGCATATGTTCCTTTAAAATAAAATAAACTCTTAAAAAGAGAGCTCAAATCCTCAACAAAGAAAGACCTTTTACCAATCGATATCATAGATATTGATGACATCACCAAATCTGCTTAAGAAAAAAACAGTTTTAAACACTTTTTTCCAGTTGACAAACTTTGAGAAGTGCTGCTATTCGATGTGGCACACAAATGAACAAAAACTTTGATGACAGGAGCAATATACTGATTTACCCTAATATCTCCACCTCTAAACATAAAAAAAATCTCCTTTGGGATTAATGCTGTGGTCTTCACTTGAATTTAGATTCAATCATCAGCAAATTTAAATTAGATATAGCCACAATCTTTAAAATGATTGCATAAAAATAAGGAAGTAGTTAAAGCTCTCAGAAACATGATGTTACAATTACAGATATATTTAATCAGGCAATAGGAAATTCAATACCATTTAAACATTACATTTAAACTAATTAGCAGTTTCATTTTGTCATTAAAATTAATAATGCACTTCACATCCAAACAGGTGTGGAGGGCTGACATTTTCCAACTGAGAACAGCGTTAAGTGCCTTCTTGTCTGTACTTTTCCATCTCATGGATTCTCAGGGGCACAGTGGTCACATGTTAGCCCCCCTTCTCACTTATGGAACCAACTTTTAAAAGGCTCCAAATTCAACCTAACTCTTGGCAGCTTTACTCCAGTCATAGTATAGAAGAATCAGGTTATCTCCCTGGATTTTTCAGTCCCCTAATCTAACTTGCAAAAGGCTCTTAATTTGCTTCTTTGCTACAAAAGATGAGGGAGGAAAATTGTCATCTACCATGACTAGAGGTAACAGTGAACTGGAAAGCACTAAGGTATAAAGCAATGTTTCATTATTTGGTCTCACTGCTAATGTTTATGTGACACCAGTAAATCTTTCACACTTAAAAATTTTGAGTTGAAATTTCCTCTAAAAGACTGAAAATAGGCACAGTTCTCCCAGGCACAGATAAAATAGGCTTTCCTTACACCCCTCCATGCAAAGTGGAGGAAATCATTTACTTTATTAACTTGAGTGGGAACAGCTATAATTGATTTTGGTGTCTCCTGACCCAGGAACCATGCATTTGGGGGTTATACTTAGCTATGAAAAGTTCCAAGCAGAATAGATAGATCAATGAAGGTACTATATAGTAGTGACCTTCTAAGCCTGGATATAAAAATGGCTTCGTTATACAGACCTTTCAAAATACTTATGCAGCAAGATGACAGCGACTTTTCAACTGAGTATCTGTTGAAACTCAAGAGACCTGACTGTATTGATGAAATTATTGCCTAGTGTTCCAGAAGGGTGCCTGCCACTAATGTGCTGGAAGGCACCAAAATTTAGTGTGAATGTAAATAAGGAGCTCAAGATGTGGGGATGAGGAAAGCAACACTAAAGCACAATTTGCCAGTCTCTACTCATTTATGGCTAAATATTAATTGAGCTAAGAATAAAAAACCAGAATAGAAGCAACCTCAAATACTGCTCTTTTCAGTTTCCATTAACCAAAACAAAACAAAACAAAACAAAACAAAACAAAACAAAACAAAAAGGTTAAGTTTTATATCCATTATTTATGGTTTCTGGAAATTATATAATTTGATATATTTTTCTAAAAAAATTCTGTATTCAAAAAGGTGCTTGGTGCTGTCCTTCATGGATGCAATGTTTCATTTACAGTCCAAGTCACTGAAATATAGCCATTACATAGTTGTTGAGTGTTCTAAAATAAATGGTTATCTATTTCTTAACTGCCTTTCAAATTAGAAATTGTAATTACATGAGTCTCAAAGCCTGGCTCTTTGTGTTTTATTATTTTTGTTGGTCTCCATCACAGATGGAATTTTTCACTGGTAATTCCTCAGAACTAAATCCATTCATAGGGAATTTAGAGCAGTGAAATAGATTTCACGCCGCAGAGTAGGAAATGACAACAAGAACCATAAAAAGGAGCAGAGGGATGTGGGAGCTGGCCAACAGGGCTCAGTTCAGTTCTCCACTGGTGTTGGGTTCTGCACAGGTTGGCTCACTATAACCTGTACAACATAGTCCTTTGGGATCTTCAGCTCTTCGAACTTCATTTTGTCAGTGAGAGGTCTGCCAGAAAAAAACCACCGCTGACTACCTGGTTCCACTCCCTCTGCTGCATGCAACCGTCTCTTCATGTGGAATACTGTGTCTGTGCTGCGAACCACAAGCTTGAGGTCTTTGCCTGTGGAAAGGCGCAAACGAAGCTGACATTCATATCCAGAATTGGGTGGTGGCTCAGGAATATCCAGAGTCTCTATGTCGCTCTTTTCCTCTATCATGTTGATTGGCGGTGCCAAGCAATACACTGGAAGCTGATATCTGTTCCCCAGTTCATCGTAGCACTCTGTAAGTGCACCTTCAGAAAGAGAAGATATGAATAAGAACTTAATCCTTAATGAATGCATTTTTGTTTATGCCTCACAAAATGCTTAAGCTTCTCTTGCTAGCATGGCACTGTAGAGAAAAAACATCACTCTCAGCTGATCATCAATGATTATCAAATCCCATGCCCAATTATTTGAGTATTTAATTTTATATGAACCAGAATGCTAGGTCCTTACGCTTATGCTCTTCTAAGTTATTTCATATCCTTTTCACAATTTCATTAAAATGGCATACAACTCAAATGTACTACTAATATTATTAATGCTTACACAAGACGTAGAGAACATTTAAATTACATTAGGATATCTTTTACAGAAATGAATCCGCTACCTTAAACAAGCAAGCAAATTAAAAAAAATTGATTTCTAAGCTCAATTCACCACAAGTGTTCCAGAGCAGTTTTCTTTTATTCTTTTTCTTTTTATTGAGATGGAGTGTCGCTGTGTTGCCCAGGCTGGAGTGCAGCGGCACCATCTCGGCTCACTGCAACCTCTGCCTCCTGGGTTCCAGAGATTCTCCTGCCTCAGCCTTCCGAGTAGTTGGGATTACAGGTGCCTGGTACCATACCCGGCTAATTTTTTGTATTTTTAGTATAGACAGAGTTTCACCATGTTGGCCAGGCTGGTCTCAAACTCCTGACCTCAGGTGATCCACCCACCTCAGCCTCCCAAAGAGCTAGGATTACAGGCATGAGCCACCGTGCCCAGCCCTAGAGCAGTTTTCTTAGTACCTGGACTTCTTTCTTTCTTTTTGAGACAGAGTCTCACTCTGTTGCCCAGGCTGGAGTGCAGGGATGTGATCTCGGTTTACTGCAACCTCCATTTCCCGTGTTCAAGCAATTCTCCTGCCTCAGCCTCCTGAGCAGCTGGGATTACAGGCGCACACCACCACGCCTGGGTGATTTTTGTATTTTTGGGAGAGACAGGGTCTCACCATGTTGGCCAGGCTGGTCTCAAACTCGTGACCTCAAATGATCCACCTGCCTTGGCCTTCCAAAGTGCTGAGATTACAGGCATGAGCCACCATGCCCAGCCCAGTGCCTGGACTTCCTAAATTGAAGCACTTGGCAAGAAGTCCTTAGTCCAGAGATCACAAATTAGAGATGACAGCCTTAGCAGCTGCCACAGATTCATTGCTTATCTATGAGTCTCATTAGTAAAATTACCACAGAAATGACTGAGGTGTTTTATTTAACCCCAATTAATCTATCTAGTACAGATAAGCTATGGATTAAAAAGGAAAAACAAAAGGGCTATGACATAACGAGCTAGCTCAGGGAAGGGAAAAAGCACTCAAGGTTTTAAAAAAATGCATTAATGGTTAACTTCCTTACAAATCATATATTATAATTTCAAAATCAAAAACAAAATTTTAGAGACAAGGTCTTGCTATGTTGCCCAGGCTGGACTCAAAACTCCTGGGCTCAAGCAATCCTCCTGCCTCCACCTCCTGAGTAGCTGAGACTAGGTGTGTAAACTACATTACAGTTACCAGGACTTCCTCGGGGGAACTTGAAAGCATACCTTTTTTTTTTCTTTTTCTTTTTTGAGACGGAATTTCACTCTTGTTGCCTAGGCTGGAGTGCAATGGCGCAATCTTGGCTCACCACAACCTCCGCCTCCTGGGTCCAAGTAATTCTCCTGCCTCAGCCTCCCCAGTAGCAGGGATTACAGGCATGCGCCACCACGTCCAGCTAATTTTGTATTTTTAGTAGAGACGGGGTTTCTCCATGTTGGTCAGGCTGTTCTTGAACTCCTGACCTAGGTGATCTGCTCGCCTTGGCCTCCCAAAGTGTTGGGATCACAGGCGTGAGCCACCGTGCCTGGCCAAAAGCATAACTTAATGAATGTTTTAAGGTTATACGTAACATATCGTTTCCCCAAACTAGAATATGGTATCAGCTTATTATAAATTTGGATAAAAAACCAAAATGTCTACCAAATCCAGAGCACTGAAAAATGGTTATCAATGAACAAATGAGTTAATGAACCGGTATTTGTGTTTAATGTCAATAGGATGAAAATATAAAGCACCTGAAATGAGTCTGGAATGGTCATCAACCCACCACAGGTCCAATCTGGTCTGCCTTCTAAGTTACATAAGATGGGCTGGGGTGATAGCTTAGTTGGAAAGCAGAACACACGTGAATCTTCCCTCTTCTCTGTTTAGCCTCTGTGTATTCACTAATACTATTGTAGAAATGGATCTACTTCAAGCACAGTTGTGATCACTAGCAGTCCCTATACCAGTAACTTCACACTGCCCTTTCCCTTCTGCCCTTCATCCCAGTGAGTCAGGGTTTAGTTTTCAAATCTCTAAAAGGTGAGAGAGAAAAACTCCATGAAGAGTTACAGCTGGATGGTGTATATTCTTACTCATGCTCTGCCAGTGCTCAATCCATAATGCTGGAAGTAAGCTATTTAGATGGTTACAGAAGCTCCCGTATTTCAGTATTTTTAGAAACAGTAATTTGTTTTTTATTTAATATGGAATTTTCTAGTTTATTCTTTTCGGCACTTCTTTCTACAAAATTATAATCTGAGTTGTAAATATGCTCTAGTTTTACATTAAACTAAAAATCAGACTTTCTGTTTCTAGTCTGGCATGCAAAAAACTTAGAAGTCACCACTCCATCCTAACAAGTAAAAGGCTGAGCAAACTGAAAAATCAACAGATATTCTTAATCTGTGGGAGAAGTAAGGTCACAGGGCAAACCACTGCCCCCGAAATAGGAGAGACAGGCAGGGTAATACAGAGCATCACCATTTACCATAGCAGACACCCAGGAGCTGAAATCTCTGTGGAACCAGTGCAGGGTAGGGAAACCTCAAATGTAACCAAGTGAATTGCTAAAGGCTCAGTGTGGACAAGTCTTAGAGAGAAAGCTCCATGGGGACTTGGTGAAGGGTGTCTGGGAAGAGTGATACCTTCCTGAGTTTTACCTTCTGGACCTCTACAACTTCCTCGTAGTGACAGTCAGAATAATTCCCTGGGTTGGAGGAGGGTGCAAAAGGAACCATTTTTAAATATGCCAGAGAATTCTGCCCTCAGAAGAAACTAACTAGAGTCTATCCTGCTGGGGTTTTATCAGAGCCTAACTAATTTGGGAGAAGAGAAATACCCAGCTCTAGCCCCTTCTAGCCATCTTGTCCCACCTAAGGCAGGGACTATGACTGAGAAGCACTGGTCCAGTTCATGATCCAGAGGCAGAGGCTCACAAAAAGACTAAAACCTCCATATTACCGAAGGCCCATTTCACACAGTTCCTGTATATTATGTCCACCTTTCCCAAAAAATTACAAGATGTACCAAAAGGCAAAAAAACAGTTTTTTAGAGCAAGCACAAAACTAGACTCAGATACGGCAGAAGTGTTAGAATGATCAGACTGGGAATTTAAAACATGATTAATATGCTAATGGCTCTAATGGATGAAGCAGACAGCATGTAAGAAGAACAAATGGGAATGTAATAAGAGAGATGGAAATTCTAAAAAGAACCAAAAAGAAATGCTAGAGAACAAAACCACTGTAACAGAAATAAAGAACGCCTTTGATGGGCTTACTGGTAACTGAACACGAATGAGGAAGGAATATCTGAGTTTGATGATATCTCAGTAAAAATCTCTAAAACTGAAAAGCAAAGACAAAAAAGACCAAAAAACCTTGGGAGGTTGAGGCGGGGGTATCACCTCAGGTCAGGAGTTCGAGACCAGCCTGGCCAACATGGCGAAACCCCGTCTCTACTAAAAGTACAAAAATTAGCCGAGCGTGGTGGCAGGCGCTTGTAATAATCCCAGCTACTCAGGAGGCTGAGTCAGGAGAATTGCTTGAACCTGGGAGGCAGAGGTCGCAGTGAGCTGAGATTGCGCCACTGCACTCCAGCCTGGCAACAAGAGCGAGACTGTCTCAAAAAAAACAAAAAACAAATAAACAACAACTACAACAAAAAAGCCCAAAAAACCCCATGAAATCTAAAAACAAAAAACCCCACCACAAAACAGAGTATCCAGAAACTGTGGGACAAACCAAAGTGTAACATACACATGATGGGAACAGCAGAGAAGAACAAGAGAAAGAAACAGGAAAAATATTTGAAATAATTATGACTGAGAATTTTCCAGAGTTAATGTCAGAAAAACTACACACATCTAAGCATATCATTTTCAAACTTCAGGAAATCAAAGATTAAAAAAAAAAACAAACAAAAAACTCCTGGCCAGACATACTGATTCATGCCTATAACTCCAGCACTTTGCGAGGCCAAGGTAGGAGGACTGCTTGAGCCCATGAGTTTGAGGCCAGCTTGGGCAACATAGGGAAACCCCATCTCTACCCAAAAAAAAAAAAAAAAAAAAAAAAAAAAGCCAGAGGGGGGAAAAAACAGCTTACCCACAGAGGAGCAAAGAAAAGAATTAAATGGCTGGGCGCGGTGGCTCATGCCTGTAATCCAGCACTTTGGGAGGCTCTGATGGGCAGATAGCTTGAGATAGCCTGAGCTCAGGAGTTCAAAATCACCCTGAGCAACATAGTGAAACCCTGTCTCTACAAAAAATACAAAAATTAGTTGGGTGTGGTGGTGTGTGCCTGTACTTCCAGCTACTCAGGAGGCTGAGGTGAGGGGATCACTTGAGCCCGGGAGGTCAAGGGTGCAGTGAGCCGAGATTGTGTCACTGTACTCCAGCCTGGGCAACAGAGACAGACCTTGCCTAAAAAAACCACACACACACACAAAACAAAGACAGAATTACATATCCAACTCCAACTTCTCAGAAACCATGCAAGTATACAGTGAAGTGAAATATCTAAAGCATAGAAAAAACCACCAACCTATAATTCTGTATGCTGTGAAATTATCCTTCAAAACTGAAGGAGAGGCAGGGCGTGGTGGCTTATGCCTACAATCCCAGCACTTTGGGAGGCCAAGGTGGGTGGATCACCTGAGGTCAGGAGTTCAAGATCAGCCTGCCTAACACAGTGAAACCCTGTCTGTAGTAAAAATACAAAAAAAAAAAATTAGCCAGGCATGGTGGTGGGTGCTTATAATCCCACCTACTCCGGAGGCTGAGGCAGGAGAATGGCATGAACCCGGGAGGCGGAGCTTGCAGTGAGTCGAGATCGCGCCATTGCACTCCAGCCTGGGCGAAAGTGCGAGACTCTGTCTCAAAAAAAAAAAAAAAAAAGAAAGAAAGAAATAAGCAAAGGTGAAATAAGAACCTTTAAAAAAATTTTTTTTCTTATTTACTTTTAGAGACAGGGTCTTGCTGTCACCTAGACTATAATACACTGGTGTGATCACAGCTCACTGCAGCCTTGAACTCCTTGGCTCAAGGCTATCCCTCCTGCCTTAGTCTCATGAGTAGCTGGAACTACAGGTATACCCCACCATGCCCAGGTAATTTTTGTATTTTTTGGTAGAGGCAGGGTTTTGCCATGTTCATGTTGTCCAGGCTGGTCTCAAACTCCTGGGGGCAAATGATCCGCCTACCTCGCTTGCTGTGATTACAGGTATGAGCCACCATGCCTGGACCAAGAAGAAATAATAATGTTTAATGGGTATGCACCTAACCGCACAGCAAAGTATGTGAGGCAGAACTGACAGAACTACAAGGAGAAAGAGATGAATCCACTATTATAGTTGAAGCCTTCAACACCCCTCAATCAGAAATGGACAGATCTAACAAGAAGAAAATCAGAAATGACATACTTGAATGCAACAATACCATCAATCGATTTAATGTAATGAACATGTTTAAACTACTTCATCCAACAATAGCAAACTACACATTTTTCTCTCAAGTTCACATGGAACATTTACCAAGAGAGACCACATTCTGAAACATAAAACACACCATAACAAAATGAAATCATACAATGTCTGCTTATACCATAATGGAAATAAACTGGAAATGAATATCAGACAGGTAGTTGGAAAATCCATAATACATGGATATTAAACAATACATTTCTAAATAACACATGGGGTCAAAGAAGAAATCAAGAGAAATTAAAATATATTTTAATTAAAGGAAAACAACTTATAATGTCAGGATGCAGCAAAAGCAGTGATCACTGGGAAATTTATAATGCCCATATTAGAGAAGCAGAAATATCTAAAATCAATCAGTAAGCTTCCACGTTGGGAAACTAAAAAAAGAAAACCAATTTAAATCCAAAGTAGGCAGAAAAAAAATTAAAATAGAAATCAATGAAATGGAAAAAATCAATGAAAAAATAAAATCAACAAGGCTGGGCACTGTGGCCCATGCCTGTAATCCCAGCACTTTGGAAGGCCAAGGCAGGTAGATTGCTTGAGTCCAGGAGTTTGCGACCAGCCTGGGTAACATGCACAAAAAAATTTTTGCACAAAAAAATGCAAAAATTAGCAGGGTGTGGTGGTACATGCCTGTAGTCCCAGCTACCCAGGAGGCTGAGGTGGGAGGATGCCTGTCCCTGGGAGTTTGAGGCTGCAGTGAGCTGTGATCTCACTCCAGCCTGGGCAAAGAGTCAGACCCTGTCACCAAAAAAAAAAAAAATAAAAAAATAAAAAAAAAAATAAAAAATAAAAATAAAAAAAATTCAACAAAACCAAAAGCTGATTACAAGGTTTTATTGACCAAAAGGTCAATAAAATTGGTAAGCCTCTACCCAGGCTAGCCAAGAAAAAAAGAGGACACAAATTACTGAAATGAAAGAGAAGACATCACTACAGATCCCACAGATGTTGAAAGGATAATAAAAGAATATTATGAACAACTCTATGCCTACACATTTGATAAACCTAGATAAAATGGACCCATTCCTTGAAAGACACAATCTGCCAAAACTCACACAAAACAGACAATCTGAATAGGCCTACATCTATTAAAGAAATTGAATCAATAATTAATAACTTTCCAAAACAGAAAAGAACCAATTCCAGATGGATTCACTGGTAAATTCTATCAAACATTTCAGAAACAAATTATAACAATTCTCTGCAATCTTTTTCATTAGACAGAAAAGAGAATACAGCATTCCTCCCTTTACTCACAGTTTTGCTTTCTGCAGTTTCAATTTCTCTTGGTCAACTGTGGTCCAAAAATATTAAATGGAAAAATCCAGAATCACACAATTCACAAGTTTTAAATTATTTAACTTTCTGAGTAGCATGATAAAATCTCTTGCCATCCTGCTCCATCTGGCCTGGGACATGAATCAACCTTTTGTCCGGAGTATCCATGCTGTATACACCACCTGCCCATTAATCACTTAGTAGCCATCTTGGTTATCAGATCAACAGTTGCATTATCGCAGTGCTTTAATGGCCCTAAAACACAAGAGTAGTGGTGCTGGCAATTTAGATATGCCAAAAGAAGCCATAAAGTACTTTTTAAAAATGAAAATGTGGAGGTTCTCAAATAAATAAAGAAAAACATCTGTATGTTGCTGTTGCTAAGATCTAAGATAAGAACAAATTTATTTGTGAAGTTGTAAAGAAGGAAAAAAAACTCATGCTAGTTTTGCCGTGGCACTTCAAACCCCAATAGTTAAAACACAGTGCGTGACAAGCGATTAGTTCAGTTGAAAAAGGCATTACATTTGTGGGTGGAAGACAAGAAAAGAATTGTGTTCCAATTGACAGCATTTAGGTTCAGTACTATCCACAGTTTCAAGCATCCACTGGGGGTTCTGGAACATTCCAAGACCATATCTCCCCATGGATAAGGGGGTACCACTGTACTTCCTAACTCATTCTATGAGGCCAACATTACCCTAATACCAAAACCAAACATTACAAGCAAACTACAGACCAGTATCTCTCATGAACATAGACTGAAAAATCCTCAACAAAATATTAATGAATCAAATTCAACACTGTATAAATAATTATACACCATGACCAAGTAGGCTTTAGTCTCAAGTATTCAAGACTGGTTCAACATTTGAAAATCAATTAATATAATCCATAATATCAATAGGCTAAAGAAGAAAAATCACATGATCATATCAATAGATGCTGAAAAAGCATATAACAAAACCCAACACTGATTATCTGTACTAGGAATAGAAGGGAACTTCCTCAACTTGATAAAGAATATCTACAAAAAAGCTATAGCTGGCCGGGCACGGTGGCTCACGCCTCTAATCCCAGCACTTTGGGAGGCTGAGACGGGTGGATCCCCTGAGGTGGGGAGTTCAAGACCAGACTGACCAACATGGAGAAACTCCATCTCTACTAAAAATACAAAACTAGCCGAGCGTGGTGGCACATGCCTGTAATCCCAGCTATTCGGGAAGTTGAGGCAGGAGAATCACTTGAACCCAGGAGGTGGAGGTTGTGGTGAGCCAAGATTGGAGTGAGCCTGGGCAACAAGAGCAAAATTCCTTTAAAAAACAAAAAAACCAAAAAAAAACCTTATAGCTAAGACATACTTAATGATGAGAAACTCAAAGCTTTCCTACTAATTTGGGAACAAGACAAGGATGTCCCCTCTCATCACCACTTTTAAACACTGTACTGGAAGTCCTAGCTAATGCAATAAAACAAGGCAAGATAAGAAAAGGTATACAGATTGGAAAGGAGAAAATAAAACTGCCTTTGTTTGCAGATGACATACTGTCTATGTAAAAAATATGAAGAATCAACATAAAAGCTACTAGACCTAATAAGCAATTATAGCAAGGTTGCAAGATACAAAGTTAATATACAAAAGTCAACTGCTCTCCTATACATCAGCAATGAGCAAGTAGAATATGAAATTTAAAACACAATTTACATTAGCACCTCAAAAAGAAAATAGGTATAAGTCTAACGAAGTATGTATAAGATATGAAACAACAACAACAAAAAACCTTGATAAAATAATTACTAAATAGAGAAAGAGTCCATGTTCATGGATAGGAAGACTTAATATTGTCAAGATGTCAGTTCTTCCCAGCTTAGTCTATAGATTTGATGCAAATCCCAATCAAAATCCCAGAAGGAGGCTGGGCACAGTGGTTCATGCCTGCAATCCCAGTGCTTGGGGAGGCTATGGTGGGAGGATGGCTTGAGGCTAACAGTTCAAAACCAGCCTGGGTAACATAGCAAGGCCCCATCTCTACCAAAGAAATAAAAAATTAGCCAGGCATGGTGGTGCCTGCCCGTAGTCCCACCTACTTGGAAGACTGAGGAAGGACTGCTTGAGCCCAGCAGTTTGAGGCTGCAGTGAGCTATGTCTGGGCCACCATACTCCAGCCTGGGTGACAGAGTAAGACCCTATCTATAAATAAATAATAAAATAAATAAGTGAGCCAGTAAGTCATGAAAACACATGGCGAAAACTTAAATGCATATTAGTTAACTGAAAGAAGATAGTGTGATAAAGCTATATATAATATGATTCCAACTATTTCACACTTTGGAAAAGGCAAAACTATGAAGACAATAAAAAAGGTCAATGGTTGCCATGGGGTTAGGAGGGAGGCAGGGATGAATAGGTAGAACACAGAGGATTTTTTAGGATAGTGAAACTACTCTGTATGATACTATTAATGATGGATACATGTCAATATAAAGTTGTCCAAACCCACAGAATGTACAACACCAAGAGTGAACCCTGAACTATGGACTTCTGAGTGATAATGATGTTTCAATGTAGGTTCATTTATTTTTAACAAATGAACTACTCTAATGGTGAATGTTGATACTGGGGGAGGCTATGCATGTGTGGGAGCAGGGGGTATATGGGAAATCCCTGTTTCCTCCACTTAATTTTGCTGTGAACTTAAAACCACTCTAAAATAAATAAGGGAAAAATCCATATCATTTACTCAAATACTATTTGATTTCATTTTAAGTCTATAGGTTTATGGGTTACGCTCTTCCTGAATTAAATATCTGGGATCACAAAATATCAATAAAAGTAATATTTTACATTGTAGTCCATAACTGACTATTACTGCAGAATTACCTATTCAGAGCAGACTGGCCCCTTTGTGGCCTAGACTCTTGAACAACATAATCCCAATCCTCCACTATTTAATGGCCCCAAATCTCTACTAAAGACAAAGCTGCACTGATAGTAGTGGTTTCTACCACACAACCTCTTTAGGACCTAACAAGGATCAATAGGAAACAATTCTTACATTCTAGAGTCACTGCATAGACATTTACTGATCATCTTGAAGTGAGTAGGGCATGTCACTGGCACTGAGGAAAGAAGGTTATAAGAGAACCAAGACTGTCCCTGATCTCCAGGAGTATATATTCATGAGCAGATACAGCATACCCATCACAGATTTTAGTACAAATGGATACAATGAAAATCAAACACACGTGCTGAGACATCGCAGAACAGAAAAGTGACTAGAGTTGGTAGAGCCAACATGGAGGAATTCTGTAGAAATGGTGTGTTCTGGGCATGACTTTAAAGACACAGAATAGCAACGAAGGGAATCCCAAGAAATAGAAATGATACGGAAATAAGAATAATTACAAGGTAAATAGAGAATACCATGGGATCTTGTTGAAGTAGAATACAGATTCAATGATGTAAAATTAATAAATAGGCAGTAATAGTGAAATCTGATAGTAAGATTCAGGAGTTTAGGCTTAATACTACAGGAAATTACCAGAGGTGGCTAAAACAGGTAAATTAAACGTTCAACATTCACTGCCTTTTTTATGCTACTGGATATTCTAGGTGCTAAGGTTGTGCTGGTGAACAAGACAAAGCCTGCTGACTGTTTTATCATCTACCTGAAGAAAGAAAGATTGATTGGAATCATGACTGCCTGACTACAGAAATGGAAAAAAATCGAACTGAGAAATTCAAAGACAACTGGCAGAACCAAATGATGGGTTAGATTTGATGGAAAACCAAAAGGAAAGAATCATGTAACTGGAAACTAGAATGACAGAAAAAAATAGATAATTTAGGGTTACAAGATTCTTTGCTTAGCTTTTAATTGTTCCAGGTTCCATGAGATGCTTCAGCTGAATTATCTACAAGTAACTAAAGCAGATTGGGAAAAGTCAGGGTAAAATAAGTTTGGAGAGCAATAATTTCCAACATATAAGATTTAATATAAAAAAGCAAACACTTGGCCAGGCATGGTGGCTCATGACTGTAATCCCAGCACTTTGGGAGGCTGAGGTGGGCAGATCACGAGGTCAGGAGTTCGAGACCAGCCTAACATGGTGAAATCCTGTCTCTACTAAAAATACAAAAATTAGCCAGGTGTGGTGGCACGCTCCTGTAATCCCAGCTACTCAGGAGGCTGATGGAGGAGAATTGCTTGAACCCGGGAGGCAGAGGTTGCAGTGAGCCAAGATCACGCCACTGCACTCCAGCCTGGGCGACGGAGTCAAAAAAAAAAAAAAAAAAAAAAAAAAAAAAAGCACACTTAGGAGTGTTTACCACTGCTAACCCTGTCTAAGCACTTTACATACATTAACATTTAATCCTTACAAAAGCATTATAAGCTAAGTCTATTATACCCATTTTACAGATGGAAAAAATGAAGTAGAAAAAAGTAACTTTTGTCCAGGGTCACAGAACTAGTAAGTGGCCAAGTGTATAATGTATAGGAGGTACAGGGATTGGTTCTCAGATTAGTTAATGAGAAGGAGAAAATGTACTTGGAAGAGAACAAAAGACAGAGGACAAATACAAGGGATAAAAAGTTGAGAAATGAATCACAAGGAGCAAGAAACCAACAGTGCCCAGTGGAGCCCAACAACATATTTGCTGATGATGCCTACGACAGCTTAAAGAAGGAAATGGAAGATGAGCCCAAGTTGGTCCAAAGGAAATGGTGGTGACTGAGAGAAGTTTCAGTGGTATGAGACTGTCTCATCTACAGTATTTGAGAGGAGTGTGTGAAAAAAATGAGGCAACAGAAGATAGATGGTGATATGGTTTGGCTGTTCCCACCCAAATCTCGTCTTGAATTGCAATCCCCATAAACCCCACGTACCTAGGGAGAGGCCTGGTGGGAGGTGACTGGATCACAGGGGCGGCTTCCCCCAAGCTCTTCTCATAATAATGAGTTCTCATGAGATCTGATGTTTTTCATTTCTTTTTTTTTTTTTTTTTTTGAGACAGAATCTCACCCTGTCGCCCAGGCTGGAGTGAGGTGGCACAATCTCAGCTCACTGAAACCTCCACCTCCCACGTTCAAGCAATTCTCAGCCTCAGGCTCCTGAGATTACAGGTATGCACGACCATGCCTGGCTAATTTTTGTACTTTTAGTAGAGATGGGATTTCCCCATGTTGGCCAGGCTAGTCTCAAACTCCTGACTTCAAGTGACCTGCCTGTCTCTGCCTCTCAAAGTGCTGGGATTACAGGCATGAGCCACTGTGCCCGGCCAAGATCTGATGGTTTTATAAGGGACTCTTCCCGCTCTGCTCCTCACTCTTCTCTCTCCTGCTGCCATGTGGAGGCCTTGCTTCCCCTTTGGGGCCTTGCTTCCCCATCATGATTGTAAGTTTCCTAAGGCCCCCTCAGCCCTGTGGAACTGTGAGTCAATTAAACCTCTTTTCTTTGTAAATTACCTAGTCTCCGGCAGTTCTTTACAGCAGTGTGAAAACAGACTAATACAGAGAGGTTTGCTTAAAGAAACCCAGTATGTTTAAAGACAAAAGGGAAGGAACACTCTAAAAGTTGACAATACAGGGATTTTTCTATTTTTCCAAAATCACTTTTAGCTACATTTACAAAATTTACAAAAAATTTTACAAAACGTTTTAATTACCACCCACTGGCCACCAAGGGTGCAGTTCATTTAGCAATTACTAGTTTTAACATAGTTCTAGCCAGGATTGCTCAGATTGCTCACCTAACATCCTCTGTGGAAGGACAGGTTTTTTTTTTTTCTTCTCACAAACCTATTGTTGGCTTCATGTCCTAGCAGAGACAGATGGCCACCAGGCTAAATAAGTGCCAGGGCATCATTTCCCCAGGCCAGGAAGCCCTGAAAGCTCCTCATGGTAGGAAGAAAGCTGCCAAGTCTCCACCTTCTGTTCTGATTTCATACATAATTTTCTGAAGTTGTTTCTATTTATCTTTTATCTAGATGATTGGCTCAGATGTTTCTGTTTTCCTTGGTCAACTGTTTTCTTCTATGATTATTTTAAATTATGCCTCAAAATATTCCACTAGAAAATAAGAACGATAAAACTAAATTAGCTGACAAATAATACCTTTACTAAATGTCATTAGGACTAATGCTTTATACTGTTTTTCAAGCACTCTTTCAGGTTAGAAAGAAAGATGTATTTTTCAGCATTTAAAGGCCTCACTGTTTATCCCTCTGTGCTCTCACTCCCTTAAGACTGCAGCTCAGTGTTAAAAATTTTTACCACGTGAGACTTGCATCACTACATGAACAGGTTTGTAAAAGTTAAAAATCAGTGTTGGCAAGGGTGTGGAAATGTTTGTTATCTTGACTGTGGGGAGTTTTACATACATGTCAAAGCTGATCAAATTGTCCACTTTAAACATGCTGTTTAGTGTACTTAATAAAGTTGACAAACTTAATATTTAGATCACATTGGCAATCTGGTACAGAAAACCATCCTCCCAAAATGAAAGAAAGGGGCAATGTTCTAGAACTCCAAGGTTTTTGTAGCACTATGAGCCTCTTCCAAAGCCTGTAGGAATAAATGTCTTTGCTCCTGACTTCTCTTTTCTGAGTCAGAAGGCTTAAACTCTTTTTTTTTTTTTTTTTTTTTTGAGATGGAATCTTGCTCTGTTGCCCATGCTGGAGGAGAGTGGCACAATCTCAGCTCACTGCAACCTCTGCCTCCTGGGCTCAAGCAATTTTCCTGCCTTAGCCTCCCAAAGTAGCTGGGACCACAGGCGCCTGCCACCAACCCTGGCAAATTTTTGTATTATGAACTCTTCTACTTCTTGACAACCATGCCCTGCTATGGCAAAGGAAAGCCTTAACATTTGAGTTGGAAATTGCTAGAAAGAATGAGAACACTTAAATGACAGAATGAATGCAAAGGAATGAAACAGTGGGGTGAACGTTCAGGCAGTATACTCAAGCCTGATAGAGGGACATAAGACTCCAGGAGAAGCAGTGAGATGTGACAGAAGGAACCATGGCTTTGGAGTCAGTCATACCCCATTTGAATTAGACCCTGATTTTGGATATGGTGAGTCTGTTTCCTCAAGAATTATAGTACCTCCCTTATGAGGTTGTTGTAAAGATTAAATAATAAGCACGTGAAAAATTGCCTAGTACATATAACAAATCCATAGAAAACACACAATAATGTTGGCTGTCTTCTCTCAAGTTTTAAATCTCACAATCAGACTTACAGGGCAACACTCACCAACAGCAATGTCACAAAGGATCAAGGTTTCATAAAATTTGAGTCCATGGCTTCATATTTCATGGTGATTTCCACAAACCTGAATCACGCTAATGTCCAAAGGGCCATCAAAATTATCTTCCATCCAGATATTAGGTGCAGTTTTTCAGGATTGTAGAGATGCTAACAAATTACAGGTTCTCTCATGCAAACACTTTGCTAGGAATTATATATATCAAGTTTATATTTGGCAATCAGGCTTTAGAAGCAGAAGGTCTAGCTATCTCAAACTACCAAATCAGCCATCAAGACTGTGGCATTCAGAAAAACTAAGTCTATCATCTCTTTTAGTAAACATAAGTGAAAAGTGGCTTAACCTGTATACGTATTGTTGATGTCATATGATAGGCAAATCATGATTAAGAGCTTGTGTAACACTGCACCACAGTTTTAAGGGGGACACTGATCTTTAATTTTCAGTGCTCTAAAAGGGATAACGGAGCAGACTAGAAGCACCTGAACACAGTGGTCTGTGTAAAGCTGATCTGGCTTTACAGAAGTAGAAGTTGGTATAACATACTCCCTGGGACCATGTAGAAACCCTGTGTTCCTCTACCTCCACTACCCAGAATGGCATAAAAAGGAGGTCTTTTTCAGAGACAAGCCTTCTGACTCAGGGACAACCTCTCACCTCAGCTGTTTGCAGGCCTTTATTGCTCTAATTGAAGGAAAAGGTTGACAACAGCAGAGGAATAGATAAACTGGAATACATTTACAATTTATAACCCTGAACTATTTTTGTTTGAGGATAGAGAGAGAAAAATGATATAACATTTATTTTATGGTTAATCAGTCATCAGATCCTTCATTAAGGCCCTGTTTCATTTCTAAACCCTACAACAGTCCAGCAAAAATCCCATCTCCTGTGTAAATATATCTTCATGCCTTCATTCCTAAGCTTTATGTTTATGAATTAACTTATCAACTTTGTTAAATGACAAATTTTTTTTTTTTGTATTTTTATTAAAGATGGGGTTTTACCACGTTAGCCAGGATGGTCTCGATCTCCTGACCTCATGATCTGCCTGCCTTGGCCTCCCAAAGTGCTGGGATTATAGGCGTGAGCCACCATGCCTGGCCAAATGAAAAATTCTTTTTTTTTTTTTTTTTTTTTTTTTTGAGACAGAGTCTTGCTCTTGTCGTCCAGGCTGGAGTACAACCTATGCCTCCTGGGTTCAAGCAATTCTCCTGCCTCAGCCTCCCGAGTAGCTGGGATTACAGGCACCCGCCACCATGCCCGGCTAATTTTTGTATTTTTAGTAGAGACGGGGTTTCGCCATGTTGGCTAGGCTGGTCTCTAACTCCTGACCTTGTGATCCACCCACCTCGGCCTCCCAAAGTGCTGTGATTACAGGCATGAGCCACTGTGCCCGGCCTGAAAAATTCTTATAGGAACCTTTAAAGTCCACACCAAAATTCATGGCCTGCTTCTTAATGGGCCTCTGAAACACCTAAGGAAAATAGAAACAAGACTTACACACATGCATTTCCTGTCTATGTCTTAAGAGAATCTGCTTTTTTCTCTTTAACAATTTACTATTTTGAAGTATTCTATATAGTGTGCAAGAGAACTAAAACATTAGACATAGACTAAACACTGAAGATTACTTGTGCAATCACTTTACAGAACAGGGAGATGAAATGACTTGTCCAGGGCATTGAGTTGCATTAGTTACTGTTAGATCCAAGACTTGAGTTCAAATCCCAATTTCAAGACTTATACTTTGGAAGAATGATGCAACCTCTCTGTGCTTCAGTTTTCTGATCTGTGCAAAGTGGGGACTGTTGTAGGTGATTATTACAGGCATAAGAATTAAATGTTAATTCAAAACATGAGGGTGGGCACAGTGGCTCATGCTTGTAATCCCAGCACTTTGGGAGGCCGAGGCGGGTGGATTACTTGAGGTCAGGAGATTGAGACCACCCTGGCCAACATGGTGAAACCCGGTCTCTACTAAAAATACAAAAATTAGATGGGCGTGGTGCTGCACGCCTGTAATCTCAGCTACTCGGGAGGCTGAGGCACAAGAATTGCTTGAACCCAGGAGGTGGAGGTTGCAGTGAGCTAAGATCGCACCACTGCACTCCAGCCTGGGTGACAGAGCTAGACTCCGTCTCCAAAAAAAAAACATAAAATAAACAAATAAATAAAAACAACATGAGTTTTGAGTATTTTATTGCTGATTCTCAGTCCAGTGTTCTTTTCATACGTTGGTTCCTTACACATAACATGCTCTTTATACTATTTGTAAGTGCCTTTGTTTTTTTAAAAATTAAATTTTATTATACATAATGCACATTTAATATATTTTGAGATAAAGAAAAAAACATTCTGGGGAACTCCTTTCCCACCCATATAACAAACTCTGTGAAAAGAGAAATAAAAAAAGTTAAGCCTTTTAAGAATTAACTTTTTCTACCTCCCATACCCCTTAAGGGTTAAGGACAAAAGAAACAGGTCCTCAAAAGCCAAACTGAAGAACTGGCAACATTTAGCTATAATAAGTATGAATAAAATCGGGGTTAAATTTCTGTTTCCCAGTAGAAAAGCATGTTTGAGTAACAGGGAGTAGCTAGCTACTCCATCTATTCAAGGAGGTTAAGAGGAGAGCTTTTGGCCGGGCGCGGTGGCTCACGCCTGTAATCCCAGCACTTTGGGAGGCCGAGGCGGGTGGATCACAAGGTCAGGAGATCGAGACCATCCTGGCTAACACGGTGAAACCCTGTCTCTACTAAAAAATACAAAAAATTAGCCAGGCATGGTGGCGGGCACCTGTAGTCCCAGCTACTTGGGAGGCTGAGGCAGGAGAATGGCGTGAACCCGGGAGGTGGAGCTTGCAGTGAGCCGAGATTGTGCCACTGCACTCCAGCCTGGGCGACAGAGCAAGACTCCGTCTCAAAAAAAAAAAAAAAAAAAAAAAAAGAGGAGAGCTTTTACATTTGAATTGCTGGGATATGGAAAACATGTTAGAAAAAAATATTCTCACTAAAAATTATGAGATAATTGTAGATGCTAAACAAATATCAACAACTACCTTTCTAGAAAATCAGGAGGTAGAGGAAGGGAGTAGGCAATTCCTAAAATCCTTTTAAATCTTCTATATCATAATTACAAAAAGCATTAAGTGTTCATCTTTACAAGATACAGTTTCTGAATAAGCTTTCACTGAAAAGTACTGAATAGTATACTATTCACTACGCAGAAACTGTGTGAAAAGTGTAAATACTACTTGTTTTTTTCTTACCCTGTTTATACCAATTTGGCAAATCGCTGATCTATAACCTGGTTTCACTGGTAAACTACTATATTAAGAATATTTTTAGGATTTGTAGGTAATGGCAAAATAGCAATCAATGAGAAAAAGGAAATAAGCTCTTCAAGAAATGTAAGACAATGAGTAATAACATGCTGTGCAAATCATGAAAAATAAAGCTCATACAGGGCAGGAAAACTGAAAGGTATCAGGTATCAAAATCACATGGGGAGCTTTTTCCACAGTATATGTTCATACCATTCTCAATATGAGTCAATTTCCAGAATGAAAATATACCGTATGTGTATACATAAAATTAACAGGTAGTTATGACAAGTTCCCTCTTACTCTCCCCATTGCCACTTGAGAATAAACTGAAGACTTACTGTTGTTATTAACAGAGGAAGATAATTAAAAAGTGTAATGTTATTTTGTTCTCCAGCCTGGGTGACAAAAGTGAAACTCCGTCTCAAAGTAAAAAAAAGGTAATTTAGAAAATGATCAAAATCTTAATTCAGAATTTTGGTGCAGGGAACAGGGAATTTACTTGTTAATTTCAGAGTTCAGGAAATAAGATCATCAGCACTACTATTTATTAAGTGCTTTTTGGATACCGAGCACTCTGATCAGCAACTTACATGTATTATTATTACATTTAATCAACATAACCATCCCAAGAGGTAAGACAGTTATTATCCATATTTTACATATGAGAGAATTGAAGCTTACAGAAGATGTGATTTGCCCAAAGTCACATAGCTGCAAGTAATACGGTAGGGACAGAAGTAAGACCAGAACTGATATCGAAGGCTGAACTAAATAATAGTCAAGTCTATGTAATAATTTAAACTTAAAATATAAAGTGCTTTGGGATATTTAAGGGGTAGTACAACACAATGTGCCCAACGTAAAATTTATTTTTTTCCTTATTTTTTTTTTTTTTTTGAGACGGAGTCTTGCTCTGTCGCTCAGGCTAGAGTGCAGTGACGCGATCTTGGCTCACTGCAAGCTCCGCCTCCCAGGTTCATGCCATTCTCCTACCTCAGCCTCCTGAGTAGCTGGGACTATAGGCGCCTGCCACAAGGCCTGGCTAATCCTTTGTATTTTTAGTAGAGACGGGGTTTCACCGTGTTAGCCGGGATGGTCTCGATCTCCTGACCTCATGATCTGCCCGCCTCGGCCTCCCAAAGTGCTGGGATTACAGGCGTAAGCCACTGCACCTGGCCCAAAGTAAAATCTCAAACATGTAATTACACAAAAAAGATGGAAAGAATTTCGGCAATACCACTAAGCCAGTCTAGGTAAAAGCATACAATAGCCTAGTTATAAACTGATGGTGAGTTAGAGTACATGACAAAACAAAATTATAAGGTCCAAGAAATATTGACAAGATTCAGATATGAACAAAAGAAGTCAATCAAGGGCATCAGTGACAATATTAACACCCAGAATGTTATCACAGAGTTTTGAAAGAGAAAGGCTCAGATATTGGCTTGATTATTCCATGCTTAAGGAGAAAATATTCCTTAAACATAGAAGGCAAATAGAGGGTCATCTAATAATTCTTGAATTTCTGAGAGTAATTCTCCCTGATCTGCTGGTAGGCAGGGCTGCCGGGAACATTTTCCACAGAGAAGCAGAAATGAGGGACTTCGGTCTTTAGTGATCTGAGCCCACATCCAGTAGGATATGCATGAGGCCCAGCCTTACATGCAACAGAATTATTTTGGCTCCATGAAGTTTTAAACAAGGCTACAATATACAGAATGCAACCAGGTATTCCAGTAGGTAATTATAAGTACAAAATAAGAAATTCAAAGTTCCAACATTCTGGATCTCACACAATCACACATACATGACTCTTCTTCCACCCACATACAGGTCTATAAAACATATATTTTCCTTGAAAAACAGAGGATATGGACATCAAAAAGAGAAGGATGATAAAACTATCTGTAAAGGAAGACTCCTTCCCGTTATATTATATAAAGGTGGTATGTGAAGACGATAATTACAAAACTGAAAAAGGTAAATGGACTAAGATGATGCCCACCACCTCCCAACCCACAATCACATAAAAGTAAAGAATTTAGAGACTATCCATGAAAACTGAGACTAAAGAGTCATACTGAGGCCAGGTGCAGTGGTTCACGCCTGTAATCCCAGCACTTTAGAAGGCCAAGGCAGGCAGATAGCTTGAGGCCAGGAGTTCGAGACCAGCTTGGCCAACATGGCGAAACCCTGTCTCTACCAAAAAAATACAAAAATTAGCTGGGCCTGGTGGCACATGCCTGTAATCCCAGCTACTTGGGAGGCTGAGGCATGAAAATTGCTTGAACCTGGGAGGTGGAGGTTACAGTAAGCCAAGATCATGCCACTGCACTCCAGCCTGGGCAACAGAGTGAGACCCTGTCTCAAAAAAATAAAATAAGTTACCAAAAGAAAAAGACTCACTGTCATAAAAAAAAAAAAAAAAAGTCACACTGAAAATGGCATTCTATTATAAATTCTTCAAATGTAGGAGGGATCACTTTTATACATGTATAGAAAAAGTGATCAGTGGGTGCTCAATAACATTAGTAACAGAAGACTATGCTAATAAACTTTCATAATAAAGAACAGGCAGCTATAAAAAAAAGGAATGTTTCTTGGAAGCACAATTAATCAGAAAACTAATGGTGATTTGGAATCTGGCAAGGATATAGTAAGTTAAGTATCTTTTGGACAGGCACAGCAGCTCATGCTTATAACCTCAGCACTTTGGGAGGCCAAGGCAGGAGGATTGCTTGAACCCAGGAGTTCGAGATCATCTGGGCAACATAGTGAGACCATGCCTCTCCAAAAACAAAACAAAACAAAACAAAAAAACAAAAAAAAAGTAGCCAGGCATGGTGATGCGTGCCTGTAGTACCAGGTACTTGAGAAGCTGAGGTGGGAGGATCTCTTGAGCCTGGGAGGTCGAGGCTGCAATGAGCTGTCATCGTGCCACCACATTCTGGCCTGGATGACAGAGTGAGACCTGTCTCTTAAAAAAAGGGACTTTGGGAGGCTGAGGCGGGCGGATCACCTGAGGTCAGGAGCTGAGACCAGCCTAGCCAACATGGTGAAACCCTGTCTCTACTAAAAATACAAAAATTAGCCAGGCATGGTGGGGAAGCTGAGGCACGAGAATCACTTGAACCTAGGAGGCGGAGGTTGCAGTGAGCTGAGTGCACCACTGCACTCCAGCCTGCTGGGCGACAGAGCAAGACTCTGTCTCAAAAAAGAGAGAGAGAAAGAATAGAATAAAATAAAAATCTTTCATGTGACATACAGTGAAAGGACATAAAGCAGATGGTTCAACAATGAAAGTCCCTGTTCCTCTAAGAATGTAGATAAAGGGACGTACTAGGGATTAAAACAATGAAGGTACAATAATGAATAGAATCAATGCAAGGTGGTTATTACATAAATCTGAAAAGACAACCTTGAAAAATATTAAGTTGAAAAACTAAAGAGAATACTGAGAATATTAATACAGAAATAAAAAATGTAAATACAAAATTAACACCTAAATCTCAATGTAGCATGAAAAATTCTATGTTTCTCATCAAGGAGACCAAACAAGAGTATGTACATGGACCAGCATATGTGTATCCCCAGAAACATTCAAAGCTTACAGTTATCCTTAAAAGAGTCACATTCCTACGCAAAAGAGAGAAGTTCCTAAGAATGCTCAGGGCTACAATCATGGAAAACTGTCCTTAAAAACATGCGGGACTCTCTTCTAAGTTTGGGTTTGCTTATTATGCCAAAAATAGGCTTGATGAGAAAGTATAATGACTAAAAGGAGCATCCTCTGAGTCTCTACAGCTTACAAAATCTAAACTGAGACTCTATCTCTAGCGCTGCTAGGAGGAAACCAGTGAAGTGGAAGCTCCAATAGATTGGCAGGGTGATGAGGCTGGTGAGGTGGGGGTGGGAGGGTGGAGGGAAGAGGTCTTCATGGAGGACTAGGTTACACGGAAACTTTTTAGATGATCAAGAGTTCTTTTCTGAAATTAAGATATATTTAAAAAATATATACGTATACACAAACACACAAAGTAAAACCTGTCTCCAGCTGAAAGATGTACAAGAAAAAAAGAGGAATGCTATTCCTTGCTACATTAAAAAAAAAAGTTAGAATAATTCATAGCAAGGAAAAACACTCTCCCATTTGGTTTCTTGCTATCAGAAACAAAGTTGATTATGTTTCCTCTGTCCTTGAGGAACACCAAACCTACCATGTGGTAATGTTATGTTTGCACCATCAATGATTGCTTGTGCCAGTTCATGATCATTGCTCTCAAAAGCATGTGCAGCAGCCTTCAAGGCATCCCAAATCTCTTTCCGGCCTTCAAAAGCTGGTGCTGTATCCCAAAATTCATCCCTCTTGCTGCGTAGTTGTCCATCTGTCATAGGATAATCGCTTTTCCATTTTGGTTTCTCCTTTTTCAAAGGCTGGTTACGACCTAGAGCAACTGAAAAGAAAAATAAAAGACTGAGATCAAACCCAAAATTTATAAAATATGTATCAAAAGTTATCTGGTCATTCCTCTCTTGGATTATTTCATCAAAATCACAGCCAGAAATTTACCTGCTAGCTAATTTGTGCATCCTGAAATTCCTCTAACACATTTTGGAACTACAAAAGTGAATAGAGACATTAGACTGCTCTATGCAAAACAAATTGGTAGCTCTTTTCCACTCAGTACACCCTCCACAGGATCATTAAAAAGAATTACAGGCTGAGTGCAGTAGCTCAACACCTGTAATCCCAGCACTTTGGGAGGCTGAGGTGGAAGGAAGGCTTGAATCCAGGAGTTCGAGACTAGCCTGGGCAACATGGTGAGACCCCCATCTCTACAAAATACACAAAAATTAGCCTGGCATGTTGGCATGTGCCTGTGGTCCCAGCTACTTGGGAGGCTGAGGTGGGAGGATCACTTGAGCCTGGGAGGTTGTGTTTGCAGTGAGCCATGATCATGCCACTGCACTTCAGCCTGGGCGAGAGTGAAACCTCATCTCAAACAAAACAAAACAAAACTAAAGAACCCCAGAGAATTATAGTTGTAATGAATGTACCACTCTGGTGGAGGATGCTGATAATCAGGGAAAGGAGGCTATGTATGTGTAGGCACTGGGAGTACATAGGAAATCTCTGTACCTTCCTCTCAATTCTGTTATGAATCTAAAACTGCTCTAAAAAAATTTTTTTTTAATACAATGAAAGTTTTGTTTTGTTCATTTTAAAAGAACTGCCTAGAAGGTAAGTGTTTCATCAGACTGTAAGAGCAGGATATGAGAGTCAAGAGACACCACGAAAGAGAGGCAAGATACTTGGGGAAGCAAACGGCAATAGTAGCTTGGACACATGAAACCAGGAAGTAGGAACTGAGAAAATCCAAAGAGGTAAAAGATTGCTTTTCAGTGCCCAGAGAAAGAAGAGCCAAACCACCAGAATCATGAACAAACTGATTAGAGGAATGCTTCCTCTAGCATTCTACTCTCTGGACTTTAGTCAAGGAACTGTAAATACCTTTCTCTGGAACTCAAACAGGAACTAATTTACAAAGGGTAGAATCAGTACTTTAGTTTTTTTGAGGAACTGGGAGTAAAAGAGATAATCTTTGATGCTAGGCCAAGGGATTAGCTCCGAACCACAAGGAGCAGAAGAACTATGATACCCTACCCTAGTTTCAACCCAAGAGAAGAAGAAAACAGAGGGCAAGTGGCAGCATCTCCCCTTAGACAATGTTATGTAGTAGTAGCGCTGGAATAAGCCTGATGCAGCATCCTTGCACCCAGATAACCATCTGGTGTATTATCTGTGATCTATTTCCATGGGTCATACTGACCTACAGAGCCATTCTTATTTATGGCTCTGTAAGATTATACAGTGCTATAGATAGGGAATAGTTTGATAGATGGGATAGAAGATAGAAAGAAAATTGAAGCTGGATGAAAAGATAAGAAGAGTGTTGGAAAAGAGTGGGTGGGAAATAAATGACACAGCGAGTGGGAAGGAGAGAGGGTGTGTGTCAAAATTCAATGTTCTATATTTAATTGCAGAAAGAATACCAATTTTAAAGAAATCACTCTCAAACTGGTTCTAAAGCATCCATGAAATTGACTACTCCCTCATTGGCCCAGGGCCAGATGAAATTTGGACTATGCAAAACAGAAAATAAAATGACTCCAGACCCTGGGCTATCTCTACTCTCCAGGCTATATTCTCAATAAAGACTGCCAGGTCAGGTCTCTTCTGTCCTCTCCCCTCAGGGTGGCACACCAAAAGACTAGCTGTTTTCCACTTAAAACACTCAGCATTAACTCAAATACTTTTTGCCCTCTAACTTGTCCTAGTGAAATGCAAAACAGGTGAGTTCTGAAAGGGTGAGGAAGCAGAATAGGAAACCCATCCATTTAGTAGCAGAGCTGGAAACAGAATCCAAGTCTCTTTATTTAATCAACAAATATGTACTGAGTGTCTACTGGGAGTAACACTACAGATGTGCCTATTACATTTAATTCAAATGCGAGAAACACAGTCTATACTAATGATTTTTCCCTACCTCTTCCAAATAATACAGACAATGCAGCTAGAGCATAATTCTCTAGAAGATGTTCAGAATCTGGTCTGATAACCACAACCCACTGATTGCACCAACACGATGGAATGCAAGGTTGATTTTATTTTCTGCTACATTATCATTTAGATGAGTTAGAGACAGTTTACAGACAACACTCAGCTTACTGACCAGGAAGTGGAAGATGGCACAGTAAGCAGGTAGACTCAGTAAGATATTTATCTGAATAAAGTTTTGGGTCTGAGTATTTCTACAGAATTATCTGGCCTCATATGTATTAAATGCATGAGAGATAACTCAGTATAATTTTTCCTGTCATTCTGAGAGAATTACAAAGCATGGACAAAAACAACAAAACCTCTACAGAAGAATCTCAGGACCTAAAACTAAAGCAAATGAAAGGAAGAGGACTTTGAAAAGAGGAAGCCAACAGAAAAACAATCATAATAAGGGTACAAAGTACCTTGGAAAAATTGTAAAACACCTTCCTTACAAATGTGAGGTAGGTTCATTTCACCTCTCTCCGTTTGTACTAAGCATAGATGAACAAAGTCCCACAAAAAGAACAGATGATGCGTTTATGTTGCTTAAGGAAAATCATTCCAAATGCATTTTCTTTAATTTTTAAATTTTATTCATATACTTGAGACAGAGTCTTGCTCTGTCGCCAAGGCTGGAGTGCACTGGTGCAACCCGACTCACTGCAACCTCCGCCTCCTGGGTTCAAGCGATTCTCCTGCCTCAGCCTCTCGAGTAGCTGGGACTACAGGCCCGCGCCACCATGCCCAGCTAATTTTTGTATTTTTAGTAGAGACGGGGTTTCACCATATTGGCCAGGATAGTTTCAATTTCTTGACTTCATGATCCGCCCGCCTCAGCCTCCCAAAGTGCTGGAATTACAGGCATGAGCCACTGCGACAGGCCCCCAATGCATTTTCAAATCTACATGCTGTCAAAAGTTTCACGGTAATTTGTGACATGAAGGAAGATTACTTTTATTTGCCTATTTCTGCCTGTATTATAAACATAATATAGAATATCTGTCTATAGAATGTCCACTGTTAAAAAATGATTAAATCTTTGTAACATAATTACTTTAGTGAAACCACAGAGCAGTGCAGAATTTTCACTACAAAATCTGAGGCTTGAAGCTTCATGTTAAACTAAATGACTAACCTTTGTTAAATAAATAACTGGGAAAAAAATTAGCATTTAGCAAAAGCATTTGAACTATCCTCTCGTGAAAACATGAAAATATTTAGGTTTGTTAAGAGGACTTAAGTTCATATTCATAAACCACTCATAATAATGCATGATATACAATAAAACTGCAAATAAATGTTTGCTAAATAAGTAAAAATGAACTTAGAGGTACTATATGAAATAACATCTTTAAGTCCTTTGGCAAAAATATACAGGCTGTCTTTCTTCTTTTCATAACTTCCCAATCCCTTCCTTAAATGTTAAAGAAATGTCCCTGATTGTCATGCACTTCCTGTGCCTTATCAGAGTACACTTGCTAGGCATTTGTTCACCAAATCTTATCCTTTGAGTTCAGGTGGTGCCACAAACCTGTATTTCTGAAAATGCAGTAGTTGGACATAGATTATCAGCCTGGCAGCTAAGTACCTCATGTTTGTACCAAGCCAAACATTTTTGTAAGATGTAGAATATATACATACTCAACTAGATTTCATTTTATGCTCTTAAACTTTCAGTTTTATCTGCTTCACACATCTTCTGACTGCTGATACCAAAAGAGAGATGCTTGGTAATCATACATAGCATATAGGACTAGGTACCATGCTCTAACAGTGAAGAATTTAAAGACAGGAAACATCTTTTATTCCCCAAATTTCTGCTTCTCTATCCTTAAACTGCAGGTAACCAACCATCTTTAGTGCACTATGAATTAACATATGAGAAATAAAAAATTAATAAAGCAATCTAATCTTAAAAAACCACACAATCTATTTCAGAAAATATCCTTTCCCCCATCAATCCACATTTACTTCAAAACGTGTCCAAAAGTCATCTTTTTCTCAGAAACCTCTTAATCATATTCACCCACTCTTTATCTTTCCTTGTAATCTTTAAACACTTCTTCCCACTCTGTAACAAATAAACAGATCTAACACACAGAAAACCCAAGTAAGGCTTGTTTCTCAGATCTAAATAACACATAATTTTAAATATTTTTACTACATAATTTAAAGCATTCTACCAAAAACTCATTTTGACATTGGTAAAAAACAATCAATTCTGAAGTTAAGTATGATTATAATTGTTTTCCTGTTTTGGGTTCCTCTTTGAAAACCTTGATTTAATGATGGAACGCTTCAAATGAAGAAAGAAGAGGCCATAATGCATGGATAAGGTGAAAATATCAAGATATGACTCAAGCAACAGCTTTAACCGGTTGAAAACTGGAAGCATCAGTTTCCATAAGACAATAGCGTGAGGGGAAAAATGGAGTATTAGAACCCTTCCGTAACAGACGGTGCTAAACTAAAAGGACACTTGCAAATATTTTCACATAAATTTAGAATGCACTATATACACACATATATACATACATGCATAATACATATATTCCCTTTACCTAAAGCAACTAACTGCCAAAAAAAAATAGGGATATGGGAATTAAAATGCCTAAAATGCCAACAATCAATACAATATGCAAATCTTCTCTACTGTTTGAGAATTTAAAGGTAGAAGAGACCTTAGATTGTATAATCCAACCTTACTGACAGATAGGAAACTAAGATGTAACAAGGATGGCTTAAAATAATCACCCCGTACTAGAACACACATGCCCAAATTCAAAGTCCAGATCTCACTGGGTGCGGTGGCTCACATCTGTAATCCCAGCACTTTGGGAGGCTGAGGCAGGGGGGATCACTTGAAGCCAGGAGTTTGAGACCAGCCTGGCCAACATGGTGAAACCCCGTCTCTCTCTTTTTTTCCTTTGAGATGGAGTTTCACTCTTGTTGCCCAGGCTGGAGTGCAATGGCATGATCTCGGCTCACTGCCACCTCTGCCTCCCAGGTTCATGTGATTCTCCTGCCTCAGCCTCCCGAGTAGCCGGGATTACAGGCGCCTGCCACCACGCCTAGCTGATTTTTATATTTTTAGTAGAGACAAGGTTTTGCCATGTTGGTCAGGCTGGTCTCGAACTCCCGAACTCAGGTGATCCACCAGCCTTGGCCTCCCAAAGTGCTGGGATTACAGGCATGAGCCACCGTGCCCAGCCTGGTGAAACCCCATCTCTACCCAAAATACAAAAATTAGCCAGGCGTGGTGGCAGGCACCTGGAATCCCAGCTACTCGGCAGGCTGAGGCAGGAGAATCGCTTGAACCTGGGAGGCAGAGATTGCAGTGAGCCGAGATCACACCATTGCACTCCAGCCTGGGCAACAGAGCGAGACTCCGTCTCAAAACAAAACAAAACAAAACAGAAGACAGCAACAACAAAGCCCAGATCTCTCTTTCCATTATAGCACTCCATGTCTTACTGGGCTGCTTATTTTCACATAGCAAACCAATAACGAAGATTCACTCTAAATAAAGCATATGCTGAATTGTTTTTCTACAGAAATGATCCATCCATGGGCTTCACTATGGCCAATGGAATGGTTATGACCAGACAAAGGAAAAGCTAACAAAGGAGAAGCAGCAGCTCCCTAGCCCTATCTAATCTACCACTTAATCTATGTTGTGGAGATACCAACCATGATCACTGAAGAGGAATCCTGCAGTAAAGAAGGGGTGATGTGGCTTTACGGCCTATCACTTTCAACTTATAAGTACTTAGCATCTACAACAAATTAGAGACTAAGGATCGTATGTAGGAATATCTGCCTAGACAAGTTAGATACATCATTTTCCGTACTATAATTTTATTAAAAATGAAATAAAAATGAACTTCTGCCATGCTCATATCCTAAAGCTTACCAATTGAAGCATAATAATTTTAAAGGCATTTATATAATTTCAATGTTTTTGAGGTAGCTTTATTGGGGGGAAAAAAATCAACATAACTTCATAATGAATTCCTAGCCCTGATTCTCAGAGTGTAAGTCCCCTTACCAATGATCTGAGCATACAAACAGGCAACATTTTGTAACACCTACCGCAACATAGTATGTTCAAAGACTTTTCCCCCCACTTTTTTTTTAACTATAGCTCTCAGATCCTACAAAACTTTTCTTAATGGGTCAGTCTTATTAAAAGTATTAAGAAATCACACAATTAAGTCCTCCCCACTCCACAAAACAACTTTATTGAGAAAGATAATATTATATGAAACTGGGACTAAGAATATGGTCGCCTAGGCAGTTGGGTGTGGTAGCTCATGCCTGTAATCCCAGCACTTTGGAAGGCCAAGGCAGACAGATCAATGTGGCCAAGGAGTTCAAGATCAGCCTGGGCAGCATATTGAGACCCTGTCTCTATCATAAATACATATATATAAATAAAAGAATATGATCACCTAACATGAGACCACTGCAACTTTTAAGTAGTATATAAACTCTAAGATGGTTTATTTTACTGGTTGGGGGCAATGGCTTTACCATGAGTTAACTTTTTTTTTTTTTTATTGTAGAGACCTTTTCTTCTCTCAATTCATGAGAAAGAAGGCACACACATAAATCAAGGATGCTGGCCGGGCACGGTGGCTCACACCTGTAATCTCAGCACTTTGGGAGGCCGACGTGAGTGGATCACCCGAGGTCAGGAGTTTGAGACAAGCCTGGCCAACGTGGCAAAACCCCGTCTCTACTAAAAATACAAAATTAGCCAGGCGCAGTGGTGCTTGTAATCCCAGCTACTCAGGAGGCTGAGGCAGGAAAATCGCTTGAACCCTGGAGGTGGAGGTTGCAGTGAGCTGAGATCATGCCATTGCACTCCAGCTTGGGTGACAAGAATGAAACTCTGTCTCAATTAAAAAAAAAAAAAAAAAAAAGATGCCCACTATCTCCACTTTTAACACTATTTGGAAACAGTGTTAGATGCAGAATGAGACAGAATAAAACAACTAGAAATTTAAGGACCAGAAATAAAACTAACTCTAGTTGCAGATAATATATCAAACCTGTAATTAGATATAATTAGATTATATATATAATTGCAGATGATATAATATAGTTTGATATCTGGTAGGGCCAGGTATTACAAAACCTCTATAATTGAAAGTATAAGGCTTTTCTGACACTTTTTCTCACTATGGTAAATAAAAGTTTTTTTAAAAAGAAGTATAAGGCTGGTTGGGTGTGCTGGCTCATACCTCTAATCCCAGCACTTTAGGAGGCCAAGATGCAAGGATCACCTGAGCCCAGGAGTTTGAAACCAGCCAGCCTGGCCAACACGGCGAAACCTCATCTCTACAAAAAATACAAAAATTAGCTGGGTGTAGTTGTATATACCTGTAGTCCCAGCTACTTGCGGACTGAGGTGGGAGGATCACTAGAGCCTGGGAGATGTAGGCTGCAGTGAGCTGCGATCGTGCAACTGCACTCTAGCCTGGGCAACAGAGGAAGACCCTCATGAATGGCTTGGTGCCCTTCCCATGAGATCTGGTTGTTTAAAAGAATACAGCACTTCCTCCCCTTTTTTTCTCTTGCTATGTGATGCAATGGCTCCCCCTTTGCCTTCCGCCATGATTGTAAGCTCCCTGAGGCCCTCAACAGGAACAGAGGCCAGTGCCATGCTTCCTGTACAGCCTGTAGAACCATGAGCCAAATAAAACTCTTTTCTTTATAAATTACCCAGTCTCAGGTATTCCTTTATGGCAAGGCAAACAGTCAGATTAACACACTATAATATCGTTGTCATACCTAAGAAAATTTTTTAAAAAATTTATATCATCTATTATGAAGTCTTATTTATTAGATTTATCCAACTTTCCCAAAATGTTTTTCATACCAAGTTCCAATCAAGGCTTATGTGTTGTCATTTGATGTAGGCCAGCATTTCTCAGCTGGGGACAGTTTTGCCCTCCAGGGGATATACGGCAATGTGTGAAGACATTTTAACTTGTTCCTTTACCCTTTGTATTAACCTATAAATAGGAAGTTAGGTTTAGAAGCTTTATTAGAGTCAAGTAAAACATTTTGAGTAAGAATTCTTCATATATGTCTTATATTCTTTATATTGCAACACATGAGAAGGCTAAGTTTGGCTACTTGGTTAAGGCAACTGAATGTCACGTCTATGGTATAATTTGTCCTTGGCAATTACCAGTACAGGGGGTGATCTCTGACATCTTGAATATCCTGTTACCCATGATGCTTTAGTATATCTATTGATGATCCTTACCTGAATCAGCTACAGGGTTGTAAAAGGGTGATTCTTCTAAGTATGTCATTCTTTTCTTCCTTTAATACTGGCATTCTTTGGTAAGAAAAAGGTCTTCCCTCATTCCCTTTTTAGTAGTAGTAAGGATTCATGAACTTTTATTTAGTCAATATATTAAAATAAATTTCAGTCACTATGTATGCTCCGAAATTGACCCACATTGTCTCCTTCAAATTGCTTTTTTGTAGAGACAGGGTCTCACTACGTTACCGAATCTGGTCTCAAACTCCTGGGCTCAAGTGAGCCTCCTGCCTCAGCCTCCCAAAGTGCTGGGATTACAGGTGTCAGCCACCATGACTGGCCTTTTTTTTTTTTTTTTTAATATTTGAATACTTTGCCAATAAAACTTTTTTTGGGGAAAAATCCTCAAACCCTGTAAAGAATAAGACATAAAATACAATAAGGTACTCCAGTTCTGACCCTGATATCACTTACCAATAGCTTATACAATTGAAGTTCCACAGCATGGCTATAGACTGACTGCATGTGTGTCCTCACAAAATTTGTGTGGTGAAGATCTAATACCCAATGTGATAGTATTTGGAGATGGGGCACTGAATGGGACTAGTGACCTTGTAAGACTAGAGAAGAGAGATGATTTTTCCTTGCCACATGAGGACACAGCAAGAAGATAACTGTATGTAAAACAGGAAGATGGACGCCCTCACCAGATACCAAATCAGCTGGCACCTTGACTCAAACTTTCCAGCCTCCAGAATTGTGAGAAACCTTTTTTTTTTTTTTTTTTTTTTTAAGAGAGGGAGTTTTTCTCTTGTCACCTAGGCTGGAGTACAATGGCGCGACCTCAGCTCACTGCAACCTCTGCCTCCAGGGTTCAAGTGATTCTCCTGCCTCAGCCTCCTGAGTAGCTGGGATTACAGACGCCTGCCACCATGCCTGGCTAATTTTTGTATTTTTAGTAGAGACGGGGTTTCACCATGTTGGCCAGGCTGGTCTCGAACTCCAGACCTCAGGTGATCCACCCGCCTCGGCCTCCCAAAGAATTTTTTTTTTGGCGTTGTTTAAGCCACCCAGATAATGGAATTCTTTTTTTACAGGATACGACCACAGAGTTATATGGCTGAAACCGTGCACTATTTTTCAAGACATGGGAAGAATGACTCCGGAGGCAAATCAGAGATCAAGAGGGTTGCCTCCTTGGTTTCAAAAAGGGAGACCATCATCTTGGGTTTCAGCATGAAGGAAACATTGATCTAGTTGCAACGTTCTATTTGGGCCCATGCCTAATCTTCCTACATATTCTGGTGCTCCTTGAACATTCAAGCTGATTGGGGGCATTCTACAGTCAGAATCCAACAACTGAATGGATATATGGAAAAAATATCCTCATCTATGGGGTAGTGCTTATTTGGAACAAAAACCTATTAAGTCAGCAACAGTATTTTAAAAGAATGTTAAATTTTATTTGATGAATCAATTTATCGCAAGACTGTTTCCCCTTTCCTCCCAGTTTTTTTTTTTTTTTTTTGAGACAGAGTTTTGCTCTTGTTGCCCAGGCTGGAGTGCAGTGGCACAATCTCGTCTCACTACAACCTCTGCCTCCCAGGTGCAAGCAATTCTCCTGCCTCAGCCTCCGGGGTAGCTGGGATTACAGGCATGCGCCACCACGCCCGGCTAATTTTTTGTATTTTTAGTAGAGACGGGGTTTCTCCATGCTGGTCAGGTTGGTCTCGAACTCCCAACCTTAGATGATCCGCCCGCCTTAGCCTCCCAAAGTGCAGGGATTACAGATGTAAGCCACTGCGCCCGGCCCCTCCCAGTTTTTGGTGTTAAAATGTCCTGGACATTTGGTGCAGGTCAAGATGTTATAAGCCCACTAGAGCCTATCTCCCTACTGATTATGCCCAAAAACCTGCGAAGTGAGGGAAGAAATCTGTTTTGTATTCTTTTTTTCTTTTTTGAGACGAAGTCTTGCTCTAGTCCCTCAGGATGGAGTGCAATGGTGCGATCTCGGCTCATTGCAACCTCCAACTCCCGGGTTCAAGCGATTCTCATGCCTCAGCCTCCCGAGTAGCTGAGATTACAGGCACCTGCCACCACGCCCGGCTAATTTTCGTATTTTTAGTAGAGACGGGTTTCACCATGTTGGCCAGGCTGGTCTATGAACTCCTGACCTCAGGTGATCCGCCTGCCTCGGCCTCTCAAAGTGCTGGGATTACAGGCATGAGCCACCGGGCCCAGCCTGTTTTGCAGTCTTTTAAAAGTTCCTAGCAATAGTAGCGGTAGAGTGGACACATAACACTCAATAAGAAAAGCTATTCTAGATAAACCAAGAAGAAGGGTACTGTGGAATATGAGGAAAATATTTTTTTCTCCCTTTGCATTTTACCACTTTATTATTGCCACTTTACCCCAAAGGCAGTTCCAGTTACATGGAACCATCTGGCAGTGCTGGCAGTAACAACTCTGAGAGGAGCTTGTCTTTCTAGCCATAAGGCAGATAAAAGATCTCCTTGGTAATGGAGATCATGGGGGAAACTGCAGAGCAGAAACAGCTAAAGAAGAGAATACCCTAAAATTCTGTGTTTGAACTGACCCAAGTTCCACGTTCACCTCTAACCTGTGCATGCATGGAACAGTCCCAAAACAATACAGCCATGGCTCTCTGAGAAATGAATTCTGTTTGGGATGCCAAGACAGGCGACTGCTTGAGCTCAGGAGTTCGAGACCAGCCTGGGCAACATGGTGAAACCTCACCTCTACTAAAAATACAAAAATTAGCCCCACGTGGTGGCGCATGCCTGTAATCCCAGCTACTTGGGTAGCTGAGGCAGGAGAATCGTCTGAACCCTGGAGGCAGAGGCTGCAGTGAGCAGAGATCACACCATTGCACTCTAGCCTGGGTGACACAGTAAGACACTGACTCAAAAAAAAAAAAAAGAAAGAAATGAATTCTGATATAAACCACCACTTTAGCCCCACAGTAACCTAAATGGTGCATGTGCTGTGCACAAAGCAAAGGCTTTGAAAAGTGAACTGACATCAGAACCACTAGCAACAAAAGGAGAGGCAGAACATGCCGGCTGAACCTAGCAGGATTGATTGCCTGCTGAAACAAAACAAAATCAAAGTTCTCCAGATTTTTATGAGGAAACAGATTCTCACATAATATTCAAAATGTCCAGGATGTAATCCAAAATTACTCAACACACAAAGAGCCAGAAATATGTGACCAATTTTCAAAGGAAAAGACAATCAGCAAATGGAAAATCTGAGATGATCCAGATGTTGAAATTATCAGACAAAGACTTCAAAGCAGTTATTATAACCATGTTCCATGGTGGGGTGGGAGAGGAAAGGGAACTCTCTTGAAACAAATGAACGTTTTTAGCAGAGAAACTGAAATGCTAATCAAGAGCCAAATACAAATTTTATAAATGAAAAATAGAAAATCTATATTCTATTTCTCAATAAATAAAATAAAAAATAGAAACATTTAAACAATCCAAATGAAGGCAGAAAACAGAAAGCAAAGGAAAAAAAACCGGAGGGAACAAACAGAAAACACATAATACAATGTCAGACCTAAATCCAATCATATCAGTCACTATATGATCTAAACAAACCAATTTAAAAAAGAAACACATTGAGATTGCTTTTTTTTTTTTTTTTTTTTTTGAGATGGAGTTCACTCCGTCGCCCAGGCTGCAATGCAGTGGTGCGATCTTGGCTCACTGCAACCTCCGCCTCCCAGGTCCAAGCAGTTCTCCTGCCTCAGCCTCCCAAAAGCTGGGACTACAGGTGAATGCCACCATGCCTGGCTAATTTTTGTATTTTTGGTAGAGACAGGGTTTCCCCATGTTGGCCAGGCTGGTCTCGAACTCCTGCCCTTAAGTGATCTGCCCGCCTTGGCCTCCTAAAGTGCTGAGATTACAGGTGTGAGCCACCACGCCCAGCCGAGATTGCTTTTTTTTTTTTTTTTTTTTTTTTTTTTTTGAGACAGAGTCTTGCTCTGTCACCCAGGCTGGAGTATAATGGCTTGATCTTGGCTCACTGCAACCTCTGCCTTCCAGATTCAAGCCATTCTCCCGTCTCAGCCTCCCAAGTAGCTGGGATTGCACCACCATTCCCTGCTAATTGTTGTATTTTCAGTAGAGATGGGGTTTCACCATGTTGGTCCGGCTGGTCTCAAACTCCTGACCCCATGATCCGCCTGCCTCAGCCTCCCAAAGTGCTGGGATTACAAGCATGAGCCACAGCATCCGGCCCAAGATTGCAGTTTTAAAGATTCGACTACATGCTATCTACAAGAAATCCCTGTAAGTATGTTAACATAGAGAAGGTAGAAGTAAAAGGATGATAACTAGCATTACAGGATGATAAATAGAATCATGCAAATACTAATCAAAAGAAAGTTTAAGTGGCTATACTATCATTAGACAAAGTAGACTTCAGAACCTAGGAACAGCTCCAGAGATAAATGATAACAGTAAAAAAGTCAATTCACCAAGAAGACATGGCAATATTAAGTATGTACCTAATAACAGACATCAAGCAGAAACTGAGAGAATTACAGAAGAAACAGGCCGGGTGCAGTGGCTCACACCTGTAATCCCAGCACTCTGGGAGACCGAGGTGGGAAGATCTCTTGAGCTTGGGAGGTCAAAATAAAACTATGATCACACCACTGCACTCCAACCTGAGCAACACTTTCTCAAATAAACAAACAAAAAACAACCACCACCACCAAAAACAAGAGGACTACAGTGGCTATATTTGTAAACAATAAAATAGACTTTAAGACAAACATTTTTACTAAAGATAAAAAGAGATGTTTTATAATTAAAGTGTCAATTCATCAGAAAGACATAACAAGTATATACAACAGAACCCCAGAATATATGAAGCAAGCACAGAATTGAAGGGAGATACAGTTCTACAAACAATACTTGGAAACCTCAATATCCTATTTTCAATAATGTATGAAACATATAGACAGAATAGTGATAAGCAAACTGGAGACTTGAACACTATAAACCAACTAGACTTAACTGACATAAAGAACATTCTACCCAAAAGGAGCAGAATACACATTCTTCTTAAAAACACATAGAAATTCTCCAGGATAGACTATATGTTAGACCACAAAACAAGTCTCAATAAACTTTAAAAGACTGAAATCATACAAAGTTATCTTCTATGATTACATGGAATAAAGCCAGAAATAAGGAAAACTGGAAAATTCACAAATATAAAAAAACTAATACACTCATACAATGAATGGACCAAAAAAGAAATTACAAGGAAAATGAGAAAATACAATGAGATGAATAGAAGTGAACACAAAACATACAAAAACTTATGAGATGCAGTGAAAGCAATGCTCAGAGGAAAATTCACAAATGTAAACAGTCACATTAAAAGGGAAGAAAGATCTCAATGAATAACCTAACTTCATGCCTCAAGGAACCAAAAAAGAACAGACAAAACCCAAAGGTAAAAGAACATAAAGACTACAGCGAGGCTGGATGGGGTGGCTCATGCCTATAATCTTAGCACTTTGGGAGGCCAAGGCGGGCAGATCATGGGGTCAGGAATTCGAGACCAGCCTGGGCAATATGGTGAAACCCCATCTCTACCAAAAATACAAAAATTAGCTGGGTGTGGCGGCACACCCCCGTAGTCCCAGCTACTCGGGAGGCTGAGGCAGAAGAATTGCTTGAACCCAGGAGGCGAAGGTTGCAGTGAGCCAAGATCGCACCACTGCATTCCAGCCTGGGCGACAGAGCGAGACTCCGTCTAAAAAAAAAAAAACAACCCACAAAAATTAGCCAGGCCTGATAACGCTTGCCTGTAATCCCAGACACTCAGATGGCAGAGGCATGAGAATCACTTAAACCTGGGAGGTAGAGGCTGCAGTGAGCTGAGAATGCACCACTGTATTCCAGCCTAGGTGACAGAGCAAGATCCTGTCTCAAAAAAAAAAAAAAATTAATTAAAAAGATTAGTTGGGTGTGGTGGCATGTGCCTGGAATCCCAGATACTCAGATGGCCGAGGCTGGAAGATCACTTGAGCCTGGGAGGTGGGGCTGCAGGGAGCCATGACTGCACCACTGCACTCCAGCCTGGGTCACGGAGAGAGGGCCTGTCTTGGGGGGGAAGAAAATTAGAGCAGAGATAAATAAAACAGAATAGAAAAACAGTAGAGATTCAACAAAATAGAAAGACTTTTAGCTAGACTAAGAAAAAATGAGAAGGCACAAATAACTAAAATTAGAAACAAAAGTGGGGCTACTATTACCAATCTTATAGAAATAGAATTAATAGTGGGGCCGGGTGCAGTGGCTCACACCTGTAATCCCAGCACTTTGGAAGGCCGAGGCGGGTGTATCAGTTGTGGTCAGGAGTTCGAGACCAACTTGGCCAACATGGTGAAACCCCATCTCTACTAAAAATACAAAAAATTAGCTGAGCGTGGTGGCATGTGCCTGTAATCCCAGCTACTCGGGAGGCTGAGGCAGGAGAATCGCTTGAACCCAGGAGGAGGAGGTTGCAGTGAGCCAAGATTGCACCACTGCACTCCAGCCTAGGTGACAGAGCAAGACTCCGTCTCATGAAAAAAAAAAAAAAAAAAAAAAAAAAGAACAGCAATCCTTCTCAATCTCTTCCAAAAAATAGAAAGAACACTTCCTAACTCATTCTATGAGGCCAACATTACCCTAATACTAAAGCCAGACAAAGACACCGCAAGAAAACTACAGAGCAATATCCCTTAAGATATACGCAAAACCCATGCACAGTGGTGCACACCCTCATAGCCCCAGATACTTGGGAGGCTGAGATGGGAAGATCACTAGTTTCAGCCCAGCCTGGTCAAAATAGCATATGCAAAAATCCTCAGCAAATTATTAATACCAGCAAACTAAATCTAAATGCATAAAGATTATATATCACAATTGAGATTTTTCTCAAAACTGCAAGGCCATAAGAAGATATGTAATATGTCACATTAATAGAATTAAGGGGGAACCCACGTGATCATCTCAATTAATGCAGAAAAACATCAGACAAAATGCTTTTTCATAAAACTGGAATAGAAGAAAACTTCCTCAACATAATAAATAGTCTTTATTGAAAACCTACATGTAATGTCATACTCAATGAAGAGACACTGAAAGGTTTCCCTTCTAAGATTAGGACGCCAAGGTGGGTTGATCATCTGAGGTCAGGAGTTCGAGACCAGCCTGGCAAACGTGGTGAAACCTCGTCTCTACTAAAAATACAAACATTAGCTGGGCGTGGTGGTGGGTGCCTGTAATCCCAGCTACTTGGGAGGCTGAGGCAGGAGAGTCACTTGAACCTGGTAGGCGGAGGTTGCAGTGAGCCGAGATAGCACCACTGCACTCCATGCAACCCAGCCTGGGTAATAAGAGCAAAACTCCATCTCAAAAAAATAAAATAAAATAAAATAAATTACATAGGCTCAAATCTTCCCATAAAATACTTATCATTTGCATTAGGAAAAATAGTTAACTTTACAGTGAAGAAAGTTGGCAGTTGCCCTACATGATCAAAGTTAACATCACCAATAATGGGAAAACAGACATTTTGTGACTCCTGATATGCTGCACTGAGGACACAATTTACTTCTGTAATATTCCTGTGTAATGAGGAATCTAAGCATTCAAATTTATAGACATGTATAAAATAACTGGCCTGTCCTCAAAATGCCAACATCATGAGAAGACAAAAAAGTCTTAGGAACTGTTTCAGAGCAAAGCAAACTAAGGGGATATAACTAAACAATGCATGATCCTGGATAACTTTGACTATTAATGGAGATAATAGTGAATTGTGAATAAGGCCTATACAGTAGATATTAGCATTATGTCAATATCCACCTTCCTGATTTTGATAATTATATTGTGCTCATGAAAGATAACATCCTTCCAGCCTGGACAACATGGTAAAACCCTGTGTCTACAAAAAAATAAAAAATTAGCCAGGCATGGTGGCATGCACCTGTAGTACCAGCTACTCAGGAGGCTGAGGTGGGTGGATCACCCGAGCTCAGGAAGGTCGAGGCTGCAGTGAGCTGTGATCGTACCACTGCACTCCAGCCTGGGTGACAGAGCGAGACCCTGTCTCAAAAAAAAAAAAAAAAAAAAAAAAAAGGAAAGAAAGTAAAAGGAAGAAAAAGGAAGAAAAGAAAGATAAAGTCCTTGTTCTTAGAAAATAGCCACTAAAGGCCGGGCACGGTAGCTCACGCCTGTAATCCCAGCACTTCGGGAGGCCGAGGCGGGCGGATCACGAGGTCAGGAAATCGAGCTCATCCTGGCTAACACGGTGAAACCCGTCTCTACTAAAAATACAAAAAAAAAAAATTGGCCGGGCGTGGTTGCAGGTGCCTGTAGTCCCAGCTACTCGGGAGGCTGAGGCAGGAGAATGGCCTGAACCCAGGAGGCCAGGCTTGCAGTGAGCCAAGATCACACCACTGCACTCCAGCCTGGGTGACAGTGAGCCTATCTCAAAAAAAAAAAAGAAAATAGCCACTAAAGTATTTAAAGATGGGTTCCTGTCAGAAATATAATCAAACAGTTCCACATACAGAAAAATCTATAGTGTCCAATCATATTCAATCCAAACAACACTGCCCCAAGACATTATAATCAAACTGTCCAAAAAAAAAAAAAAAAAAAAATCAGAGATAAAGAGAAGATCCTGAAAGCAGCATGAGAAAAGCAGCAAATAACATATAAGGGACTTCCAATATGGCTAGCAGCAGATTTCTCAGCAGAAACCTTCACACCCAGAGACAGTGGGTATGTTCAAAGTGCAATGAAAAAAAAAAAAAAATGGCAACCAAGAATACCATAACCAGCAAAGCTGTTCTTCAGAATGAAGGAAAGATAAAAGGGTTTCCTATACAAAAGCTGAGTGAGTTCTTCATTACCAGACCTGTCTTACAAGAAATGCTAAAGGTAATTCTTGAAGCTGAAAGAAAGGACGTCAATGAGAAACACAAAACATCTCAAAGTATAAAACTGGTGAAAGTAAAATTCAGAATACAGATGGTTCCTGAAGTATAGGGTATAACTGACTTTGCAAATAAAGATGTCGATTACCTGGGTAGGATGGAAAGGAAGATGAGGGAGATGACAATAATATCTGTTTCATAGGACTGTTATAAAGATTTAACGAGGTAATATTTCTCAAACAATTAGAACAGTACCTGTCACAAAGAAAACACATAAATGTACACTGAATTAGAAGAAGTAACTATTTCTCAAAGATCATAGAACTAAACAGTATAACAGGGATTCAAACCAACACTGACTCCAAAGTTCATGCTCTTAACCAGGACTATTCTGCCTCCTGGCTTTAAGAGTTACTTGAATAAATGTTTAACATGGATTTGGATTTTCACCTACCCTCCCAAAGTGAAACTGTATTATTAACCCATTTGAGAGGTTTTAAGGCTCCACAAGATTTCAAAGATGTGAACCCATACTTAGGATGGCACAGAAGTTGGCCTTTTTTTTTCCCCTCTGTGTCCCAGTGCTTGAGGATAGAATTGGCAGACAGGAAGCCAGCGGCACCAAAGACATGATGCCCAGGGGACTGAAGCCTTTTCCCTCTGCCTCCAGACATAATAGGGAACATACATACCTGCTCCCTGCAAAGAAAGCGAGGGTGGCATTGACCTTTAGTGACCAAACAAAATAATTCCTAGGCAGCATACATCAATTATCAAAAGCATATTGCTGCCTGTCCTGAGACCACGATCAAGGGAAGGGCTAATTGTTTCCTAAGAAATACACTAGGAGTACAAAGGACTCTTTCTTCAAGGTGGTCTCCCTCTTCTATCTGAAGTTTCCTCTGCTTGAGAAATTCTAATGTTAAGAGCCTGGCAAAAATGTGTATAAACATACTTCACTTGAAGTTGTACTCATTTGTCAAGTCCTTCTCCTTTAATGGGTTTTTGCAGTCAAAGCCCTCTTGCTTTCAAGAATGGACAAGAATCAAAAAGTAGGTTCAACAGAACCATAAAACATATTGGTATTTTGGCTTGTGCAAGATTTTGCTACGAAATCAATAAAACAGAACTGGGACTAACATGTTAAATTCTATCCAGTTATAAAGAAAAAGATATTTTGAAGCAAACAGAAAAAAACTACTAGAAACTGTATTCTCTTGGGGTTAGATTCATGGGTAAAGACAGAAGTATCTTAGATGTCACTTAATCTTTTGTTTTGTTTTTTGAGATAAGGTCTCATTCCATCACCCAGGCTGGAGTGTAGTGGCACCACCATAGCTCAGTGCAGACTCAAACTCCTGGGCTCAAGTGACCCTCCTGCCTCAGGATCCCAAAGTGCTGGGATTACAGGTGTGAGCCACTGTGCCTGGCCATTTACTATTTTTAAATTTTATCTATGACTACGATCATTACAAAATTCTAAGCTTTATTTTTAGCTTACTTAAGTGCAATGTTCAGAAAGAGAAAGAAATACTATATTCTTGCAAACTATGCTCATAAAAGCTTTGAGAAACTTGCCCATTATTAGCTGGGTATTCCTTTTGCTCTATACTGTATTTCCTCAAATTAAGTCCTGAGATATAAATCTCACAAATCAACTGACAAAATTGATATTGTCAATATCAACCCTATCAATTTTTTTTTTTTTTTGAGATGGAGTCTCACTCTGTTGCCAGGCTGTAGTGCAGTGGCGGGATCTCCACTCACTGCAACCTCCACCTCCTGGGTTCAAGCAATTCTCTTGCCTTGGCCTCCCAAGTACCTGGGATTACAGGCACGCGCCACCACGCCCAGCTAATTTTTGTATTTTTAGTACAGATGGGGTTTCACGTTTTTGGCCAGGATGGTCTCGATTTCTTGACTTCATGATCCTCCTGCCCTGGCCTCCCAAACTGCGGGGATTACAGGCACGAGCCACTGTGCACGGCCCCAACCCAATGAATTCTTAAATTTTTTTTATTTCTAATAAATTTACTCTGACATTCTTTTGAGGAATACATGGACAACTGACAATTGATTATGTTAGTTTACATGTTCCCTTGTTCTTATTACATCAAATGTTATCTATAAGAATGGTTTGCTTAGCAACCCTAGGAAAAAAAAAGTGTTCTCATTCTTTAGGTCTTACCCATGGTAAGGAGAGGGAGGATTAGACAACATCTACTGACCATATGGAAGTTTTGGATAATATAAGTTCAGAGATTCAGACCGGCTGAATCAAATTAAAATGTTTTAGATAATGGGAGGCAGGACACAGAGGCATTCAAACTAGCATTCCTTTTTTCTTTTTCTTTTGAGACAGAGTCTCGCTCTGTCGCCCAGGCTGGAGTGCAGTGGTGCAATCTCGGCTCACTACAACCTCTGCCTCCCGGGTTCAAGGGATTCTCCTGCCTCAGCCTCCCAAGTAGCTGGGATTACAGGTATCCGCCACCACGCCCGGTTAATTTTTGTATTTTTAGTAGAGATGGGGTTTCACCATGTTGGTCAGGCTGGTCTCGAACTCCTGACCTCTGATCCGCCAGCCTCGGCCTCCCAAAGTGTTGGGATTACAGGCGTGAGCCACTGCGCCCGGCCTCCATGTGGCTTTTCCTATGGTTGGGACGGGAAAAGCTACGGTTACAGTCCGGACACTGTAAAGGTTTGATTCCAGTATGTTTTCCTAAATGTCTTTTTAGTTCATCAGACCGAGCAAACGTCCATGTGCATCCTTCCCATGTACATTTGTAGGGTTTTTCTGTGTGTCGTCTTCTGTGTGCTTTCAAGTGGGAGCTTTTAGCGTACACTTTGTTGCATCCATCGTAATCACATCTGTGTATCCTCCACTTCGAGTATCCGGGGATTCCACAGGTAAAGGTCTCTTCCCAGGCTGCAAGATGACCAAAGGGTGATTCTCTTGCAACAATGCTTGTGGGGGGGAACACTGAGTTCATTAAGGGGGGGGTGACATTTCTTCAGGATAATCCGTCCTCTGTGGTTCAATCCCAGGTTCTATTTTAATTTTTTTCTCTGGTACAGGATTTTCTTATGATTCAATTACAGGTACTTGCATGCTACTACTGGAATTTTTCATCTCCTCCATGGAAGACCTCTTCCTCCTCCTCCTCCTCAAGGAGACCATGAGAGGCTCCTGGAGGTGACTCATGTACATAAAGGGGATGGGCTGCACCACCACCGGCTGGATGACCAGCAAGATCCCCAGGCTCCATATTCTGTGCCAGGAGAGGGCAGCTGCCATCATCTGCGGCATGGACAAGTGGCACGTCAAAAGGCTGCCAGCCTGGAGAAGGGGATGAGTATTTTCATTGGTGGGCTGGAAGAAGGCATGCTCAACCCAGGCGAGGCTCTCTGGTGTGAGGATAGGAACTTGAGAGAGGGGTGCAAATTCCCAGCAGAAGGAGGTGAACTCCGCTTGCTCACCATGAAGTCCACTGGCTCCATCTGTATTCCATGCCACAGGCCTTCTAGGGTCTGAAAGAACTCATCAGGCAATTGTGTGGAGTAGATGACCCCATACTTGTTGGGCTTCATGGATTCCATGTAATTAGATGAGTATGACACCGAGACAGGGTCCACGGGCCTCTTGCTTAACAGGAACTGGGTCAAACATGAGCATTCTTTTAAACCTTCTAGGGTGCTCTGGTGTTTGGCTTTGAGAGGTGTGGTTAGGGACGCCGCCCACGAGAAATAAAGGCCCAGATCCGGGCTGCCTGGAGGCCCCCAAGCGCAGTAATGTCAGGGTTCCGGGCGGCGTTGACGGCAGGGGACAAGGACGGGAGCGCATGCAGCAGGCGCTCTCCCTGCGTTCCGGCTGGGGCCCGGCTACACGAGGCTCCCCTCTGGCTCCTGGCACCAACTCCAGGCAGTCACATGATGCCGGCGCCGCTCGCTCAGCAAGTCCCCCGGGGCTGGCAGGGTAAGAAGAGGCTGGGACCCAGGGTGGGAGGGTCAGGGCTGAATTCTTAACTTTTAAGATAGATGGCAAGGGGCTGGGCGCAGTGGCTCACGCCTGCAATCCCACCACTTTGGGAGGCAGAGGCAGATGGATCACCTGAGGTCAGGAGTTCGAGACCAGCCTGGCCAACATGGTAAAACCCCATCTCTACTGAAAATACAAAAATTAGCCGGGCGTGGTGGCGGATACCTGTAATCCCAGCTACTTGGGAGGCTGAGGCAGGAGAATCGCTTGAACCCAGGAGGCGAAGGTTGCAGTGAGCCGAGATCACACCACTGCACTCCAGCCTGGGCAATAAAAGCCAAACTCTGTCTCAAAAGAGAAAAGAGAGAAAAAAAAAGAAAGATGGATAGCAAGGTCAAAGAAATACTGATAATCCGTCCTATAATGAAAAGCTAACAATGACATTCCTGTTACATTCCCAAACCAGAACATCAGTAAAGCCACTCTATTAAGTCATAGCTGTGATAACCTCATTAAGCACTTTAAATTTCTCTGAACATGTACTCCCAACACCTGCCCCCAACACACACACACCTTAAGTCTGAAAAGGTATACATAAAAATGTTTATGTTAGGTGGTAGGATAAATGTGGTTTACTTTTCCTTATACTTTTTTTTTTTTGGAGACAGGGTCTTGCTCTATTGCCTAAGCTGGAACTCAGTGGCACCATCAGGGCTCACTGCAGTCTCAAGTATACTCCTTTTTTAGTCTCCCAAGTAGCTGGGACTACAGGTGCATGCCACCATGCCCAGCTTTTTTTTTTTTTTTTTAGTAGACATGTGGTTTTGCTATGTTGTCCAGGCTGGTAAATACACTTTTTGATATTTTTCTGATTTTTTTTCACAAAAAGTTTCTAAAAGCGGCCAGGCGAGGTGGTTCACACCTGTAATCCCAGCACTTTGGGAGGCCAAGGCGGGCAGATCACCTGAGGTCAGGAATTCAAGACCAGCCTAGACAACATGGTGAAACACCATCTCTACTAAAAATACAAAAATTAGCCAGGCGTGGTGGCAGACACCTATAATCCCAGCTACTTGGGAGGCTGAGGCAGGAGAATCGCTTGAACCCCGCAGGTGGTTGCAGTGAGCTGAGATCGCACCACTGCACTCCAGTCTGGGCGATAACAGCGAGACTCCATCTCAAAAAAAAGTTTCTAAAAGTTCTAAAAATGATTATAACTTTCTTCCTTCTTGATGAATTCTTTTTTTTCTTCTTCTTCCAACTTTTAGGTTCGGAGGTATATGTGCAGGTTTGTTACGTGGGTAAATTGAATGTCACTGGGGTTTGGAGTACAAATTATTATGTCACCCAGGTAGCAAGCACAGTACCCAGTAAGTAGTTTTATGATCCTCACCCTCCTCCCATCCTCTGCCCTCAAGGAGGTCCCAGTGACTACTGTTTCCTTGCGTTTACGTGTACTCAATGTTTAGCTCCCACTTATTAGTGAAAACATGTAGTATTTGCTTTTCTGTTTCTGTGTTAATTCACTTAGGATAATGGCCTCCAGCTGCATCCATGTTGCTGCAAAGGACATGACCTCCTTCTTTTTATAGCTGTGTAAGTATTCCATGGTGTATACATACCACATTTTCTTTATCCAGTCCACTGATGATGGACATCTACGTCGATTCCATGTCTTTGCTATTGGGAATGGTATATGATAAACATCCACACATATGAGTCTTCATGGCAGAACAATTTATATTCCTTTGAGTATATACCCAGTAATGGGATTCCTGGGTCGAATGGTAGTTCTGGTTTAAGTTATTTGAGAAACCTCCAAACTGCTTCCCATAGAGGCTGAACTAATATACCATTCCCATCAGCATTCCCTTTTCTCCACAACCTCATCACATCTGTTATTTTTTGACTTTTTAACAACAGTCATCCTGATTGGTGTGATAGTATCTCATTCTGGTTCTGATTTATATTTTTTTAAAACACAAGAAAACCAAAAAAGTCATGATTTACGTTTCTCTAATGATTAGTGATGGTGAGCATTTTTTCACATACTTGTTAGCCACAGGAATGTCTTCTTTTGGTAAGTGTCTGTTCATGTCCTTTGCCCATTTTTTAATGGGGTTGTTTGCTTTTTGTCTGTTAAGTTTCTTATCAATTCAGGGTTTTAGACCTTTGTTGGACATAGAGTTTACAAATATTTTCTCCCATTGTGTAGGTTGTCTGTTTACTTTATTGATAGTTTCTTTTGCTGTGCAGAAGCTCTTAGTTTACTTAGGTCCCACCTGTCAATTTTTGTTTCTGTTGCAATTTCTTTTGCAATCTTCATCATAAAAACTTTGCCAGGGCCTATGTCCAGAATGGTATTTCCTAGGGTTTCTTCTAGGGTTTTTCAAGTTTTACATTTAAGTCTTCAATCCATCTTGAGTTGACTTTTGTAGATGGCGAAAAGAAGGGGTACAGTTTCAATATTCTGCATATGGCTAGCCAGTTATCCCAGGACCATTTATTGAATAGGGAGTCCTTTCCCCACTGCTTACTTTGTTGAAGATCAGATGATTGTAGGTGTGTGACTTTATTTCTGGGTTATGTAACTCATTCCATTGTTCTATGTGTCTGTTTTTGTACCAGTACCATGCTGTTTTGGTTACTGTAGCCTTGAAGTATAGTTGAGGTCAGGTAGTGTGATGCTTTCTTGTTTTTGCTTAGGATTGTTTTGGCTTTTTGGCCTTTTTGGTTCCATATGAATTTTAGAATAGTGTTTTCAAATTCTGTGAAAAATGTTATAGTTTGACAGGAGTGCATCCAATCTGTAAATTGCCTTGGGCTGTATGCCCATCTTAACAATATTGATTCTTCCTCTCCATGAGCATTTGTTTATGTCCTCTGATTTCCTTCAGCAGTGTTTTGTAATTCTTGTTGTAGAGATCTTTCACTTCCCGCGTTGGCTGTTTTCCTAGGTATTCTATTCTTTTTGCAGCTACTGTGAACAGAACTGTATTCTTGATTTAGCTCTCGGCTTGGATGTTATTGTGTATAGAAATGCTACTGATTTTGTACAGTGATTTTGTATCCAGAAACTTTGCTAAAGTTTCCGATCTAGGAGCTTTTGGGCAGACTAGGGGGTTTTCTAGGTACAGAATCATATAATCTGCAAAGAAAGAGTTTGACTTCCTCTCTTCCTCTTAGGATACCTTTTATTTCTTTCTCTTACCTGATTGCTCTGGCTAGGACTTCCAGAACTATGCTAAATAGGAGTGCTAAGAGTGGGCATCCTTGTTTTGTTCTGGTTCTCAAGGGGAATGTTTCCAGCTTTTACCCATTCAGTATGATGTTGCTGTGGGTTTGTCATAGACGGCTCTTATGATTTTGAGGTATGTTCCTTTAATGGCTACTTTGTTGAGGGTTTTTGTTTTGTTTTTTTTGAGACAGAGTCTCGTTATGTTACCCAGGCTGGAGTGCAGTGGTGCCACCTCGGCTGACTGCAACCTCTGCCTCCTGGGTTCAAGCGATTCTCCTGCCTCAGCCTCCCCAGTAGCTGGGACTACAGGTACCCACCACCACGCCTGGCTAATTTTTGTATTTTTGGTAGAGACAGGGTTTCACTATTTTGGCCAGGCTGGTCTTGAACTCCTGACCTCATGATCTGCCCGCCTCAGCCTCCCAAAGTGCTGGGATTACAGGAGTGAGCCATCGCGCCCAGCCCTGTTGAGGGTTTTAAAAATGACTATAATTATAGTAAGAAAGGAGTAGTCTTCAACACATTCTCATAGAAGAGAGAAGAGACTATATATTAATACAATAAAAAACATATATACTCTATGTATATATGTTGTATGTGTATATGTACTGTATACACCATATAAATGTATGTGTGTGGAGGCGGTGTGGGGGTGGGGAGGAAATTAAAGCTTTACTTTTTCTGTTACCTAGAAGGCAAAAGTGATCTTTTAAGTGTTCCAATCTGAACTTGACAAGGTATTGATTTAGTTTAGCAAGGTCAGAATAAGCTTTTGGACTGTATCAACAGTAAATGGGCCAGGCAGGATGGCTCACGCCTGTAATCTCAGCACTTTGGGAGGCTGAGGTGGGTGGATCGCTTGAGGTCAGGAGTTCGATACCAGCCTGGCCAACACAGCGAAACCAGTCTCTACTGAAAATACAAAAATTAGCTGAGCATGATGGCAAGCACCTGTAATCCCAGCTACTCGGGAGGCTGAGGCAGGAGAATCGCTTGAACCCAGGAGGCAGAGGTTGCAGTGAGCCAAGATCGTGCCACTGCACTCCAGCCTGGGTGACAGAGTAAAACTCTGTCCGCCCCCACCCCCTCCCCGCCGCACCCCCACCCCCAACAAAAAGAAGAGCAAATGCAAAGACATCATTAATCAGTATTTTCCTATTCATTAAAATTTGATAATATGTCCCTGAGATTCTGCTGCAAAAATAACCTGCCAATGTATTTTATACTTTCTACTTACTATTAAATCAGAAGTATTTCTTGGTGGAAACTGAATTTTATTCTATTAATACATCTTAATTTTCCTTACTCTCTCTTAATGTTTTATCTGAAAACTTCTTTCCTCCCTCTTCGAGCAATTATGAAACTTCCTATAGATAAGACTGTTAGTATCCATCCTTGTCCCCAGCTGAAAAACCTATCTTTACCACTGAAGTATAAGTTCTGTTCCTATTGATTATTCCCTTCTTAAAATGCTTAAGGATTGCTTGTTATAGAAAAAAAGTTATTTTTTCACTTACGTGCTTGCCTTATGCAGGTATATCATAGGTTTTAGTCAGCAAATTTAGTATTAAAATATAAAAAACAAAAATACAAACACCCACAATAACCTATTCCTACCCTACAACTGATACAATGCAGAAAGATAGTCTCCTTGCTTCCAAGACTATTACATGTCATTTCATTCAATAACAGATAAGCAATTCTTCCCATTCTCAGAGCTCTTGTTACAGGTTAAGTGTCTCACTCGATGTCCATTCCAGAAGTACTGGGTATCATTTTATTGTTTCTAAAGTTCCTTTTCACTATGTCCTACTTGTTATATGTTGTGGCACATCTCAACTTTTAACTTCAAAATTATGAGAATTTAAAGAGAATATGAACTACTCCGATTCATTTAGGAAGAGCATCTCTGTGACATGATGCAGCCATCACAAACCCAGAGCAGTGAAAGCCAGGGTTTGTTGAATAGGCCCTATGTGTTAATGTTTAGCAATACAACAATGATCAAAGCCTTAAAAGCTCTTGAATCACCATCAAGTTAAAATTATTATCCAGGTAACTGCCCAAGACAGAAATGGGTGACTATCAGAAAACGTACAAGCTATGATAATGAAACTCTGTATTACAGGACCACTGTAGGTTCCCCCTCCCCCGCTTCTAAGTGAGACACTTTAGGAAGCAAGAATGTCTCTGCTCCCTTTATCAACTATAAAACCAGAAGGTGACCCCAAATGACCACATGCTGATATTCTAAGAGCAGAGAGAACACTTTCATGTAATCTCCTTCAACTTACCCCTTGGGACAAGCACCACTTTATAACCGAGATAGATTTTCCAAAACTCCACTAAGTGACTGAAGAGCACAGGCCTAGAAAAGCTTTATTAATCTTTCTACAGATTAAACAATGCCTTCCTTTCTTGTACCTCAGTGAAACTTCTTTCCCCACACAGTTCAACTGCTAAATTCAAGTCAAGTTTGAATGGAGTTTTAAGCTGAAAACATTCGGTCTGGGATAGAAGGCAAAGGTAATGAGAAAGAACATAATCAAGTAAAGGGGCACAAGGAAAGATGAGCAGGATTATGCCTTTTCTCTACTTGACCCAGTTAGATAATAACTGTGTTTACTGTCATGAAGGAAACCACTCACATACACTTTTTTTTTTTTGAGATGGAGTCTCACTCTGTTGCCCAGGCTGGAGTGTAGTGGCACGATCTCGGCTCACTGCAACCTCTGCCTTCCAGATTCAAGTGATTCTCGTGCCTTAGCCTCCTTAGTAGCTGGGATTACAGGCATGCGCCTCCACATCCAGCTAATTTCTGTATTTTTAACAGAGATGGGTTTCGCCATGTTGGCCAGGCTGGTCTCGAACTCCTGGCCTCAAGTGATCCGCCTGCCTCTGCCTCCCAGAGTGCTGGGATTACAAGCATGACCCACCACACCCAGCCTCACTCACATACACTTCTACTGCAAGGAAAGAAAAGCCAACCAAAAACTCCCACCATCTGTGGAGAGAATACTGAACTAGACAACAGAAGACAAAGCTTACAGTTTTGGCTACTCTTTTTATTTCTCTTTCAGATCAAAATCAGAACTGAGACCCTGTGCCTCAGTTTCCTCCACTATAAGATGGCAATATTAACATCAGTCTTCATTAAAGTCAAAGGGTCTTTTTAAGAATCAAGAAAATGTGGTCGGGAGCGGTGGCTCACATCTATAATCCCAGCACTTTGGGAGGCTGAGGCAGGTGGATCACTTGAGGTAAGGAGTTTGAGACTAGCCTGGCCAACATGGTGAAACCCCATCTCTACTAAAAATACAAAAATTAGCTGGGCATGGTGCCACATGCCTGTAATCCCAGCTACTTGGGAGGTTGAGAGAGAAGAATCACTTGAACCTGGGAGGCAGAGGTTGCAGCAAGCTGAGATCGTGCCACTGCATTCCAGCCTGGGTGACAGAGACAGATCCACCAAAAAAAAAAAAAAAAAAAAAACAAGAAAATGTATATGAAGATTCTTCAAAAATAAAAATGTACAATAAAATCTATCATTAACAGCCAGGCATGGTGGCTCACATCTGTAATCCCAGCACTTTGGGAGGCCGAGGTAGACGGATCACTTGAGGCCAGGAGTTCGAGACCAGCCTCACCAACAAGGCAAAACCCCATCTCTACTAAGAATACAAAAAAAATTAGCCAGGCGTGGTGGCACGTGCCTGTAGTCCCAGCTACTTGGGAGGCTGAGGTAGGAGAGTCGCTTGAACCCGGGAGGTGGAGGTTGCAGTAGGCCAAGATCACGCCACTGCCCTCCAGCCCAGGTGACAGAGCAAGACTCATCTCAAAAAAAAGTATCGTTAACAATCACAGTTCTTTTCACGTCTATAAATTGTATTTGTGAAGCTTAAACAACTGAAAAGCTATTAGTAACTTCAATAAGATACCCTCATATGCATTCAACTAGTTTTTTGTTGTTTTATTTTTTGAGACAGGGTCTTGCTCTGTCACCTAGAGTGGAGTGCAGTGGTATGATCTTGGTGGCTCACTGCAGCCACGACCTCCGGGCGAGCGATCCTCCCACCTCAGCCCCCCAAGTAGCTGGGACTACAGGTGCGCACCACCACACCTAGTTAATTTTTTTGTACAGACAGGGTTTCGCCATGTTGCCCAGGCTGGTCTTGAACTCCTGAGCTCAAGCAATCTGCTTACCTCAGCCTTCCAAAGTGCTAGGATTACAGGTGCGAGCCACAGTACCTGGCCTCAACTAGTATTTTATTATGTACCCACTGCTTATAAATCACTGTTGAGATAGTTACATACAAGTTCAAGTATGTCACTAGGTGTATTCAGGGTACGTTTGTTGTGAAAATAACAAGAGTTGGGAAGGGAGACTTTCGTAAGTTAAAATAGGACAGTAGTTGTGAAATATATCTGTATTACTAAACATCTCATAATACAAAGCATGTAATATAAAGGCATAAACATATGTTATAAAGTTTAAATTGTATGTTATATAAAGTTATATTTAAAAACTTGAGTAGGGGCCGGGTGCGGTGGCTCACGCCTATAGTCCCAGCACTTTGGGAGGTTGAGGCAGGCGGATCACGAGGTCAGGAGATCGAGACCATCCCAGTTAACACGGTGAAACCCCATCTCTACTAAAAATACAAAAAATTAGCCAGGCACGGTGGCGGGCGCCTGTGGTCCCAGCTACTCCGGAGGCTGAGGCAGGAGAATGGCGTGGACCCAGGAGGTGGAGCTTCAGTGAGCCGAGATCGCGCCACTGCACTCCAGCCTGGGGGACAGAGCGAGACTCCATCTCAAAAAAAACCACAAAATCTTAAGTAATAAATTCCCCCCAAGATACAATGCACGTGCCTCTGTGTGTGTGTGTGTGTGTGTGTGTAATTTTTCTGAGATGGAATCTTGCTATGTTGCCCAGGCTGGGCTCAAGCACTCCTCCCGCTTCAGCCTCCAGAGTAGATGAGACTACAGGTGTGCAACAACACACCTAGGCTCTAATTTTTATATGGTGAAATGTGGTTTCAAATAAAAAGATAAAGGATGAATAGTTCTGACCCCTGAAATAAAATTAGTCTTTGGTATTTTATTTACTTTTGTTTTTTTTGAAACAGGGTCTTGCCATCACCCAGGCTGAAATGCAGTGGCTCAATTACAGCTCACTGCAGCCTCGACAAGTATTCTAAAAATCAGTACCAGCAATAACTTGTCGTCAGATTGTTCTCCTCCTCCTCCAGCATCCTCTAAAATGTCTGCTTAAAATAAAACAACCCAGCCAGGTGCAGTGGCTCACACCTGTAATCCCAGCACTTTGGGAGGCTGAGGCGGGCGGATCACTTGAGGTCAGAAGTTCAAGACCAGCCTGGTTAATGGTGAAACCCCATCTCTACTAAAAATACAAAAAAATAGCCAGGTGTGTGGCACCTATAATCCCAGCTACCTGGGAGGCTGAGACAGGAGAATCACTTGAACCCAGGAAGCAGAGGTTGCAGTGAGCCGAGATAGTGCCACTGCACTCCAGCCTGGGCAACAGAGCGAGATTCCGTCTCAAAAAAAAAAATTAAAAAATTAAAAAAAAAAAAAAACAAAACAACCCAAGGGGCTAGGCACACACCGTGGCTCATGCCTGTAATCCACTTTGGGAGGCCAAGACAAGAGGATCACCTGAGCCCAGGAGTTAAGAGACCAAACTGGGCAACATGGTGAGACTCCCATTTCTACAAAAAATAAAAAAATTAACCAGGCATAGTGGCATGCGCCTATAGTCCCAGCCACTCAGAAGGCTGAGGTGAGAAGATGGCTTGAGCCCAGGAGGTCAAGGCTGCAGTGAGCTGTGGTTGTGCCACTGCACTCCAGCCTGGGAGACAGAGGGGGACCCCATCTCAAAAAAAAACACAAACAAATGAAAACAAAACAAAAAAAATTCAGAGAATTCTTAAAAGTTGTTGTCATTACTTCCTATTCATACAGTACTCAGTATAGGCTGCACATGAAGCCTGAATTTCTGCTTCATTCAACATAAGCACAGATCAGCCCAAGGGCAACCTAAGTCCACTGGGCTGAATAGGCTATACATGCAATTAATACTCTGTTCACCTCCAAAGCAAGTCAAGTCACCAATAGGTTTGCTAAGGATGACAGAATAAAATACACAAACACAAAATAAGTAGGAAGCTCTTAACAAGCAAATTAGATCACTGCCTCCTTTCACCAGGCAAATAAGAATCTGAGTTAATTACCATGAAGAGTCTCTCTAAAGATAATAGGCTTCTGTACAACTAAGGAACCAGTCAGTAATAAAATAATTTCACCCAAAACCGAAACGAAATAATTAAAGCCGAGTAGTAAACTTTTTTTTGAGACGGAGTCTTGCTCTGTCACCCAGGCTGGTGGAGTGCAGTGGCACGATCTTGGCTCACTGCAAGCTCCGCCCCCTGGGTTCACGCCATTCTCCTGCCTCAGCCTCCCGAGTAGCTGGGACTACAGGCGCCCACCACCCCGGCTAATTTTTTGTATTTTTAGTAGAGACAGGTTTCACTGTGTTAGCCAGGATGGTCTCGATCTCCTGACCTTGTGATCCGACCGCCTCGGCCTCCCAAAGTGCTGGGATTACAGGCGTGAGCCACCGTGCCTGGCCACTGAGTAGTAAACTTTTCATTCTCCAAATGATAAAAGAGCCACAACTGTCTATTCATTATTTCACTTATTTACTCGAGCAACAACTATTTATTGCAGATGTACTAGGCACTATACCAGATACTAGGGATATAGTAAAGAACAAATCAGACAAAACCCTTGCCTTCACAGTGCTTACAATATTCTGGGGGAAGACGGGAAGCATATAAATAAACAAATAATTTCTAAAAGCAACTTTTTTAAAGCAAGTGGGAGGGGCATGCTAGTTTTAAGAACTGTAATAAAAAACACCACCCATTGTTTTTTTTTTTGTTTTTCTTTTTTGAGACAGAGTCTTGCTCTGTCACCCAGGCTGGAGTGCAGTGGCATGATCTCAGCTCATTGCAACCTCTGCCTCCCGGGTTCAAGCAATTCTCCTGCCTCAGCCTCCCGAGTAGCTGGGATTACAGGTGTGTGCCACCACACCCGGCTAATTTTTGTTTTAGTAGAGATGAGGTTTCACCGTGTTAGCCAGGCTGGTCTTGAACTCCTGACCTCAGCTGATCCACTCGCCTCGGCCTCCGAAAGTGCTGGGATTACAGGTGTGAGCCACCGCACCTGGCCAGCACCACACATTGTTTAGATTCCAAGCAAAGGAAACAGCACGAAAGCCCTAAGATGGGAAGAAGCTGTGTGTGAGTCACTGGATGTAAAGACTGCATCGGTATCCCACTGGTTTCATCTGAATCTAATCCATTCTTCATAAGCAACAGTCAGATTTTTAAAAACACAGCAGAGCAGGCACCAGACTTTACCTACCAGGTCCTTCTTGGCATGCCATCTATTCTGGTTCCTACTTCACAAGCCACAGCCAAACTGTCAAACACATCTCATCCACCGGCCCCTTTTCCATGAAGTACTTCCTGTCTGAATTTCCTACGGTTAAACATAAGTCTGTTCCAATTGGAGGTGAAGAGATGTAATATTTTATGCCCAAGAGAGGAATGAGAAAAGTAATGTCAGGTGAGAGATAGGGAGAGTAGGCCTAATAGTGCTAAGTTGCATTTCCAGCTTCAAATGGGCTAAGAGGTAAGGTTCACATCATAAACAAACAACTTCACTTACAGTACATTAAGCAGCCAAAAGTTGGCCGGCTGCAGTAGCTCATGCCTGTGATCCCAACACTTTGGGAGGCCCAGGCAGGGCAGATCACTTGAAGCCAGGATTTCAAGATCAGCCTGGGCAACAAAACAAGACACCATCTATACAAAAAAAATTTAGAGATCAGCCAGGTGCAGTGGTGTGCGCCTATAATCCTAGCTACCCCAGAGGCTGCCTGAGGCAGGGGATTGCTTGACCGCCCAGGAGTTTGAGACTGCAGTGAACTCTGATCACACCACTGCACTCCACTAGGTAACAGAGAGCCTCTCTTTAAAAAAAAAAAAAAAAAAAAAGTTTTTTCCTAGAATCTTACCGTATGATTTTAAAAACTGGTTCCAAAGAACCCAAGAGAACAAAAGAAACACCTGCTTCAGAGATCCATAAACACAACTGAGATTACTCTGTAAAACCTATTTTTGCTATTTTTAAGAACTATAATAAAAAGTTCCACAAATGTTAAGTTTCTAATATGAAGACCATCATGAGACATGTTAGCTTACGCCACCAGGTCAAAATGATTGTAAAGGCATTGGAATGAAGCTTTTCTTGCCATCTTTACGCATATATGAAATTTAGGAAACTTCCTGCAAATGTGTTACTGACTGGGAAAACCACAGGTCTGCATGGTGTCTTTTGTTAATACAGGCATGTATACATCCAGTCCCGTAAAACTGTACAAGTGAGCACATTAACACAGTACATGGATGTCTAGGTTCCACTAAATGTCACAGCAAGCTCAGATGCATCTGCTCAGTATACGCTCTCATCAACACGAAGTAAATAAACAATACTCGGAGAAAATATAACTTAAGTCATAACACTGCTTGACATGACGTGTTTAACTTCTGAGTACAGCTGATGATGTTGGTGATTCAAACTTAAAATCTCCTACAGAACTTTATGAGACTCTAAATCATGTTTAAAAATTTGTGTACCAGGACTTTACTGATTCCACACCATCAAAATAAAATATAAAGAAATCAAATGCTGAGGCTATGTTAGTGTTCAATGTCAGATTTAAAAAAAAAGAAGATTCCATGTTAATGTCTGAATCTACTGATTTCATCTAACATACTTAAAAACGAAAGCTGGGAAGTCAACTGACTTATTTAAGGTCATAAAGAAACGGAAGATGAGTGGAACACTCAAGGGTTCTTCTGACTCCCAGATCTTTTCATTATACTATATGGTCCTATTTAACAAAGCTTCTGTTCTAGAACTAAGAAAGGCTTCTATTAAGAGCATATTATTTTCTCTCCAATGCCATTATAAAGTCAAAGATGTGTTCCACACAAATGATAATTGATCCTAAAGCATTATGAGAGAACCAGTCTCTGCCCCAGGTCCAATGCAGCTTACATTGTGCGAAGATAAGTAATGTATAAAAATAGCCATGATAGAAGTTTTTTTTTTTAAGTAGAGTGGAGAGGATAAGTACTATAAGAATAGTACTAAGGAAGTTCAGAAAACGGCAGGATTATTTCTGGGTAGAAAAATGAGAAAAACGCTCAGAGTTGGTCAATAATGAAAGATTATCCTAGTTGGAACGTAGAAAAAGAGAAGTGGGCAGAGTGTGGATCTACTGTAGCCTGGAAAATAGTTCAACCGTCCTCTGTAGAATTAAATCTACCTGATTTCCAGGGAAAACAGAGGCTACAGCACACATTAAATGATACAAGGCCACATTCAGACAAATCCAGATTGTGGTACATTCTACAAGACTCTTCAAAAAGTCAATGTCGGCCGGGCGTGGCAGATCACTTGAGGTCAGGAGTTCAAGACCAGCCTGGCCAACATGGTAAAACCCCGTCTCCACCAAAAAATAGACAAATTAGCCAGGCATGGTGGCGCACACCTGTATTCCCCAACTACTCAGGAGGCTGAGGCAGAAGAATTGCTTGAACCCAGGAGGCAACGGTTGCAGTGAGCAGAGATCATGCCACTGCACTCCAGCCTGGGCAACAAAGTGAGACTCCATCTTAAAAAAAGAATGTCATAGGGAAGAAGAGGAGGAGGAGTTCTGGATTTTAAAAGATTGAAGTGACAAATGCAATGTCTAAATGCTGATAAGATCTGATTTTGGGGAAAAAAACCCAGTTATAAAAGACATTTTGAGGACAATTAAGGGATTTGGACTATGGACTAGATCTCAGAGGACATGAAGATATAATAATCTTTCTTAGCAGTGATAATGGTACTGTGGTTACGTAGGAGAACAGCTTTACTTTTAAGAGATTCACATTGAAGTGTCATGATGTCTATATTCACTTTCAAACAGTTAAGTGCAAAAAAAAGAGATACAAAGGAATATATATCAAAAAAGATATATAAATATGACAAAATATCATTTGTTTAATATAGGTGACAGGCGTTCAAGGGTTTCTGTACTAGAGTCTTCCAACTTTTCAGTATGTTTGAAAATTGTCATTTAAAAAGTTTGGGCGGGGCGGGGTGGCTCATGCCTGTAATCCTAGCACTTCGGGAGGCCAAGGCAGGTGGATCATTTAAGGTTAGGAGTTGGAGACCAGTCTGGCTGACACGGTGAAACCCCATCTCTACTAAAAACACAAAAATTAGCCAGGCAGTAGTGGTGTGCGCCTGTAATACTAGCTCCTTGGGAGGCCGAGGCAGGAGAATCACTTGAGCCTGGGAGGCGGAGGTTGCAGTGAGCCGAGACTGCACCACTGCACTCCGGTCTGGGCAACAGAGTGAGGCCCTGTCTCAAAAAAAAAAAAAAAAATTAAGTTTGAAAAAAAGAATTAGATGTAACCTTGGTAAAGATGGTCTATCCATCCACTCCTTTCAACAATGAAAGAAATTGAGTCGCACACAGCTAATGGAGGCCTCTTCTCGTAACAAGATTAAAACCCAAGCGGTCTGAAGAATCTTAGACCAAACTCTTTCCATATGCCAGAAAATTGGGAACTAAGAGACACAGACTGATTCTGTAACAAACATATACATGTGCATGTAAAAAAAAAAAAAAAAAAAGTTAAACACATTTTTTTTTTCTTTAAGAGTCAGGGTAGGCCAGGCACGGTGGCTCATGCCTGTAATCCCAGCACTTTGGGAGGCCGAGGCAGGCAGTTCATGAGGTCAGGAGTTCGAGACCGGCCTGGCCAACATGGTGAAACTCCGTCTCTACTAAAAATACAAAAAATTAGCTGGGCATGGTTGCGCATGCCTGTAATCCCAGCTACTCGGGAGGCTGAGGCAGGAGAATTGCTTGAACCCAGGAGGCAGAGGTTGCAGTGAGCCGAGATCACGCCATTGCACTCCAGCCTGGGCGACAGAGCAAGACTCTGTCTCAATTTAAAAACAAAAAAACAAGAGTCAGAGTCTTGCTCTGTCACCAAGGCTGGAGTGCAGTGGCACAATCACGGCTCACTGCAGCCTTGAACTCATGGGCTCAAACAGATCCTCCCATCTCAGTCTCACCAGTAGCTGGGACTACAGGCACAGCTACCACCTGGCCTGCCTAATTTTTAATTTAAATACATTTCTTATGCTTAATCTGTGATAATACAGACTGAGTAGCTCTTATTCAAAAGTTCTGAAACTAGAAGTATTTAGAATTTTAGAATTTTTTTTTTTTTTTTTTTTTTTTGAGGTGGAGTTTCGCTCTTGTTGCCCAGGCCGGAGTGCAATGGTGCGATCTCGGCTCTTCAACCTCTGCCTCCCGGGTTCAAGCAATTCCCCCGCCTCAGCCTCCCGAGTAGCTGGGACTACAGGCGCCCACCACCACGCCAGGCTAATTTTTTTGTATTTTAGTAAAAGACGGGGTTTCAATGTTGGCTGGGATGGTCTCAATCTCCTGACCTCGTGATCTGCCTACCTCAGCCTCCCAAAGTGCTGGGATTACAGGTGTGAGCCACAGCACCCAGCCTAGAATTTTAGAGTTTTTCAGATTTGAATACTTGCAGCACACATACTGAGTATCCCTAATCTGAAAACCTGAAATCCTCTAATTTTGGATTAGGGATGTCCAACCTGTAGCATTAAAATTGTAACAGAATAAAACTCTGTTAGACTATAATAACCTACTACATTAGAATTTTATATAAAATAACCTTGCAAAATGCAGCATTACATGGGAATTAGTCTGTTAGAAGCACAAAAAACAAAAATTTTAAACCACTTCACTAATATCACCTATAATATAGTCTCACAACTTGGTCTACTTATGGCAATCCTGTCTTCCCAAATCTAATAACATATCTTAATAACTTCACATTTCACCTATCTCCTCTACAAGCTTCTTAGCAATCCCCCTAAATGCTATGTTTTTTCGTATCTCTGTACAAGTAATTTCCTCTACATACAGAATGATGCCCTTCTCTGCCTTTTCTTCATCTAATCCTCTTTTAAGACCAACTTCTTGGGCTGGGCGCAGTGGCTCACACCTATAATCCCAGCATTTTTGGAGGCCGAGGCTGGTGGATCACGAGGTCAGGAGATCAAGACCATCCTGGCTAACACAGTGAAACCCCGTCTCTACTAAAAATAAAAAAATTAGCCAGGCGTGGTGGCAGGCGCTTGTAGTCCCAGCTACTCAGGAGGCTGAGGCAGGAGAATGGCGTGACCCCAGGAGGCAGATCTTGCCGTGAGCCGAGATCGCACCACTGCACTCCAGCCTGGGTGACAGAGCTAGACTCCACCTCAAAAGAAAAAAAAAAAAAAAAGACCAACTTCTTGTATCACTGTTTCAGTGATGCTTTCTGACCCTGCCCCCCACTCCTCCTTGAACTTACATAATATTCATTGCTCTAGAGACTTTTTAAATTTTACCTAAGTTCTACTTAAATGTATGATTCCTCCAGTAGGCCATAAGGTACTTAATATACAGCAGGCCTTATTTACATCTCTAATTACAGCTAGCGTCAAGTGCTGGGAGTTGGAATAATGGAGGCTATTTTTTAAAGTTTCAGGAAGAAGCATCTTAACTCAAGAAATAAAGTAGTTGCCCTAAGTTGAAGGCAGATTCATAATTAAATGAACTGAACTATTTGTTACTCCACTCCTTTGGTACTGTCACATAGCCCACAAGCATGGAAATGATCTGAACCAATGCAAAGAAATAGTCTCACCTTGCTTATACCTAAAAGCCCACTACAATAAATGCAAAAAAAACTTAAAGGTTTTACTGTGAGGATAAGAACTCAATGAGAAAAGCCCAAGTCACTAATTCATTACTTAGTCAAGCTTTGAGCAAATGTAAATATAATTATGACCTCACACTCAAATAAAATTCATTTAGAATGATTTTCACATGTAAATATTTCATTTTTCTTAGATGTCTAACTTCAACAGAAATTCCACTTCAGAAAACAGAGCAATAATGGAAACTTCTAAGTTTCACTGCAAACATGCAAAAATAGGCATCACAACACCCAATGTACACTCAGCAGTATTTAACCGCTCAGCTCAATATACGGATATATTAAAAACCAAACTTGATTCTTGCTGACGGCATGTCAAAGTAGCTGATGCAAGACAAATACATGCTGATTGTTCTTGGCCAACACAAATGCATCTTTAAGTACATATGCATTAGTAAAGTCTCAGCCTATGGTCCTTGAACTACCAGTGACTCAAGAAAAGCTTGCTGGCAGCCTAGTACTGCCAGAAAAGCAGAAGCGGAAAGATGCGAGGGATGAGGGGCATGGGGAGAAGCAGGTGCAGTGGCCCCCCAAATGAAGATAACCACTCAGGTGGTCTGCAGTAAGGAAAAAATGAGAGTCATTAAATCAGCAAATTGATCATGTCCGGTTAATTTGATTATGTTGCTTAAACTAAATAAACCTAATGTATTCCTGCAACAAGATAAGAATGTGTTTTAGTCAAAAGCCACAAGAGATAATTAATTCATCAATGTAAAGGCAAAATTTTGTTACTAGTGATTTAACATTCTCATTAGAGGACTCACCTGGGTAAAGTAGTACTAAGAAGGTACTGCCAAAGCTTTGCATATACAGTAATAAAATCAGCCAGATTTAAAAATAAAACCCATCTATTAAAATCTGTCCAAAGAGGCCAGGTGCGGTCGCTCACGCCTGTAATCCCAGCACTTTGGGAGGCCGAGGCAGGCGGACCACAAGGTCAAGAGATTGAGACCATCCTGACCAACATGGTGAAACCCCATCTCTACTAAAAATACAAAAATTAGCTGGGCGTAGTCGCACACCTGTAGTCCCAGCTACTCGGGAGGCTGAGGCAGGAAAATCGCTTGAACCCAGGAGACAGAGGTTGCAGTGAGCCAAGATCGTGCCACTGCACTCCAGCCTGGGCGAGACAGCAAGCCTCCGTCTCTCCGTCTCAAAAAAAAAAATAAAAATAAAAATAAAAATCTGTCCAAAGAAGAGGCATTATAGACTAGGGCTATCAAAAGTTAGAAGAGTAAAAATTGCTATCATGTCTAATGGATTAAAGCTTCTGTCCATAAAATGCAGCACTAATAACTGATTCCTAAATAAATTTAAATTGGAGATGAAAACATCCTCAAATAATGCCCACTGCAAGATTCTTTTTAAAAATGCCTTCTGGCTGGGCATGGTGGCTCACACCTGTAATCCCAGCACTTTGGGAAGCCAAGGCGGGTGGATCACCTGAGGTTAGGAGTTCAAAACCAGCCTGGCCAACGTGGTGAAACCTCATCTCTACTAAAAATACAAAAATTAGCCAGGTGTGGTGGCACACGCCTGTAATCCCGGCTATTTCAGAGGCTGAGGCAGGAGAATCGCTTGAACCTGGGAGGCAGAGGTTGCAGTGAGCCGAGATTGTACCACTGCGCTCCAGCCTGGGCGACAGAGTGAGACTCCGTCTCAAAAAAAAAAAAAAAAAAAAAAAAAAAAAGGCTTTCCAACATAAATTCCAATCCTTTATTGATAGAAAATTGAAAATGGAGTGGGACTAGCCCAACGGAAGGTAGATGATCAGGAAGCAGCTACAATGGCCTATGTCAATTTTTAATGTAAACTCTAGTGCTAAAACTTTTCCCAAAGAGGATTCAGCTCTCCTCATGTCTAATATTTTCCGACTGTAGCTTCCTTGACCTATATATTAGGTTCTCATACCTGCCAACCCAGAGTACCACTGTATTTTCAACCTATATCTTCTTGCTGCCCATTTTCTTTTTGGTCCCCTCCCTACAACTCCACTCCTCCTAGTAAAATTTGCTGCCTTCTGCTTTGTATCATGTAAATGTCCTAAAAGTCTCTTGCCAAAGTGGTATGAAATTTTAGGCACCTCTCTCATAAAGCCCCAGAGCTCACCGACCCAGAAAATATGAAGGATTTTCACCTCCACTGTCACACTAGGGATACAAGGAGACTAAATCTTCAGTCCTCCTCATGCTCAATTTTGCTTTACTTTTTTTTTTTTTTTTTTTTTTTGAGACGGAGCCTCGCTGTGTCGCCAGGCTTGGAGTGCAGTGGCACAATCTCGGCTCACTGCAACCTCCACCTCCCGGGTTCAAGCGATTCTCCTGCCTCAGCCTCCCAAGTAGCTAGGACTACAGGCACGTGCCACCATGCCCAGCTAATTTTTGTATTTTTAGCAGAGACAGGCTTTCACCATGTTGGCCAGGATGGTCTTGATCTCCTGACCTCATGATCCGCCCGCCTCAGCCTCCCAAAGTGCTGGGATTACAGGTGTGAGCCACTGCACCTGGCTGTTTTACTCTTTACTATTGGCACAAACCAAAGAATAGAAGCATAAGAAAATTCAATAAACCAGTTAGATGATGTGTAGAACATAATGGACACTGAAAATACATAAGAAAGAAGTACACTGGACATTCTTGGTGAAGAAAGTCTTACAGAGAATGTGTTTGTCCTGAACCACACCAACCTCAAAAGGGCTACTGGTATATTCTGGAATTGTATACCTAAGAAGTCTACCTTGTTTTAGGATATGAGTAACAAACTACAGCTAGAATTTTTGCAAACACTATGTATTAGTCCGTTCTCATGCTACTATAAAGAACTGCCTGAGGCCAGGCGCGGTGGCTCATGCCTGTAATCCCAGCACTTTGGGTGGCCGAGGTGGGCGGATCATGAGGTCAGGAGATTGAGACCATCCTAACACGGTGAAACCCCAACTCTACTAAAAATACAAAAAATTAGCCAGGCATGGTGGCGGGCGCCTGTAGTCCCAGCTACTTGGGAGGATGAGGCAGGAGAATGGCATGAACCCAGCAGGTGGAGTTTGCCGTGAGCCAAGATTGCGCCACTGCACTCCAGCCTGTGCAACAGAGCGAGACTCCGTCTCAAAAACAAAGAACTGCCTGAGACTAGGTAATTTATAAAGGAAAGAAGTCTAATTGACTCACAGTTCCGCAGGGCTGGGGAGGCCTCAGGAAACTTACAATCACGGTGGAAGGGGCAACAAACACGTCCTTGTTCACATGGCAGGAGGAAGAAGTGCCGAGCAAAAGCGGGGAAAGCCCCTGATAAAACCACAAATCTTGTGAGAACTCACTCACTATCACAAGAACAGCATGGAGGTAACCGCCCCCATGATTCAATTACCTCCCACTGGGTATCTCCCATGACACGTGGAGATTATGAAAACTACAATTCAGGATGAGATTTGGGTGGGAACACAGCCAAACGGTATCACACCACAGCTAGAACCAAGTTACTGAACCAAATTATTTTCTGAAATTACAAGAATGATCCGTTCTAAATACAACCAGATTAGTTTCACAAGCAGAGACCTGCTTCCCTCTTTCCCAATTCAACAAAATTCAGTATACTAAGTACCTACTTACTATGTGTCAGGCCTGATTAGAGGTGATTTTCTTATTGCTTCACCCTTTATGAAACTCTCATGACTCAATTCTTAGTATTTTCCTCCTCTTTCACTTACTTATTAGCAGTCACTCACTTTTACACCTTCAGTCAACTCACCCCAGCTGATCCCAAAATCCACAATCATAGCCCTAAGCATCTAGGAGTTCCCTATCTAAATTTCCGTACCACACTACATGGTGACTCCACTTAGACATTCTTCTGTCACCTACACCTTAACATATACTGAATGCTAAACCAGGGCTTTTCCCAGATATCTTTCTTATTCCACAAAACCTGCCAAGCTACCTCAATATTCCTGGTCACTCGGGTTCATAAACATGGTATTATTTTACTTCTCCTTTTCTCTTCTGTACCCCTACATCCAATAAATCACCAACTCATTCCATTTTTTTCCCTCATGGGTTCCTCATCCTAGTCTCTTCCCACTTTAGGCAATCCTATACCAATGCTTCTCAAACATTAATGTACATAGGAAATCACTTGAGAATCTTGTGAAAATGCAGATTCTGTAGGTCTAAGGCTCTGAATTTCTAACATGCTCCCAAGGTGATGCCGATATTGCTGCTCCAGAGACAAAACTTTCTGAGCAGCAAAATACTAGACTGTAAATTCCTTTGAGGGCAGAGATTTTTTTTTCCCTGTTGTAATCCCAGTAACTAGTACATAATAGTGGTTCAACTAATATTTAGTGAATGATATTTAGCAGTCAGTACATTCTTTTCATCAGATAAGCTCTTCTCTTCAAGAGTCCACACTAACATCCTACGCAATACCTGTCCAGTTTCTCCATCATTTTCTCTCACACACACTGCTCAAGCCAAAGCAGCCACTTTACCAACGATTACCCCATGCATGTATTGTTTACAACCACTTCCAAGCTTTACTTCATAACCATTCTTCTATCTGGTATGTTTTTAAAAACATCATACAGGCCAAACAAAGCATGTTTGTTGACTGGATGTGACTCATGTACTATCAGTTTACAAACTGAGCTGGAGAATCAACTGGGGTGAAGATCAGTCCCCCACGCCTTCTGACCCCGTAATGTGGGCCAGTTGCATTATGTTCCTTAGGACAGATGGTTTCATTTGTAAGGTTCATTATTGGGGTGCAGAGACAAAGAAAGGGAGGGAGGGAAAGACGGAAGAAAGGGAAAGGGGGAGAGAAGGGAGGGAGGGAAGGAAGAAGACAAAAAAAGGAAACAAAATGGCCAGGCACAGTGGCTCACAACTGTAATTCCAGCACTTTGGGAGTCTGAGGCAGGGGATCACTTGAGGTCAGGATTTCGACACCAGTCTGGCCAACACAGTGAAACCCCGTCTCTACTAAACATACAAAAATTAGCCGGTGTGGAGGTGCACACGTGTAATCCCAGCTATTCGGGAGGCTGAGGCAGGAGAATTGCTTCAACCTGGGAGGCGGAGATTGCAGTCAGCCGAGATCATGCCACTGTACTCCACCCTGGGTGACAAAGCAGACTCTGTCTCAAAAAAAAAAAAAAAAAAAAAAAAAAAAAAGAAGGGAACAAAAAGAAGACGAAGTACATTTATGAATTACTTTTGTCAACTTTTTTTCTTTTTTAGCTACCCTGTTAACTGAATTGTCAACTTCTATAAACCATTTCACTGCTAATAACCTTTCATCAGATCAGACAGAGGAAATAAAAGTTTTCCACTTCTTGTTGAGAAAGCAAATGTTAGCTGTGAGATTTGCAAATTATTGGCTATAGATCTATTCTGTATACATCAGTGAAAGGTTACTTTATATTTAAAACTGAAACTAGAAGCACAAGCAACAGAAGAAAAAAATAGATAAATCGGACATCATTAAAATTACAAACTTTAGGTGATGCACGGTGGCTCACGTCTGTAATCCCAGCATTTTGGGAGGTCAAGGAGGGAGGATCACTTAAGCCCGGGAGTTTGAGACCAGCCTCAACAACACAGAAAGACCCCGTCTCTACAAAAATTTAAAAATTAGCTGGCTGTGGTGGTGCACACCTGTGGTCCCAGTTACTCAGGAGGCTGAACCAGGAAGATTGGCTAAGCCCCGGAGGTAGAGGCTGCAGTAGGCCATGATTACGCCATTGCACTCCATCATGGGTAACAGAGCGAGACTCTATTAAAAAACAACAACAACAACAACAACTTTGTACATGAAAGGACACCATCGAGAGAATGAAAAGACAACTCACAGAATGGGGGAAAATATCTGCATATCATATATTTGATAAGGGTTCAATATCCAGAATATATAAAACTCTTACCACTCAAAAAAAAAAAAAAAGCCAAATAACTCAAAAAATGAGCAAAGGGCATAAATATTTCTCCAGGGAAGATATATAAATGGACATGAAAACAGGTGCTCAACACCACTACTCATCAGGAAAATGCAAATCAAACTAAGAGATACTACTTCAGAATTGCTGTAATTTAAAAAATGGAATATAACAAGTGATGGTGAAAAGAGAGAAACTGGAACCATCATACACTGCTGGTAAGAATAAGTGGTAGAAAATAATCTGGTAGTTTCTCAAAAAGGTAAACACAGAATTACCATATGACCCATTAATTCCACTCCTATCCAGCTGAAAGAACTGGAAACAGAGATTGAAAACAGACACTTGTACACCAAAGTTCAGAGCTGCATCATTCACACCAAAATCTGGAAGCAGCCCAAATGTCCAACAGATGAATGGATAAAAAAAAAAGTGGTATATACATGGGCAGGAGTTGGAGACCAGCCTGGCCAACATGGTGAAACCCCGTCTCTACTAAAAATACAAAAAATTAGCCAGGCGTGGTGGTGCGTACCTATAATCCCAGCTACTCGGAGGGCTGAGACAGGAGAATCGCTTGAACCTGGGAGGTAGAGGTTGCAGCGAGCTGAGATCACACCATTGCATTCCAGCCTAGGCAGAGTGAGACTCTGCCTCAGGGGAAAAAAAAAAAAAAGCGGTATATACATACAATGGAATATTATTTAGCCATAAAAAGGATAGAGTACAAATACATGCTACAACAGGATGAACACGGGAGACTTTATGGTAAGTAAATAAACCACAAACAAAAGGGCAAATATTTTATGATTCTACATATAGGACCACACAACGTTGTGAATATAATCAATGCCACTGAATTACACATTTAAAAATGGTTGAGACGGTAATTGTTATATGTTTTGCCACAATTTTATTTTTATTTATTTATTTTGAGACCGAGTCTCACTCTGTCACCCAGGCTGGAGTGCAATGGCGTGATCCTGGCTCACTGCAACCTCTGCCTCCCATGTTCAAGCGATTCTCCTGCCTCAGCCTCCTGAATAGCTGGGATTACAGGCACTCGCCACCACCACACCCGGCTAATTTTTGTATTTTCAGTAGAGATGGGGTTTCTCCATGTTGGCCAGGCTGGTCTTGAACTCCTGACCTCAAGTGCTCTACCTGTCTTGGCCTCCCAATGTGGTGCGAATGCAGGCGTAAGCCACTGGGCCTGGCCAATTTTGTCACAATTTAAAAAAAGTAAACTACGGAAAAACAGAAAACTAGCATTCTTTATAGCAGCCCTGGGTTTAAGCTCTGACTGCCAGTTATAAGCTATGTGATGATGAGCAAGTTATTAAAGGTTGGTGCAAAAGTAATTGCGGTTTTTGCAATTAAAAGTAATGGCAAAGAACAAAACTATTTTTGCACTAACGTAATAACTGCTCTTGGCTTCAATCTTTATCTATGAAACAGAGATACTATCCACCTCATAAGGTTGTTAGGACCTGTTACATAATAAATACTGGATAAATGGTAGATGCTATTCAAAAACCATTGTTACTCACTGAGTAGGTGTCTGTAAGGCTGCTATAAATGGGTATCTGAAAGAACTCCATGATGTTCTCAAGACATTCTGGAATAGAGACTAAAGGAATGAATGTCCAGCATTCAGTTATTCTCTGTAAACCTGGAAACTTGTGACCACCACGGTCAGTTCTCTTAGGATATCACTGAATGCACAAAATAAATGACACACTCAGAAAGTGAGAAGTTACTTTGTACATCACTATACTTTCATTAAAGAGGTGAAGAAAGAAAAGGTTGTTGGTTGTCTTCAATTAATACAATTTTATTGGATTTTCTGCCCACATATTTATTTCAAAAAATCATAAAGGATTTAATTCCTTAGCAAATGTCATGGCTAAAGGCTTGTCTAGAGGTCCTAAATGCCAACTCCAGCATCACAATGTCATTCTAGTACGGCGGAGAACCATACAGAATGTCTGAAAATGTCAAAACAGGCTGGGCGAGGTGGCTCACGTGAAGTCAGGAGTTCAAGACCAGCCTGACCAACACGGTGAAACCCCATCTCCACTAAAAATATGAAATTAGCCAGGCACGGTGGCGCACGCCGGTAATGCCAGCTACTTGGGAGGCTGAGGCAGGAGAACTGCTTGAACCCGGGAGGGCGGAGTTTGCAGTGAGCTGAGATCGTGCCATTGCATTCCAGCCTGGGCAACAAGAGTGAAACGACGTCTCAAAAAAAAAAAAGTCAAAACAATGGGAAATTCTAGGAGCATGGAAGCTTAGAACTGTTAAATAATCTTACATAACTTCTATGACATACCTGTCTTGATTAAAAGTAGGCATTAAAAAAAAAAGGCTGGGCACAGTCGCTCACACCTGTAATCCCAACACTTTGGGAAGCACAGGTGGGCGGATTACTTAAAGGTCAGGAGTTCAAGACCAGCCAGGCCAACCTGGTGAAACCCCGTCTCTACTAAAAATACCAACAAATTAGCTGGGCATGGTGGTGGGCACCCGTAATCCCAGCTACTCTGGAGGCTAAGGTAGGAGAATCTCTTGAACCTGGGAGGCAGAGGCTGCAGTGAGCAGAGATCGTGCCACTGTACCGCAGCCTGGGCGACAGAGCAAGACTCCATCTCAAAAAAAAAAAAAAAAAAAACCAGCCTAACTACTCATGTGGCTGAGGCCAGAGGACTGCCTGAGCCCAAGAGTTCAAGGCTGCAGTAATCTATGATCATGCCACAGTACTTCAGCCTGGGTGACAGAGCAAGATACTATCTCAATAACAAAATATAAAAATAAAAGTTTTTTTATTTGAAAAAAGCCTAAGTAGCTGGAGCTCAAGAACTAAATTCTAGGCAAGGTATATGCCAAAGGAAAATACAACAATTAATCCCAAAACAATAGATAATGCAAAGCTTATAATGTGAATTAAGCCACTTCCATATTCTACAGTCTCTTATAAAAATCTCCCAAATTCCTTCAAAGAATACACCTAATAAGGAAGGTTTTATTGATATACACATAATTACTTGCATACATAAGAGATGGATTCAGAGGGAAAAAGGAAAGTATAGTATTTCAAATGGTCAAAAGATTTTTTTAAAATCTTTTTCTTACTAAGGCTGGCTGATATTTAGAAAGGGTCAAGCTATTCTAAAATGGTGATGTTTGCACAACACTGTGAATGTAATTATTTTGTTTATTTTTTTAAAGACAGAGTCTCACTATGTTGCCTGGGCTGGTCTCCAACTCCTGGGGCTCAAGCAATCCTCTCGCCTCATCATCCCAAAGTGCTGGGATTACAGGCATGAGCCACCCCGCCTGGTTGGTGAATGTAATTAAATCTGTCATGGAAAGTTTAAATCCGTTGTAAGAAGCATGTGAAGACTCCATGTTGATAAAACAACTTTCATAACCCAACACATTCAGATTAAAAACACGGCAAAACCCACCTCTACTAAAAATTTTTTAAAAATTAGCCGGGTGCGGTGGCATGCACCTCGTGGTCCCAGTTACTTGGGAGGCTGAGGTAGAAGGATCACTTGTACCTGGGAGGTCAAGGCTGCAGTGAGCTGTGATCTGGCACTGCACTCCAGCTTGGGCGATAAAGCAAGAACCTGTCTCGAGAAACCAAACCAAGCCCTCCACACATCCCCCAAACCTAACTCACTACCACAGTATGTTTGAAAAGCTAGGGATCTGTGCCAACACCCTTAGGAAAAAGTCTTTCCCTTCCCAACAATCTACTTATTAAGCAATAATTTTTTTTATATGTTAACCTGCAACACACCTGAGTTAATTTCACTAAACCACAATTAACTCTTAATTATCATGACAATAATGGAGAATAAAAGCGTCCATAATCAAATTCCAGAAATAATCCTTTTAGTACAAGAGCCTCTTCCCTGACCCCAGTTACATCAGGGCCCATGTCCTCTCTCCAAAAGAAAATAAAGACGTTTGGTGGTTAATGTTCCTTTTTCTAAACTTCATGTACAGCAGAGCTTACGGTCCAGAGAACTCAGTCCTCAAAGAAACTGATACTATAGCTATCTAACTGGATACCACCGGTAATAAATTACCCAAAGCTAAGATTTCACGCTTTTTAAAGCCCATATTAATAATGCCTGTCTGGTCATAAGTCACACTACCAAAAGGCTTAAATAAATTAATCCACATACATTACGGAGAAGAGCAAAATGCTTATGACAATATTAAAATGAGTGTGAAAAAAATTTAATTAAAACTAAACACTAGCGATAACAAATACTAATATATTTCAGAATCATTAATGATCAACACAATTAGAGGAAGATTCATTTTGATCCTTCAATTTCACCTTAACCCAAGGCTGTTTTAAATCGTGCCCTTTTTATCTTCCTGCTTTGTTGTCACTGAGGATCTCAATATGCCAGTAATAATGCTACGACATAAAATACACTATAAAGTAGCATTTTCATGGACTTTTTCAAGACAACTTCCACTGAGTTCTCAAGTTATTTACCCAGGATTTAGTCATACAGGATACCCACAGATTTTAATAAAGTGGCATGGCTAACCATCATGGAATTCAGGAAATCCATTAGCCAAAAAACTTAGGTGTACATGGTTTGTGAAGAGAGCTTAAGTGACAGGGCAAGCAACTGGTCTAAATGTTAGTATGCTACGAAAAAGTTGTAAACCCTCCCATACCCAAACAATTTAAAAATTTACAGACATGCACATTTTAAGGCAGCTAACATTAGGTCACAAATCAAACCAACGCTGTCATCTTTGCCTAAAGGCTGTTTATCACTAAAATATTCTACAGAATGGACGTAACCAAAGGTCACTTAAATAAAGATAGAACTAATTTTATTATTATACTGCCATACTACAACTACTACTGATTGAATTAAAATACCTATCCTCAGCACGCTTTTACTATAAAGTAGGAGTGCGTTCCCGTGTTAGAAAACTTTTAAAGTACTGATCTTACTGGGTGGGGTAAGTCAGGGTCCAACTGCACTTGTACTTTTATCCTACATATTTTCCTTCTACGTAAGACAGATGGGAATGTGATTAGCCCACCCCGACAGCACACCGGCCTAACACCCCCAAGCTCTAGCTAGGAGCCACGTTTTACCCGGGAAGACCGTTTCCCCACCCCTCCTTAATACAATGCCTGCGGCCACTGGAGACTCCTCCAGCCGAGCTCCAGAAACTCGCAGGTTTAAATGGCCAATCTGGAACCAACCGGGGCAGCTGTCATCTGAAACTCAGGAAAGCTGAGACCAGCCAACTCCACAGAACAAGGAAGGGTGCGGAAAGATGTGGCGGGGCCCGTCGGAGGGAACGCATCAAGCTCCCTCCCCCCGCCATCAATTCGCTTTTCTGCAACCCCGGCGCCGCCATCCTGATCCTCAATAATTAAACGGCCTGGAGAGGGAGTGAGGTGGCCAGAAGGGCAGCTTCGGGTCCGACTTCCCCGAGCCGAGCGGGGCGGTCGGCGAGGCCAAGGGCTACGTCCCCGGCGCTCAGAGGACTTTTCTTCAGGGCTGGGGCGGGAAGGGGCGACCCCCGCGGCTGGCAGGACAGCCGGAAGCGGAGCGCGGGGAATGACGTGGAAGAGGGGATGACAAAGGGGCGCGGGGGCCCGGCGCGGCCCGCGGGGGTCGGGACAGGTGGCCGGGCCTGGCCGGGAACAATGGGGGGCCGAGGCTGCCCCCTGGCGCTCACCTACCTCCGGTGCCCTCCGAGTTCTCGTTGAGGCTGCCCGAGGAGTCGTGCTGGGCGCCCACACACCCGCCCATGGGGGCCCCCGGCGCCTCGTCCGCCACCTCCGGACGCTCGTCCGGGCCCGCCGCCGCCGCCGCTGCAGCCTCCTCCGGCGCCACCGCCGAGCTCCGGACAGGCGCGCCGCTCCGCTCGCCCGCCGCGGCCCAGCCTCCGCCCCCCTCGCCGCTCCACCCACCGCCTTGGCTCGGCCCCTTCCTCCGCGCCCACTTCTACCTCAACCCCCGGGCCGCCCGCCCGGCAGGCCTGGCCCGCGCGCCGCCCTCGCCTTCGGCTCAGCCCCGCCAGGCCAGGGCTGGCCCATCCCGGGCGGGCCGCAGCGCCCGCCTCGCCCCCTCACAGCCCCGCACACCCGAGTCCAGGCGAGCCCCGCGCCGGCGCCTCGCGTCCGCCAGGACCCATCGGCCCCCGGCCCGCGGCGCCGCCCTCCGCACCCACGGCCTGGGCTCGGCCCGGCCCGCCCGGAATCGCCGGAGAAGGGCGGGGCCACCGGAGGCCGCGCTCTGATTGGCTGCGGGCGGGGCTGCGAGCGGAGCGGGGCGAGGGTGAGGCGGGGGAGGGGACGCAGGGGGCTAGGTGGGGGGAGGACTGCAGGCGGGGGGAGGACTGGAGGCGAGGGGAGGAGGAGAGAGGGAGGACGGGAAGAAGAAAGGAGAGGGAAGAAGGGAGGGAAAGCAGGAAAAAGCCGAACAAAAGTGAGAAAAGAGGAGTGGGAAGGGGCGAAATCGAGTTCCTGGCTCCTCGGCCGTCGGCTCCTTCTTGCTGGTGGAAGCGGGTCGCACGGGGGAACCGAGAAGTAGTCGTGGAAGACTCGCAGGCGGGGACGGGGCGGTTTCCCAAATAACGGGGGCTCGGGGGAGAGTGTCCTGGCCGAACGTTGAGGTCCCAGCGCCCTTTGAATTTGTATGGCGCTCCGTGGGTTGGTACCCCGAATCTGGGCTTCCTCTTGCCTGCCCACCCCCGTCTTCCCTAAAATCATGGGGCCCCATTATTAGGGGTGGAGGCAGTGGTTGTGGCAAACCAAACTGAGATTAGAGGCGAGGCGTCCTGATGGAACGCCTGGAAAGAAGAGATAAACGCTGACCTTAGTTCAGGGGGCGTGGGTTTCTTTCATTTTCACGGGATTAATGATTCAAACAATACTACTTATCAAGATCCTGCCTTTGGGTATCTTAAATCGTCCTTAGGCCAAAGTGAAGTGTAAATGAGTGAAACACCCTGCCTTTTCGAATCTAGAATTTGGGACATTGACCACGCCCAACATTCTTGGCGGTTACTTTTCCAATCTCAGCCAAATTGTTAATGGTCCCTTTAGAATTGTGCTTCGTGCTATGATGCCTTAAAATTGTTATCATCCTGCTTGGGACTTTCTAAAGCTTATTTCTGCCTAAGAAGCTGTTTTAACTATCTGCTCCATTTTTATATCAGACTTTCTTTTTTTAACATCCTGGGTCAGCTTTTGCTTAGCACGAAAAAAAATTTTTTAAGTTGAAATACCTAAGAAAGAGATGCTCTGCAGCTTGGGATTTGCATTTAAATATATTCTCATACATTGCTGGTGGGAGTGTAAATTGGTTCAATCTTTTTTGCAAAGCAATTTGGCAATGCAGATCAAGAGCCTTAAAAATGTTCATATCCTTTGACTCGGGATTATTCCACATCTGGAAATCTAGCTCACAGAAATAGATCAAGCTATTATACAAAGATTTAGATCTCTGTATTCATTTGATAAAAAGACAGTAGACAAGCAAAACCTACACTTAGGTTAAAACACAGAAATGTCGTGAGATATAGAAATCTGCTATATTAAACTCATCCTGAAGAATTAGTATTGTCCTCAGTTGTGGTCCTGAACATTCCAAAAAGAGCTTATGCCATCGATGTTATTATGAGTTTTCAGAGGTTGCTCTGACATCAGGGGCTGTGTCACAAAGCCTTCTGTCTGATCATTTTCAACTAACTATACACGTTGGCAGACACATCACTTCATCACTTCCCTGAAGAAGAGAAGCTGCATGCCGAATATTTGCAAAGAGATTGCTTTGTCCTGAATTTCACTCTAGAAATTGCAGAAACCAAGACTTCCACGATGTCTATTAAACAGATGGTAGGCACCCAAATGATGAGGGCTCTCCGATGAGCACTGAGGAGTTGGCACTAGGAAGAGAGAGCAATCTCGGGGAGAGATTCTCAGCAATAGATGTTCTCCACCCTGCCTTTATCTTAGAGACACATTTCCCAGGAGGCAGAGTAGTGTCGCAGTCAGGGCCCCAGCTTGGCGATTAACTTCCTGGATTGGAATCTGGCTTTCATCGTGTACTAGCTATATGGTCTGAAGTTTCTGCCAGACATGGTGGCTCACGCCTGTGATCCCAGCACCTTGGGAGGCTGAGGTGGGAAGCTCACTTGAGCCCAGCTGTTTCAGACCAGCCTGAGCAACATAGGGAGACCCTGTCTCTACGAAAAAATTTTAAAAATTAGCGGGGCGTGGTGGTGAGCGCCTGTAGTCCCAGCTACTCAGGGGGCTGAGGTGGGAGAATTACCTGAATCCAGAGAGGTGGAGGCTACAGTAAGCTGTGATCGCGCCACTGCACTCCAGTGTGGGTGACAGAGCGAGACCCTGTCTCAAAAAAAGAAAAAAGAAAGTTTGGCCGGGCACGGTGGTTCATGCCTGTAATCCTAGCACTCTGGGAGGCCGAGGCGGGCGGATCACGAGGTCAGGAGTTGGAGGCCAGCCTGGCCAATATGGTGAAATCCCATCTCTATTAAAAATACAAAAATTAGGCTGGGCGTGGTGCCTCATGCCTGTAATCCCAGCATTTTGGGAGGCTGAGGCAGGCGGATCACAAGGTCAGGAGATCGAGACCATCCTGGCTAACATGGTGAAACCCCGTCTCTACTAAAAATACAAAAAATTAGCCGGGCGTGGTGGCAGGCGCCTGTAGTCCCAGCTACTCAGGAGGCTGAGGCAGGAGAATGGCGTGAACCCGGAAGGCGGAGCTTGTAGTGAGCAGAGATCGCGCCACTGCACTCCAGCCTGGGCAACAGAGCGAGACTCCATCTCAAAAAAAAAAAAAAAAAAAAAAAAATTAGCCAGGCGTGGTGGCTCGCACCTGTAGTCCCAGCTACTTGGGAGTTTGAGGCAGAAGAATAGCTTGAACCCGGAGGGCGGAGGTTGTAGTGAGCTGAGATCTTGCCACTGCACTCCAACCTGGGCGATAGAGTGAGACTCCATCTAAAAAAAAAAAAAAAAAAAAGTTTATGTGGAGTTCAGTTTCCTCACCTGTAAAATTGGGCCAAAAATAATGCTCCAAACTCTGTGGGGCTTTTCATCAACTCTTTATTTCATGTCTAGCATCATCTATCTAAATTTACTGCAGGCAGGCACAGTGGCTTCGGCCTATAATCCCAACACTTTGGGAGGCTGAGGCGGGCAGACCGCCTGTGGTCAGGAGTTTGAGACCAGGTTGACCAACGTGGTGAAACCCCGTTTCTACTAAAAATTCAAAAATTAGCTGGGCATGGTGGCGTGTGCCTGTAATCCCAGCTACTCGGAAGGCTGAGGCAGGAGAATCACTTGAACCTGGGAGGCAGAGGTTGCAGTGAGCCGAGATAGCACCACTGCACTTTAGCCTGGGCCACAGAGCAAGACTGACTCCAAAAAAAAAAAACTGACTGCATAGCACTTTCTATCAAAACAATTCCTTCTTTGTGTGTGTGTGTGTGTGTGTGCACATGTGCTTTTCTACTGTTTTATAGTATCTTTATTAAGATATTCATATACCATGTATTTCACCAGTTTATTTTTAATTGACAAATAACTGTATTATGAGGTCACAGTGTGATGTTTAGATACATGTTTACAATGTGGAATGACTAGGCTAATTAACAAATCCATCACCTCACGTATTTGTCTTTTTTTTTTTTGAGACGTAGTCTTGTTGTTGCACAGGCTGGAGTGCAGTGGCACAATCTGAGCTCACTGCCACCTCTGCCTCCTGGGTTCAAGCGATTCTCCTGCCTCAGCCTCCCAAGTTACTGGGATTACAGGCGCCTGCCACCACGCCCAGCTAATTTTTGTAATTTTAGTAGAAATGGGGTTTCGCCATGTTGGCCAGGCTAGTCTCAAATTGCTGACCTCGTGATCTGCCCACCTTCGCCTCCCAAAGTGCTGGGATTACAGGCGTGAGCCACCGTGCCCCGAGCCACTGCGCCCCGTCCACGTGCTTCTCTTTTTTGTGGTGAAAACATTTAAGATCTACTCTGTTAACGATTCGGAAGTATACAGTGCATTATTATAGTCACCATTCTGTGCAGTAGGTCACTAATGCCTATTCCACCTAACTGAAACTTTCTACTCTGGAATCAATATCTCCCTTTTCCCCATCCACCCCCACCCCTTCACCAATTTACATTGTACAAGTCAATGGTTTTTAGTATATTTACTAAATATCAATAGTCAATGAATTTTAAAACATTTTTATCACCCTAAAAAGAAACCCTGTACCTATTAGCAGTCACTCCCCATTTCATTCTATCCCCTACCTCACCCCAGCCCTAGGCGACCACAAACCTTTCTCTTTTTTTTTTTTTTGAGACGGAGTCTCCCTCTGTCACCCAGGCTAGAGTGCACTGGCACAATCTCAGCTCTCTGCAACCTCGCAGTTGAAGTGATTCTCCCACCTCGGCCTCCCGAGCAGCTGGGACTACAGGTGTGCACCACCATGCCCAGCTAATTTTTTGTATTTTTAGTAGAGATGGGGTTTCACCATGTTACTCAACCTTCCAGGCTCAAGCAATCCTCCCACCTCCCCCCGCCTCCCCCCCGCCAACCCGCCACCCGCCGCCAACACACACAATACCCAGTAGCTGAGACTAACTTCATTCCTCTTTATGGACAATATTCCATTGTATGGATGTACCACATTTTGTTTATCCTTTCATCAGTTGGTGGTTATTTGGATTGTTTCCATTTTTTGGGTATTGGAATAAAGCTGCTATGAACATTCCTGTACAAGCTTTTGTGTAGCCATATGTTTTTAATTGTCTTGGATTTATACCTAGGAATGGAATTGCTTGGTCATATGGTAACCCTGTTTAACTTTCTGAAAAATTGGCAAATTGTTTCCAAAGTGGTTTTGACTTGATTTTCCTAATGGCTAATAATGTTGAGCATCTTTTTATGTACTTATAGGCCACTTGTATATCTATTTTGGAAAAATGTCTACTCAAGATACTTGCTCATTTTTTTTTTTTTTTGAGATGAAGTCTCGCTCTGTAGCCCAGGCTGGAGTGCAGTGGCATGATCTTGGCTCATTGAAACCTCTGCCTCCCAGGTTTAAGTGATCCTCCCGCCTCAGCCTCCTGAGTGGCTGGGATTACGGATGCCTACCACCATGACTGGCTAATTTTTGTATTTTTAGTAGACACGGAGTTTTGCCATGTTGGCCAGGCTGGTCTCGAACTCCTGACCTCAAGTGATCTGGCCGCCTTGGCCTCCCAAAGTGCTGGGATTACAGGTGTGAACCACTACACCCAGCCTATTGCAGGTTTTTTACTTTTGTGTGTGTGTGTGTGTGTGTGTGAGACGGAGTCTTGCTCTGTCACCTAGGGTGGAGTGCAGTGACGTGATTTTGGCTCACTGCAACCTCTGTCTCCTGAATTCAAGTGATTCTCCTACCTCAGCCTCCCAAGTAGCTGGGATACCAGGCACCTGCCACCACGCCTGGCTAATTTTTTCTCTTTTTTTTTTTTAGATGAAGTATCACTCTGTTGCCCAACCTAGAGTGCAGTGGTGCAATCATAGCTCACTGCAGCCTTGAACTCCTGGCTCAAGCAATCCTCCCACTTCAGTCTACCAAGTAGCTGGGTCTACAGGTGCACACCACCATGCCCAGCTAACTTAAAAAATTTCTTTTTGGGCTGGGCACGGTGGCTCACACCTGTAATCCCAGCAATTTGGGAGGCCGAGGTGGGTGGGATCACCTGAGGTCAGGAGTTCAAGACCAGCCTGGCCAACATGGTGAAACTCTGTCTCTACTAAAAATACAAAATTAGCTGGACGTGGTGGCACATGCCTGTAATCCCAGCTACTTGGGAGGCTGAGGCAGGAGAATCGCTTGAATCCGGAAGGCAGAGGTTGTGGTGAGCCAACATCTCGCCATTGTACTCCAGCCTGGGCAACAAGAGCGAAACTCCATCTCAAAAAAAAAAATTCTTTTTGTAGAGATAGGGTCTTGTTATGTTGCCTAGGCTGATCTCGAACGACTGAGATCAAGTGATCCTCCTGCCTCAGCCTCCCAAAGTGCCGGGGTTACAGGTGTGAGCCACCACACCTGGCTTAACTTTCTTTTCTTTTTTTTTGTTTTAATTTTGGAGACGGGATCTTGCTCTGTTGCCCAGGCTGGAGTGCAATGGCACAATCTTGGCTCACGGCAGCCTTAACCTTCCAGGCTCAAATGATCTTCTCACCTCAGCCTTTCTAGTAGCTGGGACTACAGCTGCATGCCACCATGCCTGGCTAATTTTCTTTATATTTTGTAGAGACAGGGTCTCACTATGCTGCCCAGGCTGGTCTTAAACTCTGGCCTCAAGTGATCCTCCCGCCTCAGCCTCCCAAAGTGTTGGAATTACAAGCGTGAACCAATGCTCCTTGCTTAACCCTCTTGATAGTGTCTTTTGAAGCACAAAAGGTAGTTTCCTTTTTTTGTTTGTTTTTTTTTTTTTTGGAGATGGGGGTCTCACTATGTTACCCAGGCTAGACTCTGACTCCTGGGCCCAATCCATACTTCCACCTCAGCCTCCTGAAGAATTGGGACCACAGTCATGGACCACTGCACCAGCTGATTTTAATGAAGTCCATTTAACCTATTTTTTTCTTTGATTGCTTGTGCTTTGGGGCTCATATCTAAGAAACCATTGTTGGCTGGGTGCAGTGGCCCGTGCCTATAACTCCAGCACTTTGGGAGGCAAAATGCCTTGAACCCCAGAGTTCAAGACCAGCCTGGACAACATAATGAGACCCTGTATCTACAAAAAAAATTTAAAGAATTAGCTAGGCATGGTGCTGTGTGCCTGTGGTCCCAGCTACTTGGGAGGCTGAGATGGGAGGATCACTTGAGAATGGAAGGTCGAAGCTTCAGTGAGCCATGATCATGCCATTGCACTCCAGCCTGGGTGACAAAGCAATATACCATGTCCGAAAAAGAAAAAGAAAGAAAAACAAAAAGAAACCATTGTCTAAGGCCATGGAGATTTACACTCTAAGAGTTTTATACTTTTAGCACTTACATTTAGGTCTTTGATCTGTTTTGAATTAATATTTTTATTGTGGTAAAATACATATAACATGAAATAACTTATTTTTATTTTTTATAAATGTATTTGAACTAAAGATGGGATTTTGCTATGTTGCTTAAGCTGGTCTTTAACTTCTGGCCTCAAGCAATCCTCCCACCTTGGCCTCCTACAGTTCTGGGATTAGAGGTGTGAGCTACTGCACCCAGCCTGACTTAATATTTATAAATGATGTAAAGTAGGGATCCAACTTCATTCTTTTGCATGTGGATTTCCAGTGTCCCAGCATCATTTGTTGAAAAGATTATTCTATCCACCCCCGCCCACCTTTTTTTTTTTTTTGAGATAGAGTTGTGCTCTTGTTGCCTGGGCTGGAGTGCAATGGCACGATCTCGGCTCACTGCAACTTTCGCCTCCCAGGTTTGAGTAATTCTCCTGCCACAGCCCCCCAAGTAGCTGGGATTACAGGAATGCACCACCATGCCCAGCTAATTTTGTATTTTTAGTAGAGACAGGGTTTCACTATGTTGGCCAGGCTGGTCTCGAACTCCTGACCTCGAGTGATCCACCCACTTTGGCCTCCCAAAGTGCTGGGATTACAGGCGTGAGCCACCACCTCCGGCCATTCTTTCCCCATTGAATTGTCTTGATGCCCTTGTCAAAAATCAATTGACCATAAATGTTAGAGTTTATTTCTGACTGTCAGTTTTATTTCATTGATCTTTTATGTCATGATTATGCGAGTACTACACTGTCTTAATTACTGTAGTTTTACAGTAAGTTTTGAAGCTGGGAAATTCAAGGTTGTATTGTCCTCTTTATGTACTGTTGCATTCTATTTGCTAACTTTTTTTTTTCAGAATCATAAACAGCTCTTTTATTTCTATATTAAAATGATTTTTGTGGCATATTTAGCAATTTAAAAAAATTGTTATTTTAGGTTTGGGGGTACATGTGAAGGTTTGTTACATAGGTAAACACGTGTCATAGGGGTTTGTTGTACATATTATTACATCACCCAGGTATTAAGCCCAGTACCCACTAGTTAGCTTTTCTGCTCCTCCCCCTCCTCCCACTCTCCCTCCTCCAGTAGACCTGTGTCTGTTGTTTCCTCCTTTTTTTTCTTTCTTTCTTTTTTTTGAGACAACGTCTTGCTCTGTCACCCCTGGAGTGCAGTGGCATGATCTCAGCTCACTGCAAACTCCGCCTCCCAGGTGCAAGTGATTCTCCTGCCTCAGCCTCCTGAGTAGCTGGGATTATAAGTGCTCACCATCACGCCCGGCTAATTTTTGTATTTTTAGTAGAGATGGGGTTTCACCATGTTGGCCAGGCTGGTCTCAAACTCCTGACCTCAGGTGATCCGCCCGCCTCAGCCTCCCAAAGTGTTGGGATTACAGGCTGAGCCACCGTGCCTGGCCTGTTTCCTTCTTTTGTTTCCTTCTTTGTGTTCATAAGCTCTTACCATTTAGCCCTTATAACATTTTGTTCTAAATTATTGCATCTCTGGTTATGAATATTTGCCTATAATTTTTTTTTGAGACGTAGTTTCGCTCTTGTTGCTTGAACCGCCTCCCAGGTTCAAGCACTTCTCCTGCCTCAGCCTCCCAAGTAGCTGGGATTATAGGCATGAGCTACCATGCCTGACTTTTTTTTTTTTTTTTTGAGACAGAGTCTCGCTCTGTCACCCAGGCTGGAGTGCAGTGGCATGATCTCGGCTCACTGCTCGGCTCACTGCAACCTCTGCCTCCCGGGTTCGGGCAATTCTCCTGCCTCAGCCTCCCGAGTAGCTGGGATTACAGGCATGTGCCACCAAGCCTGGCTAATTTTTGCATTTTTAGTAGAGACAGGGTTTCACCATGTTAGCCAGGATGGTCTCGATCTCCTGACCTCATGATCCACCCACCTTGGCCTCCCAAAGTGCTGGGATTACAGGTGTGAGCCACCGCACCTGGCCCTAAGTTTGTATTTTTAGTAGAGACAGGGTTTCTTCATGTTGGTCAGGCTGGTCTCGAACTCCTGACCTCAGGTGATCCACCACCTCGGCCTCCGAAAGTGCTGGGATTACAGGCGTGAGCCATTGCACCCAGTGTCTATAGTTCTTTTTTTCCTTAAAGGTCTTTGTCCACTTTTTGTATCAGGTATTATTTTGATTTTATGGAAGAGAAAAGGAAACTCTAAAGAACGGAGGAATGCAGATAAGCAGCAGCAGCAACCCTAGGGCTGAGACAGTGCACTTAAGGAAGAGGCCCTTCTAGGGCTGAGAGCCAGTGCCCCATTGCTGGAGGGGATATGGCCTTGGCTTGGTGAATGGCAGAGAAGTTCCTCTTGTGCCACACCAGTGGAAGTTGCTGGAAATCCCTTCTCTAGGACTTGCTGATAATATGCCCTGTAATGCTGAAAGGCTGTTTATAGGAGGTACCCCACTTAGAGCCATTCTGCTGTGAAACTACCGGGTACTACGAAGTACCTGGAGAAATTGCTCATTGCTAGGTGGTGTAGGCTTCTGCATATTGCAGGATCTGGGCCTTGGAGAAGCTGCCCACCACCTCAGGAGCCTGGTGCTGGAGCAACATATATACTGAAGGAGCTATGCTAGAGAAGCTTGTTTGTGCCGCAAAAGCTGGCCACTTAGAAAGGCTGCACACAGCGCAGGAACCTGGCACTGGAGAAGCCACCCAGGCTGTGGAAACCTACTGAGTGAGTGAGCCTCCTGCAGTGTCTCTCCAGTGCCCTCTACTGTCAAAGCTAAACATTGTGCCAGCTGGCAAAGAAACAATATTTAAAGGGCCCATATTCATTTTCACAGAGCAGGCAATGAAGATTGAGTTTGCATCTGAGATTCAACAATTTGATAACTGGCATAATGTTCTACCTGAAAACTTTAAAACCTGTGCTTCACAACTCTTGGATCTAGGGAATTACAGAAATTAAAGAATTGCTACAAATCCAAATCTATGGGATATATGTAAAGCACATATCCCCAGAAAAACTCATATATCAAAAGAAAATTCATAGCCCTGTTAAAATTTTTAGACAAATTACATTAAAGCAGAATTTATTTAAGCAAAGAATAATTCATGAATCAGGCAATCCTCAAAACCAGAACAGGTTGAAAGATTTGTAGCCTGCAATGTGGGCAGGCAGCACTTATGAATACTTCAGGTGATTACAGCTCAGCATTTGCTTTATTTGAACATGGTCTAATCAGTTGCCCAACTGTGATTGACTGAGGCTTGGCTAGTGTGACCGGCTGAGACTCAGCTACTGTTACAAAAGTATACTCCTAAGTTAGGCTTGTAGTTCGCTGATGTACTAAGGTTACAATTTGTTCCATAAGGACTCAAGTACAGAGGCATCCTCAAGCCAAATTTAGTTTAACAATTCCTCCATTTTGGTCAGCCTCTCAATTTTTGAGAGATTGACCTAAACCTTGAGCATTGATGCCACTCTCTGTCACCATTGCAAATGGACCTATTTGGTTTTAGTATGAAATTCACAAGTCACAAAGTCACAGCAGTTGAATAATTCTTGATGTTCTTGATGATCTAATTGAAGTGAGACCACTGAACACTCAATGGATGGCTTCATACAGACATTTAAGATGACATTTAAGATGGGCATGGTGGCTCACACCTGTAATTCCAGCACTTTGAGAGGCTGAGGCGGGTGGATCACCTGAGGTCAGGAGTTTGAGACCAGCCTGACCAACGTGGTGAAACCCTGTCTCTACTAAAAATACAAAAATTAGCCAGGCATGGTGGCGCATGCCTGTAATCCCAGCTCCTCGGGAGGCTAAGGCAGGAGAATCCCTTGAACCCAGGAGGCGGAGGTTGCAGTGAGCTGAGATCGCGCCATTGCACTCCAGCCTGGGTAACAAGAGAAAAACTCTGTCTCAAAAAAAACACAAAAAACAAAAAACAAAAAAACAAGAGGATATAGTGTACTAGGGGGATTATTATGATGACTGTCAGGAGGAAAATACCAAAAGACTAAAGAGTACTCTTCAATAGGAGTCCCCATGAACCAAACAACCAAATCAAACAAGTCAAAGTTCATACAATATAGGCATCTGAGTTCATTTGGTCATAGTCTTTGTTGAGGCACAATGGCAATTGAGGACCATAGTTCACTGTAGAGTGGTCTGATTTAAAGAGGTATCCAGTTTTGTTGTTAGCCTGTTAACACAAGTCATAGTAACCTGAAGACCCACTAGAAGAACATAAAGATTGGAAAACCTTGGAAAAGCCAAGCTTGCCATCCACCATTTAGGATGTCTGCAAGCCAACTGTTGTTTGCTCCTATAAATACATCGTGTTTCCTTTTTCTTGAGACATTTCCTTAATGTATTTGGTGGCAATACCTAAAGAAACAGCAATATCAGCTGGGCAAGGTGGCTCACGCCTGTAATCCCAGCACTTTGGAAGGCCGAGGCAGGGGGATCACCTGAGGTCGGGAGTTCGAGATCAGCCTGGCCAACATGGTGAACCCCGTCTCTACTAAAAATACAAAAATTAGCCGGGCATGGTGGCACTTGCCTGTAATCCCCGGGAGGCTGAGGCAGGAGAATTGCTTGAACCTGGGAGGCGGAGGTCACAGTGAGTTGAGATAGAGCCACTGCACTCTAGCCTGGGCAACAGAGCAAGACTGTCTCAAAAAACAAAACAAAACAAAAAATCCAGCAACTTTATTTTTAGAGATGCGGTCCTGCTAGGTTGCCTATGCTAGACTTGAACTCCTGAGCTCAAAGCTATCCTTCTGCCTCAGCCTACTGAATAGTTGAGACTACAGGTGTGTGCCATCATGCCCACCTACCATCAACCACCTTTTAAATTAAGCTTTCTGTAGTAGCAAAATCAGGGGAAAGATAGGTACAAGATTCAGTTTTGTTTAGGACCATGCACAAGCCCTGAGCAAAAAGAAGAGCTAAAGCTGTTGATGTTCCTTAAGGGCTTGTTTTCTTGTTTTTTTTTTTTGTTTTTGTTGTTGTTGTTTTGACAGAATCTCGCTCTGTCACCCAGGCTGGAGTGCATTGGTGCAATCTTGGCTCACTGTAACCTCCGCCTCCTGGGTTCAAGCAATTCTTCTGCCTCAGCCTCCCGAGCAGCTGGGATTACAGGCACGCGCCACCACGCTTGGCTAATTTTTGTATTTTTAGTAGAGATGGGGTTTCACCGTATTGGCCAGGCTAGTCTTGAACTCCTGACCTCAAGTGATCCACCCACCTCGGCTTCCCAAAGTGCTAGGATTACAGGCATGAGCCATCGCACCCGGCCCCATTAAGTGCTTTTATTGAAAATGTATGTTGTCATCCACATTTCAGAGGGCGACTTCTACTTATCTGAACCCCTGGGAAGTCTGATTGGCCAAAAAGTCCAAGATTTTTCCCCAAGTTATGAATTAGCTTCAATTCGATACTAACAATACTCCACAATTATCAAGAGTGAGCCCCCAAGAACCCCATTGGAACTGTTCCTCAATGGAAACTAACTTGTCTTCATATACCCAACAATTGCTCTGTTTTTTTGCTGGAGCATGAACCTTAGCTAAAGCCATCCACAAATTATGGTCCCATGGATTTTCCTGGAGAGAAAAGGAAAGGATTAGGGCAGCAGGAAAGAGGGGGTCAGGGGAGGATAAGGCTTTCATGATGCAAAGAAGTCTTGACCCATGATCTTGGGAAAGAGTCCACATCTAGAATGCCTTCTGCTTCTGGAGGGAAAAGTTCCCTCACCAGCTTTACCTGAAAGTCTCCCACAGGTATACAGCTTCAGGAGTCTCGAATCCCACAGGTATACGGCTTCAGGAGTCTCGAATCCCACGGGCGTACGGCTTCAGGAGTCTCGAATCCCACGGGCGTACGGCTTCAGGAGTCTCGAATCCCACGGGCGTACGGCTTCAGGAGTCTCGAATCCCACGGGCGTACGGCTTCAGGAGTCTCGAATCCCACGGGCGTACGGCTTCAGGAGTCTCGAATCCCACGGGCGTACGGCTTCAGGAGTCTCGAATCCCACGGGCGTACGGCTTCAGGAGTCTCGAATCCCACGGGCGTACGGCTTCAGGAGTCTCGAATCCCACGGGCGTACGGCTTCAGGAGTCTCGAATCCCACGGGCGTACGGCTTCAGGAGTCTCGAATCCCACGGGCGTACGGCTTCAGGAGTCTCGAATCCCACGGGTGTACGGCTTCAGGAGTCTTGAGGGGCTCCTTTGAGTTGAGAGTTGTGGATCCAAGTCTCAGAGCACTGAAGTTTTGTGGCAGAGAAGAACTTGTTATGGTCCCTTCCAATAGAGTTCAAGGACAGTCTTTCTCTGGTGTCATTTCCAAAGGACTCAATCGCTGAGTTTTGGACTCTGAGAAATCTAGTTGTCATCTGCTGGTGGGTCATGAAGGCCCCCCCTTTTTTTCTTTTTCTTTTTCTTTTTCTTTTTTTTTTTGAGACAGAGTCTCACTTGATCACCCAGGCTAGAGTGCAGTGGCGTGATCTTGACTCACTGCAACTTCTGCCACCCAGGTTCAAGCAATTCTCCTGCCTCAGCCTCCCAAGTAGCTGGGATTACAGGCGCCTGCCACCACACCTGGCTAATTTTTGTATTTTTAGTAGAGACGGGATTTCATCATCTTGGCCAGGCTGGTCTTGAACTCCTGACCTCGTGATCCGCCTGCCTCAGCCTCCCAAAGTGCTGGGATTATAGGTGTGAGCCACCGCGCCCGGCCTGCCTTTTTTTTTTTTTTTGTTAACCTAGTGAAAGTATGCTTTGGCATAATGCATTAAAGCCTTGCACTACTGAATCATAGCAGAGTTTATAAGAGTAGAAGATACATGAGGTTCTATTCTTAGGGGCATAGGCCTTCCAGTGACTGTTTCTTTTCTTTCTTTCTTTTTTTTTTGAGATGGAGTCTCGCTCTGTCGCCAGGACTGGAGTGCAGTGACACGATCCCGGCTCACTGCAACCTCCACCTCCCAGGTTCAAGCAATTCTCCTTCCTCAGCCTCCCGAGTAGCTGGGACTACAGGCGCGTGCCATGACACCCAGCTAATTTTTTATTTTTAATAGAGATGGGGTTGAAACCCCCATGTTGGCCAGGCTGGTCTCAAACTCCTGACCTCAGGTGTTCTGCCCTCCTCGGCCTCCCAAAGTGCTGGGATTACAGGCATGAGCCACCATGCCCGGCCCAGTGACTGTTTCATAAGGGGTCAAGTTACATTTTCCACTGAGAGGGGAATCTGATTGCCATCAAGGCCAATGGTAATACTGTTAGCCAAGGCAATCCAGTCAATTCACTTAACTTTGCCAGTTTCAGTTCCAAGATGCCATTTGTCCTTTCAACCTTTCCAGAAGACTAAAGGTGATAGCAACAATGGTAATGCCATTGTGTTTGTAACACTTTATTTTATTGCTTTATAACTTTCCGAGTAAAATTGGTATCTCTGTCAGTGGAGCTTTCTTTTCTCCAAGAATGCCCCATAAAGGAAACACATTTTTGAATAAACTTTTAGCTACTGTAATAGTATTGGCCTTCCTCCATGGAAAGCTTCTATTCAGCCAAAGAACATAGACTATTACAAGAACATACTTATATCCCATTGAAGGTGGCAATTGAATAAAATCCCTCTGAAAATGTTCAAATGGCCCATCAAGTAGCAGAAATGAAGCAAAACCTGAAGTTTTGTCTTTACAGAATTGTGGGTTTAACAAACCAAACATTGGTTACCACATCAATATTTTTTCTGTAATTTATATCATTTTTTTCTACTCCATGGTGAGCTATGGCAGGCATAACTTTTAATGATGGAAACTTTTGGCCGGGCGCAGTGGCTCACACCTATAATCGCTCCTTTGGGAGGCCTAGGCAGGCGGATCACCTGAGGTCAGGAGTTCGAGACCAGCCTGACCAACGTGGTGAAACCCCGTTTCTACTAAAAATACAAAAATTACAGGTGGCAGGCACCGTAATCCCAGCTACTTGGGAGGCTGAGGCAGGAGAATCTCTTGAACCCAGGAGGCAGAGGTTGCAGCAAGCTGAGATTGCACCCTTGCACTCCAGCCTGGGCAACAAGAGTGAAACTCCGTCTCAAAAAAAAAAAAACAAAAACAGGAAACTTTTTGAGATAGGGTCTCACTCTGTCACTCAGGCTGGAGTACAGTGGCATGATCTCAGCTCACTGCAGCTTCAACCTCCTGGGTTCAAGTGATCCTCCCACCTCAGCACCAAGTAGCTAGGACTACAGGCATGTACCACCAGATCCAGCTAATTTTTTTTTTTTTTTTTTTTGGTATTTTTTGTAGAGATAGGGTTTTTCCATGTTGCCCAGGCTGGTCTTGAGCTCCTGGACTCCAGCAATCTGCCTGTCTCAGCCTCCCAAAGTGCTGGAATTACAGGCGTGAGCCACCATGCCTGGCCTAATGATGGAAGATTTAAGGACTCAGGAATTACCAGGCAGCCATCCAGCCTCTTCGTGGGTCCAGGCTTCACATTGGATTTATACCCTCTTAAACACCAATCTTATTTCTTTAATTCAGGAAAGTACCAGAGTAAACAATCATTTGTGAGTTACAAAGATTAACCATTTGTGAATGGTTAAAGATCTGATTAAAGTTAATTACAATGTTAATACAATTCACAACAAAATTTGATTATTTCTCTTGCATGCAACATTTTAAAATAATAACTAAAATTATGAATGATAACATTCTACCAGGACTATTTGATTTCTATAAATATCATATAATTTCTAAAACACACATTAATAACACGTCCATACAAATATAATTCAAAGAAGGTTTACTATTACTTATCATTTGGCAATGCTTCCCATATAATTTAATATATTTAATAGGCTCAATTCATGTGATATCTCTCTTTTTATAAGGAAAGGTATCATTCTGAGATATTCCAAAGGCCCACCTGGAAAAATTCAAAGTTAATTCAAGGTCAAGAAAAAGACTTCATTTAGATTTTGATTTTGGGGGAGTTTGTCAAACATATCAAAGATTTAAAACATTTGATCAAAATAGGTTCACAGGTCACTGTGAACAATAGTCATTCATTTAACCAAAGTGACAATTAAAAGGCTTCAAAGGCAAATACAGAAAGTTACATAGCTGTAAAAAAAAAAAAAAAAACCTCAGCTCAAGTGTATAAAACATTTATACACTTAGCTTGGAGCTAAGGTTTTTTTTGACAACCATGTAACTTTCTGTATTTAGTCAACTTTCTGATCTCTCAGTTTTCTTAAGTGACCGAAAACCCAATAAAGACAACACAAGGCTGGTTGCAGTGACTCATGCCTGTAATCTCAACAGCCTGGGAAGCTGAAGTGGGAGGATCAGTTGAGGCCAGGAGTTCAAGACAAGCCTGGCGAGCATAGTGAGACCCATCTTTACAAAATAAAAAAGTAGCCAGGTGTGGCAGTGAGCACCTGTAGTTCTAACTACTTGGGAAGCTGAGGCATGGGGATGGCTTGAGCCCAGGAGTTCAAGGCTGCAATGAGCTATGATATGCCACTGTACTCCACCCTGGGCAACAGAGTGAGACCCTGTCTCTTAAAAAAAAAAAATTGAAGCACAGGAAAATTTCTTGGTAAGACACAGAATCTTTTTTTCCCCTAGGCCAATTACCTAAAAGGTAAAGAAAAATTGTTAACAATTTTCTGTTAAGATCAGAGGCCAATACTCTAAGAAAACCTTGTTGTTTTAACAGAGAAGGCCAAATTCTAGTTTTGCTATTAATGCTCAGTTTTTTAGGAAAAACATTCTAAATAATTCCCTACATCACACATAAAATTTATATCACAAGATTCATCTTCCACACACCTACAACCTTCTTATCCATTCAGGTTTTGCTCCTATACTTTTTCTCTTCTCATTTGGAACAACTAACCATTCTACTTCAGGAAAAAATTACTCTCTTTTATGCAGCCAAAAGACACATGAAAAAATGCTCATCATCACTGGCCATCAGAGAAATGCAAATCAAAACCACAATAAGATACCATCTCACACCAGTTAGAATGGCAATCATTAAAAAGTCAGGAAACAACAGGTGCTGGAGAGGATATGGAGAAATAGGAACACTTTTACACTGTTGGTGGGACTGTAAACTAGTTCAACCATTGTGGAAGTCAGTGTGGTGATTCCTCAGGGATCTAGAACTAGAAATACTATTTGACCCAGCCATCCCATTACTGGGTATATACCCAAAGGACTATAAATCATGCTGCTATAAAGACACATGCACACGTATGTTTATTGTGGCACTATTCACAGTAGCAAAGACTTGGAACCAACCCAAATGTCCAACAATGATAGACTGGATTAAGAAAATGTGGCACATAAACACCATGGAATACTATGCAGCCATAAAAAAATGATGAGTTCATGTCCTTTGTAGGGACATGGATGAAATTGGAAATCATCATTCTCAGTAAACTATCGCAGGGACAAAAAACCAAACACCGCATGTTCTCACTCATAGATGGGAATTGAACAATGAGAACACATGGACACAGGAAGGGGAACATCACACTCTCAGGCTGGTCTCAAATTCCTGACCTGAAGTGATCTGCCCTCCTCAGACTCGCAAAACGCTGGGATTACAGGTGTGAGCCACCGCGCCTGGCCTCTTTTTTTTTTTTTTTTTTTTTTTTTGAGACATAGTCTCATTCTGTCGCCCAGGTTAGAGTGTAGTGGTGCGATCTCTAGGAACCTCTGCCTCCTGGGTTCAGGTTCAAGTGATTTTCATGCCTCAGCCTCCCAAGTAGCTGGGATTACAGTGCATGCCACCATGCCCTGCTTAATTCTCATATTTTTAGTAGAGATGGGGTTTTGTCATTTTGGCCAGGTTGGTCTCAAACTCCTGTCCTTAAGTGATCCAGCCGCCTCAGCCTCCCAAAGTGCTGGGATTACAGGCATGAGCCACAGCACCCGCACATAATATATTTTATAGTAAACTGGTATATGTAAATAAAGCTTATCGCTGAGTTCTGTGAGCTGTTCCAGCAAATTATCAAACCTGAGGAGAGGGGTTGTGGGAACTCCAATTTTATTTTATTTTTTTTGAGACAGAGTCTTGCTCTGTGGCCCAGGCTGGAGTGCAGTGGTGTGATCTCGGCTCACTGCAACCTCCGCCTCCTGGGTTCAAGTGATTCCCATGCCTCAGCCTCCCACACAGCTGGGATTACAAGCGTGCACCACTACACCCGCTAATTTTTGCATTTTTAGTAGAGCTGGGGTTTCGCCACGTTTGCCAGGCTGATCTCAAACTTCTGCCCTCAAGGGATCAGCCTGCCTCAGCCTCCCAAAGAGCTGGGATCACAGATGTGAGCCATCACACTCTGCCAATGGAGGTTTACTTTGGATCCCACTTCCGATGCCAATCTGTTAAAAGAAAAACTTCAAAGTAAATTTAGCAGAGTTTATTTGAGCAAAAAACAATTCACAAATGAGGCAATCCTCAAAACCAAAACAGGTTCAGAGAGCTCTAGCCTGCAATATGGTCAGGCAGCGTTTATGGACAGAAAATGGAGGTACAGAGACAGCTCTATTGATTACAGCTGGGCATTTGCCTTATTTGAACATGGTCTCCTCAGCTGGGGGCTGCGACTGACTGAAGCTGGGCTGCTATGATTGGCTGAGACTCAGATATTAGCTCCAAAAGTATACTCCTAAGTTAGGCTTTTAGTTAATTTATGTACTAAGTTAGGTTGCAGTTTGTTCCATAAGGACTCAAGTATGGAGGCATCCTTAGGCCAAATTTAGTTTAACAGATGTATAAAACACCCATGTCAATAAAAATTAAACAATGAGTTGGGTTTAAATTAATTACATTTCCAATTCAAGTTATAAAAAACAAAAGAAAACACAAGGAAGAAAAGAATAAAGACAAAACTAAAAAGCAATAAAGCCAAGAACTGAAAAACAGCAGATCAAAATAAAACAAAATACGGATTCTTTGAATAAAGTCAGAAAATAGTCAAGCCATGATCTAATTTAATTAAAAAATACGTGGGGAGGAGTAAGCACAAATATGCAGAATAAGAAATGGCAAGGGAAAGAGACTATTACTACAGAGGAAGCCAGACAGTCATAAAAGACTCCTGTGCACACATACCTCTTAGCCCATTTAGGCTGCTATAACAAAATACCGTAAACTGGGTAGCTTACAAACAACAGAATTTATTTCACACAGTTCTGAAGGCTGGGAGCCTAAGATCAAGGCAAGCAGATTTGGTATCTGGTGAAAGACCTGTTTTCTGATTCATAGATGGTGGCTTCTACCTGTGCCCTCACATGGTGGAAGAGGTGACAGAGCTCCTTTGAGCTGACTTTCTAAGGGCACTAATCCCTGTGAATATTGTCAGAATCAAAATGAGTCACTTGTGTTAAAAAAAAAAAAAAATCCCGAAATGCAGAGCCGGGAAGGCCATGAAGGCCTGACAACAAAAGCTATCACAAAAGACTGCAAAACCCATGACCGTGCACAAAGGCACAACCTTACACAAAATAATTCTTCTGCGAGGACATCTGCCCAGCAACTGCCTGTCCAAACTTGGACTGACGCCACCCTTGTTATTGATCCTTTTAGCCAAAGATAATTATCTCAAAAGAATTATGTAATCCCTCTCATTTTTTCTTTAAAAACTTTTGTCTTCCTTTACCTCCCTCAATATGCATGTAGTTTACTATTGTGGGTATATTCCCATTGCAACACCCATTTCCAAATATGATTTAGAGAGTCTCCCTCTCTGTTTGTTATTTAGGATGACATAACATTCATGGGGCTCCACCCTCATGACTTAATCATTTCCCAAGCTCCACTTCTTAATACCATCACCTCAGGGGTTAGAATTTCAACATAAGAATTTGGGGAGGGACACAAATATTCAGACCATACCACACACCTCTATGCAAAGAAATTTGAAAACCTAATGAAATGGATAATATCTCAGTAAAATATAGTTGAACAAAATCGACCTCACTGAAAAGTTAAATCAATTTCAAGGAATAAATATGGCATGCTATCAAGGAACTAACTCACATCAGCACCAAGCTCAGATGGTTTCACAAGAGGATTTTATAAAAATGGTTAACAAATAAATAGGGCTATTACTACATAAATTATTCCAGAGAAGAGAAAATGAAGGTGATTTTTTTTTGTATCCTTGACCAAATGAAGGGAAATTTCTAAATTCTATGAAGCAGGTTGACATTGATATCCTAAGCTGATAAAGAGAGCAGACACAGTATCATTTTTTAAAATGCTAAATATTGGCTGGGTGCAGTGGCTCATGCCTGTAATCCCAATACGTTGGGAGGCCGAGGTGGGTGGATCACCTGAGGTCAGGAATTTGAGGCCAGCCTGACCAACATGGTGAAACTCCACCTCTACTAAAAATACAAAATTAGCCAGACATGGCAGGGCATGCCTGTAATCCCAGCTACTTGGGAGGCTGAGGGAGGAGAATCCCTTGAACCCGGAAGGCAGAGTTTGCAGTGAGCTGAGGTTGTGCCATTGCATTCCAGCCTGGGCAACAAGAGAAAAACTCTGTCTCAAAAAAAAAAAAAAAAAAAAAAAAAGCTAAATATCACCTCCTTTGAGAATAAAAATAAATAATGTTAAATAAAATGTTAGCAAACAGATTCAAATACCACATTAAGAAAATGATAAACCATGACCAAGTGGAGTTAATAATGAAAATGTGAGATGAGTCCAATATTGCAAAATCTTTTTTTTTTTTTTTTCCCAGAGTTTTGCTGTTGTTGCCCAGGCTGGAGTGCAATGGCACAATCTCAGCTCACCGCAACCTCCGCTTTCTGGGTTCAAGTGATTCTCCTTCCTCAGTATGAGCCACCACCCTGGCTAATTTTGTATTTTTAGTAGAGATGGGGTTTCTCCATGTTGGTCATGCTGGTCTTGAACTCCTGACCTCAGGTGATCTGCCCGCCTCAGCCTCCCAAAGTGCTGGGATTACAGGCATGAGCCACCATGCCCAGCAGCAAAATCTTTTAATATAATTAAACATATTTGTAGATCTAAGAAGAAAAATCATATGATCATTCCCATATGTACTTAAAAAGCTTTGACAAAACTGGCCAGGTGCGTTGGCTCACACCTGTAATCCCAGCACTTTGGGAGGCTGAGGCTAGCAGATCACTTGAGGCTAGGAGTTCAAGACCAGCCTGGCCAACATGGTGAAATCCCATCTCTGCTAAAATTACAAAAATTAGCCAGGCATGGTGGCATGAGCCTGTAATCCTAGCTACTTGGGAGACTGAGGCAGGAGAAGTGCTTGAGCCTGGGAGGCAGAGGTTGCAGTGAGCCAAGATCGAGCCACTGCACGACAGCCTGGGTGACAAGATCAAAACTCCATCTCAAAAAAAAAAAAAAAAAAGAAGAAAATGTTTTGAGAATCTGTCTCAAAACAAACAAACAAAAAACAAACAAACAAAAAAAGCTTTGACAAAACCAAGCATCCATTGTGAAAAAGTAACAAACAAAAACCAAACAACAAAAAACTCTTGAAAAACACACTAAAAACATATATACGTTAGTCCTAAAGCCAGTATCTTACTTAAGGGAAAACACTAAAGATCAGGAGTAAGACAAGGAAACTCATTAGTTTCACTACTATTTAACATTGTCCTGGAGGTATAAGCCAATGCAATTAGACAAGAAAAGTCAAGTTAGGCATAAGAATTGGAAAAAATATATAGTAAGTATCTCTGTATGCCAAAGGTATGATAGCATACCTGGTGAATCCCAGAGATTCGTTGATAATGTTCAAACAGTAATAGCATTCTGCAGGTATAGTATATAAAATTAATATATAAAATTTAATAGCTTTCATCCAAACAATAATTAGAGCATAATCTTGCAGGAAAAATCATTTACAATGATGACAAGGAAGATAAAACATTTAGGAATAATGTTAACAAGAAATGCACAACATGTGTATGGGAAAACTTTGAAACATAAGAAGTAGACTTGAAGCTGGTGCATGCCTCTAGTCCCAGCTACTTGGGAGGCTGAGGTGGGAGGATTGCTTGAGCCCAGGGTTTTGAGTCTAGCCTCTTGGGAAAAAAAAAAGCAGACTAGAATGAATGGTAAAACGTTCCTTGCTCTTTGATAGAGTGATTCAACTTACTCCCCAAATTCATTTATGATATTAAACTGGGCCCCATAAAAATACCAAAAAATTTTGTTTTAATGATATGGACAAGTTGATATTAACTTCAGGTGGAAAATATGGATTTTTTTTTTTTTTTTGGAGATGGAGTTTCACTCTTGTTGCCCAGGTTGGAGTGCAATGGCACCATCTTGGCTCACTGCAACCTCTGCCTCCCAGGGTCAAGTGATTCTCCTCTCTCAGTCTCCTAAGTAGCTGGAATTACAGGCGCCTGCCACCACACTCGGCTAATTTTTGTATTTTTAGTAGAGACAGGGTTTCATCATATTGGTTAGGCTGGTGTCGAACTCCTGACCTCAGGTGATCCACCCGTTTTGGCTTCCCAAAGTGCTGGGATTACAGGCGTGAGCCACTGCTCCTGGCCTGGAATTTTTAATAAGTAGTATTGGGGCAACTGAAAAACCATTTGGAAAAGATAATAAAATTAGATTCATTCCTAATCCCACACACAAGAATAAACTCAAAATAGATCAGAGTTTTAAACATAAAATATGAAACTGTATGTCTAGACAAGAACTAGATGAAAATATGGGTAAATTCTATAACTTAGATGCAGGGAAAGTCTTTTAAATTGCGTCTCAAAATCCAGATACAATACAAGAAAAATAGATTCATTTAACTGTATAAAAATAAAACGTTTTGCATGACAAAAACACCCAAGCAAAGTCAAAAGATGAATAACCAACAAGGAGAAAATATTTGCAGTTTGCATCACAGTTTTAAAAAGTCAAAATATATGAAGAAAAAAAGATCAAAAAACATCCTGTGGAAAATTTGACAAAAGGCATGACTAGACAACTCACACACACAAAAGTTATCCAATGGCCCTTAAACATACATAAATATGTTCAACAACTCATAATAAAAGAAATAAAAATTAAAACTACACTGAGTATTGAATGTCGTAAGTAAATGCTTTTATTTATCAATTGATTTCCCACAAAGGTGCCAAGGCAATTCAATGGGAAAAAAATAGTCTTTCAACAAATAGTACTAGGACAACTGGATATCCACATGAAAAAGAATGAAATTGGACTCTTGCTTCACATCCTGTAACAAAATTAACTCAAAATGAATCAAAGACCTAAATATAAGAGCTAAAACTATAAAAATTTTAGGAGAAAACCTTGAAAACATTATGCTAAGTGATAGAAGTCAGTTGAAAAAGGCCACTTAGTGTCTGATTGCATTTATATGAAATGTCCATAATTGGCAAATCTATGCAGACAGAAAGTAGGGCTGGGTGCGGTGGCTAACACCTATAATCCCAGCACTTTGGGAGGCTGAGGTAGGTGGATCCCTTGAGGTCAAGAGTTTTAGACCAGCCTGATCAGCATGGTGAAACCCTGTGTCTACTAAAAATTCAAACATTAGCCAGGTATGGTGGCATATGCCTGTAATCCCAGCTACTTGGGAGTCTGAGTCAGGAGAATCCTTGGGCCTGGGGGGAGGCAGGGGTTGCAGTGAGCTGAGATGGTGCCATTGAACTCTAGCCTGGGCAACAAAGTGAAACTCCATCTCAAACAAACAAACAAACAAACAACAACAACCAAAAAAAACAAGAAAACAAGAAAGTAGATTAGTGCTGTCCGGGGGAGGGGAAAAGTGACTTTAGTGTGTATGAGGTTTCTTTTTGGGGTGATGAAAATATTCTAAAATTAGATTATAGGGATGCAAAACATAACTCTGTGAAGATACTAAAAAACATGGCCAGGTATGGCGGCTCACGCCTGTAATCCCAGCACTTTGGGAGGCCGAGGCAGGTGGATCACCTGAGGTTTGGAATTTGAGACCAGCCTGGCCAACATGGAGAAACCCCATCCCTACTAAAATACAAAAATTAGCCGGGCATGGTGGCTCGTGCCTGTAATCACAGCCACTTGGGAGACTGAGGCAGGAGAATTGCTTGAACTTGGGAGGTGGAGGTTGCAGTGAGCCGAGATCATGCCACTGCACCCATAGCCTAGGTGACAGAGCGAGACTCTGTCTCAAAATAAATAAAAACAACAACAACCAACAAAACAAACAAAAAAATTACATTGTACACTTTAAATGGGTGGATTTTATGGCATGTAAATTATGTATCAAAAAATTGTTTTTAAAAAACTACACTGAGATATCATTTCTCACCTGCCAGCTTGGCAAGAATTCAAAATCCTGACAGTTCACTGTATTGGTGAGTCCACGGGGAAACCAGCACTCTCCTATGGTCCAACCACTAGAGAAGGGAATTTGGCAATACCTAACAAAACCACATATGCACTTACCCTTTAACCCAATATTCCCAGTAACATTCCCACTTATGGTGACTTACCCAAAAGATAACACTTCCTACAGTAGAAAACTACATATGCAGAAGTGGGGCCAGGTGCGCTCATGTCTATAATCCCAGCACACTGGGAGGCTGATGCGGGAGGATTGCTTGAGTCCAGGAGTTCAAGACTAGCCTGAGCAACAGAGTGAGACCCCCGTCTCTGCAAATAATAAAAAATTAGCCAGGCATGGTGGTGCAAACCTGTGGTCCCAGCTACTTGGGAGGCTGAGGCCAGAGAATTGCTTGAGCCCAGGAAGTCGAGGCTGCAGTTAGCTGGGATAGTGCCACAGCTCTCAGCTTGAGCAACAGAGTGAGACCCTGTCTAAAAAAAAAAAAATGCAGAAAAGTTTTCATTGCTGTATTGTTTATAATTGCAAAACACTGAAAATGACCTCAATATCTAAATATAGGAAATAGGTTGAATAAACTATGATACCTACAAGGGATACTCTGCAGCTGCACAAAGAAAGAGGACAGTCTTATGTCCTCTTGTCATATGGAGTGCTTCCCAAGATATTTTGTTCAGTGAAACAAGCAAAATGTATATTTAGAAAGAGGGAAAATATGAAAACAGACATATATCTGTTTACCTTTACTGAAAGAAACATGGAAAGTATATAACAGAACATAATGAAGTTGGTTATCTACAGTCTATTGGGCATTGGGAGTGGAGAATGAGCAGAAGGAATATGGAAAGGAGTGCCTTTCTCTCAGTGTCTCTCTCTTTTTTTTTTTTTTTTGTGAGACAGACAGTCTCGTTCTGTCACCCAGGCTGGAGTGCAGTGGTGCAATCTCGGCTCACTGCAAACTCCGCCTCCTGACTTCAAGTGATTCTCTGCCTCAGCCTCCCGAGTAGCTGGGATTACAGGAAGGTGCCACCACGCCTGGGTATTTTTTGTATTTTTAGTAGAGAAGAGGTTTCAACATGTTGGCCAGGCTGGTCTTGATCTCGTGACCTCAAGTGATCCAACCACTTCGGCTTCCCAAAGTGCTGGGATTACAGGCGTGAGCTGCTGCACCTGGTCCCTTTCTCTGATTATACTTTTTTTTTGTATGGTTTTTCTTTTAGAAGCATTCTAATATTCTATATATTCAAAAATAAAATTAAGGCTGGGCTCAGTGGCTCACGCCTGTAATCGTAGCATTTTGGGAGGCCAAGGCAGGCAGATCACCTGAGGTCAGGAGTTTAAGACCAGCCTGGCCAACATGGTGAAACCCCATCTCTACTAAAAATACAAAAAAATGCAGCCGGGCATCGTGGCGGGCGCTTATAATCTCGGCTACTCAGGAGGCTGAGGCAAGAGAATTGCTTGAACCTGGGTGGCGGAGGTTTGTAGTGAGCCGAGATTGCACCATTGCACTCCAGCCTGGGGGACAAGAGCGAAACTCCTTCTCAAAAAGAAAATAATAAATAAATAAATAAAATTGAATCAACAAGAATGCGGATACCCGAAACACCTAAAACTAAAACAAATTGATTTAACAACATTTCTGATGAATAATATAACCACATTGAAGGAAAGAAAAGAACTAATCCAAGTAACTTAGGAGCACACTATTTGTATACATGTCCTTGGTTTTTGTCAGGGTTGGGGTTGGGAAGCAAATTGCAAACAAACCCCGAATCCCTTTTTGTTAGATTTGATTTTTATACTGAAATGAGCAAAACAACACAAAAACTATCTTAGGTATATAACAAGATTGAGCAAATGAATGGATACATTTCTATTATTGGGAGCCAGGGTTCTCATTGCGGGGGAAGGGAGATCTAAGGATGGGGGAAAGTCAAGAAATCAGTGGAGATGGGCTAAAATGGAATGTTTTAGTGTTAGCTCACACTTTCTAAAATATATATAAAAATGTTTTAGCCAAGTGTGATGGTTCATGCCTGTAGTTCCAGCTACTCAGGCTGAGGCAGGAGGATTACTTGAGCCCAGGAGGTCGAGGCTGCAGTGAGTTATAATAGTGCCACTGTACTCCAGCCTAGGCGACAAAGTGAGACCCTGTTTCAAAACAAAGAAAAAAAAAAGACTGGTTCAGGGAAAATCATCAATGGATGCTAAATTTATGAAGGAAATTTTAATGTAGCACTTGATATTTATTTGACTGTCTTAAAATATCTTGCCGTAGATTGCTTATTTGTTGCAAGAGAAAAAAATAGTAACTGTAGAGAAGAAAAAAATTGACAACACCTTGACCAAATGATCAAAATTAACATCACCAAAGTGGGGCAGATGGACACCTTGTGCCTTCGAATGGGATACCCTGAGAGTGATGGAGCACCACGTGTACGATGTTCAGACTGGGGATGCATAGCCTGAATGGAATCATGAGGAAATAACAGTCAAATGCAAATGGAGGGACATTCTGTAATAAACATGAGGGCTCTATTTTTAAAAAGGTCAATGTCATTAAAGTTAAAGAACAGCTGAGAAACTGTTTCAGATTACAGGAGATTAAAGAGACACAATTCAATAAAGGACATGATTGGGTCAATTGATAGAACTGGAATATAAATGGTAGGTTAGATAAATATATTGTATTGGTGTGAAATTTCCTGAAGTTAACAACCGCTCTGTGATTATATAATAAAAGAGAATGTTCTTATTCTTAGGCAAAACATGCTGATGTATTTAGGGGAAGAAATGCGTGATATATGCAACTTATTCTCAAATGTTTCCTCCCCAAAATTTACATACAAGAGAACCAGTGGAGCTGGGCTGGGTGGCTCACACCTCTAATCCCAGCACTTTGGGAGGCCAAGGGCGGGGGGTGGCAGGGGGATCACTTGAGCCAGGAGTTTGAGACAAGCCTGGTTAACATGGTGAAACCCCATTTCTACTAAAAATACACATACACAAAATTAGCTGGGCGTGGTGGCGCGCACCTGTAGTTTTAGCTACTAGGGAGGCTGAGGCAGGGGAATCGCTTGAACCTGGGAGGCAGAGGTTGCAGTGAGCCAAGATCTCGCCACTGCACTCTAGCCTGGGTGACAGAGTGAGACTGTGTCTCAAAAAAAATTGAAAAAAAAAAAAGAGAGAGAGAGAACCAATGGGATAAAATGTTAACAATAATTGCAAACAATATGTTGAAATTCAAACAAATTTTTTGAAATTATTTCCAAATAATTTATGCTACCGCATGTGTCTTCAGGTCAGCTGAGGCTAATTAATCAGTTGGCTTTCACTCCAGCAGAGGGTTGCGTCCAGGCCCACCTCAGGTGTCTCTCATCTTCCTTGGACCACTGGGCTAGGCAGAATATGGTCCTCTCATGATTAAGGCACTAGTACAAGAAAGGAGGCACAGCCAACTGCAGAAACACAGGTGGGGCCCACTGCTGCGTCACATCTGGCAACATCCCACTGACCAAAGCAAGTCACATGGTCAAGCCCAAAGTCAGAGTGGGGAAGTACATTCTGTCTTTAAAAGCAAACCAAAACAAATTGATTTAACAGCATTTCCGATGAATAATATAACCACATTGAAGGAAAGAAAAGAACAAATCCGTATGAGGACACTATATATTTGTCCTTGGTTTTGGTCAGGGTTGGGGTTGGGAAGCAAATTGCAAACAAACCCTGACTTCTGTTTTATTAGATTTGATTTTTGTACTGAAATGGGCAAAACAACACAAAAATTATCTTTGGTATATTATAGGATTGAGCAAATGAGTAGATTTGATAGTAGACATTGATATTATTGGAGGCCAGGGTTCTCACTGCGGAGGAAGGGAGATGTAAGGATGGGGGAAGGCCAGGAAGTACTTGGTGGGAGAGAGCGCAAAGTCCCAGGCAAGAGGTGTGGACACATGGAGGGGTGAAAAACTGGGACCAATAATAAATAGTTCAACCTACCACAGGTGGCCAATGTGAATACATGGTAATACATGGTAGCTATTTAGAAAAATATTTGTTAAATTACAGCAAGCCAGGAATCTAAGTTAGTAGGGATGAAAATATTGCTTTTGGCTCTGAAAGGGCAATGTCTCAGCTAACAAGTAGCAAAGAGAGAGGCTGATTCCCCCAGCCTGCCTAATTATTGAGGCATCATCTCTACTTACTGAAAAACCACGGCAAGGAGGCTGTCCAAGTTCAAGTGCCTGATTTGATCTTTCCATGGGAGGAGCAAGCTCAGGGAGATGACAAAGAACAGATAGATGCATATGATGGAATTCCACATTGTTCATTTATGCTGGGGAAATTAACCACCCACTCAGTCCTGGTCACAGGGTCTCCCTTCTGATGTGGCAGGTGGGACCTTTCAAGACACCCAAGTATGGTTTTTTTTTTTTTTTTTTTTTTGAGGTGGAGTCTTGCTCTGTCACCCAGGCTGGAGTGCAATGGTGTGATCTCGGTTCGCTGCAACCTCCACCTCCCAGGTTCAAGTGATTCTCCTGCCTCAGCCTCCTGAGTACCTGGGATTACAGGCGCCCACCACCACGCCCGGCTAATTTTTGTATTTTTAGTAGAGACAGGGTTTCGCCATGTTGGCCAGGCTGGTCTCAAACTCCTGACCTCAAGTGATCAGCCAGCCTCGGCCTCTCAAAGTGCTGGGATTACAGGCGTGACCCACCGCGCCTGGCCCCAGCTATAGTTTAGACGGTTGCTGGTTAAGCAAATAATTCGAGCAGATGGAATTGGATCTTCCTAAGGAATGTTCCTATTATCTTGTGACTTTTCTTTCTCTAGTCTACAAATAAGAAGATAAACTTTTCTCTGGATAACTGGAAAGAATCCTAGAAATCAGAGTATTGTGCCCTTTGAAAAATATTGAAGAAACTCTACAAAGTCTTGCTCTTCAACACAGTTTTTTGGACTCCATACAGAACACTCTGCATTATGACCAGACAATGGACTTATTGCCACGGTGGAATAAAGGTTAGATTTTAATCTGTGTAGTTTGTGCCTGCCCAGTATTCGTTCATTCTTCCTCCAGTAGTGAAGGCCAGAATTCCCTCTGAAGAGCCAGTTCCTCCCATCTATGACTCTTAGTCCATCTGATTCTGGTGGAGCCCACTTCTTCCCCACTCCAGCGTGGTCCCAAGTCTCAGACTCAAGCCAATCAGTGCATCCCAAACCCAGGATTGCTCTAGGATGGTCATGTGATTCAACTAAGCTAAGAAGAGGCAGATCCAGGACTTTAAAAAACAAACAATAAACTCCTGAAACAACTCCCCAAATAACCAATAAATTGTTAATTTGTTTTTTTTTTTTTTTTTTTGAGACGGAGTCTCACTCTGTTGCCTAGACTGGAGTGCAGTGGCACGATCTTGGCTCACTCCAACCTCTGTTTCTCGGGTCCAAGCAATTCTCCTGCCTCAGCCTCCCGAGTAGCTGGGATTACAGGCACCTGCCACCACACCCAGCTAATTTTTGTATTTTTAGTAGAGACAGGGTTTCACCATGTTGGCCAGGCTGGCCTTAAACTCCTGACCTTAAGTGATCCACCTGCCTTGGCCTCCAAAGTGCTGGGATTACAGGTATGAGCCACCATGCCCTGCCAACCAATTGTTTAGAAGAGCCTTTTCTTCTGCCCATGAATTTTGGAGGAAGTAAACTTGCAGCTGCTTGGAGTCCCTAAAAGGGAAAAAATTGGGGCTGCTCTCCAGTTGGCGAGAGCCTACCCAAGCGGGACACTAACATAGAGGAAAATACAGCTGAGAAAGAGGAAGAATCCAACCCCTGAGAAATAATCTGAGCCAAATTCAGCAATGCTTGAATCTACCCCGTGGAATTTTCAGTTTCGTAAGTCAGTAGTTTTAAATTTTATTTCCTGTAAGTCTCAGTTGAGTTTCTCTCACTTGAGGGTAGGAAAGGTTTTATTTGTCTTTGTCTCCCAAGTACTCAGTGTTAACTCATAAAGAAGCATCCTTGTGTGCCATATTAAAAGACTTAGGGCTGGGCGAGGTGGCTCACTCCTGTAATCCCAGCACTGGAGGCTGAGGCAGGCGAATCACTTGAGGTCAGGAGTTTGAGACCAGGCTGTCCAACATGGTGAAACCTTGTCTCTATTAAACATACAAAAATTAGCTGGGTGTGGTGTCAGGTGCCTGTAATCCCTTTTACTCGGAAGGCTTAGACGAGAGAATCGCTTGAACCCCGGGAGGCAGAGGTTGCGGTGAACCAAGATCGCGCTACTGCACTCCAGCCTGGGGGACAGAGTGAGATGCCATCTCAAAAAAAAAAAAAAAAAAAAAAGGCTTAGGCTTGATCCCCGGCAAGTGAGGAGTAACTGAGGAGCTGTAAGCAGCAAAGCTATATGAAGCGTTTCATGCATTGGAGCTATGGGTGGGTAGACCTTTCAAAAGCAAGCAGTGGCGTGAACCTGGGAAGCGGAGCTTGCAGTGAGCTGAGATCGCGTCACTGCACTCCAGCCTGGGCGACAGAGCGAGACTCCGTCTCAGAAAAAAAAAAAAAAAAAGCCAAGCAGTGGCAGACATGAAATCTTTACCTCATAGCCCCACCCAGCTGAAATTACACACCCTCTGACAACAGGAGGCCAGGGACCAAACTGAGTTGTACACTCCCTGTATAGGTATGTAAGAGATAGGGCTTCTGTTCTCCCCATTCCTCCCTCTCACCATACCTGGACTGCTTTTGGAAGGAAACTTCTAGGGGTCCATGAGGCAGGCCTGCACACATTCCAAGCAGGCAGTAAAGCGCATTTCATTCTGCATGGTGTCATCAGGCATTCGTTAAAGGAATATATGACCTGTGGGTGATTAAAATCTAATGAAAACAGGCATTCTCAGAATGACTTCCAGAATCCAGGCAAGAGAGCACTGTTAAATGTCTGGAAATTATTGTACAGTTAAAGCACCCACACTCCCTTCTCTCCCAGACAACCCTGGGTCAGAATTGATCTTCCCTGTCTTTGTTCTTCTACTGTGCTCATAATCTCTCAAGTGCAACACGGATCGTGATATTGTCAGAGGTGTGTGAACCAGAACAACTCTGTCTTGAATAGGAGCTGAGTAAAGTGAGGCTAAGACCTGCTGGGCTTCATTCCCAGACTGTTAAGGCATCCTGAGTCACAGGATGAGATAGGAGGTCAGCACAAACACAGATCATAAAGACCTTGCTGATAAAACAGGTTGCAGTGAAGAAGCCGGCAAAAACCCACCAAAACCAAGAAGGCCACGAGAGTGATCTCTGGTCATCCTCACTACTACACTCCCATCAGCATCATGACAGTATACAAATGCCATGGCAATGTCAGGGAGTTACCCTATATGGTCTAAAAATGGGAGGCATGAATAATCCACTCCTTGTTTAGCATATCATCAGGGAATAGCCATAAAAATGGGCAAACAGCAGCCCTCAGGGCTGCTCTGTCTATAGAGTAGCCATTCGTTCATTCCTTTACTTTCCTAATAAACTTGCTTTCACTCTACTCTGTGGACTTTCCCTGAATTCTTTCTTGCGTGAGATCCGAGAACCCTCTCTTGGGGACCGAGACCCCTCTCTTGGGGACCGAGACCCCTTTCCGGTAACAGCATGACTGTAAAGTGGAGTTGCTTTGTCTATATTCCCTTCTAGAGGTGAACCTTGAGGTCAGGGACAGTCTTACTCATCTTTATGGTCCCCTGCACACCCCCACAATGCCCTTAATACCCAGTTGTTCAATGGACTTGGTGAAATTTGTAATCTCTAAATAGGCCTTGTGAAACCAAACTACATATGGCCTGAGAAGGATTCTGTACGTCTTTATTTGAGTCTTTGTGGACAAACTGCAACCTAACTTAGTAAGTAGACAAGATTGAAAACCTAACTTAGGAGTATGCGCCTGTAACAATAGCTGAGTCCTGGCCAATCCCAGTGGCCATCCTTCAACCACTCATACACTGCTGAGTGTTCAAACTGTGTTCAAATAAGGCAAACGCCAACCTGTAACCAATCCGGCTGTTTCTGTACCTCACTTCTGATTTCTGTATGTCGCTTCCCTTTTTTTGTCTATAAATTTGTTCTGACCATGAGGCATCCCTGGAGTCTCTCTGAATCTACTGTGATTCTGGGGCTGCCTGATTGGTGAATTGTTTTTTGCTCAATTAAACTCTCTTAAATTTAATTCAGCTCAAGTTTTTCCTTTAACAGCCTGACTTTATTTTGTTATATATATATATTTTGAGGTGGAGTTTTGCTTTAGTTGCCCAGGCTGGAGTGCAATGGCGCCATCTCGGCTCACCGCAACCTCCGCCTCCCGAGTTCACGCGATTCTCCAGCCTCAGCCTCCTGAGCAGCTGGGATTACAGGCATACGCCACCATGCCTGGCTGATTTAGTATTTTTAGTAGAGATGGGGTTTCTCCATGTTGGTCAGGCTGGTCTCAAACTCCCAACCTCAGGTGATCTGCCCACCTCGGCCTCCCAAAGAGTTGGGATTATAGGCACAAGCCACGGTGCCCGGCAACAGCCTGGTTAAAAAAAAAAAAAATTGGGCCGGGCATGGTGGCTCACGCCTGTAATCCCAGCACTTTGGGAGGCTGAGGCGGGAGGACCACGAGGTCAGGAGATGGAGACCATCCTGGATAACACGGTGAAACCCCGTCTCTACTAAAAATACAAAAAAAATAGCCGGGCGTGGTGGCAGGCGCCTGTAGTCCCAGCTACTAGGGAGGCTGAGGGAGGAGAATGGCGTGAACCCGGGAGGCGGAGTTTGCAGTAAGCCGAGATCGCGCCACTGCACTCTAGCCTGGGTGACAGAGTGAGACTCCGTCTCAAAAAAAAAAAAAAAAAAAAAAAAAATTGAAAATAAACATGCTCCCTGAATCCATATGTTTATTAAGACTCTTTTGTGGCCAGTGACAGAAACTTAACCCAGTCACTTAAGAAAATCGCTGGTTCATTGATTCACCTTCAGGCACAGCTGGATGCAGAGTTTCAAACAGTGTCACCTACACTCTATTTTTGTTCTGCTTTCCTTTGTATTAGGCTTTGTTCTCCTGCAAGCTCTGCGCTTGAGATGACCAATATGGTTACTAGCATCTGTAGGCTAAATTCAGCCAGCTTGGCAAGTACAGTAGAAAAGAGCTCCCCAAGGTTGGGCGCGGTGGCTCACAGCTGTAATCCCAGCACTTTGGGAGGCGGAGTGGGAGAGAGGTGGTGGATCACCTGAGGTCAGGAGTTCGAGACCAGTCTGGCCAACATGGTGAAACCCCGTCTCTACTAAAAATACAAAAAATTAACCGGTCGTGATGTCTCGCGCCTGTAATCCCAGCTACTTGGGAGGCTGAGGCAGAAGAATCGGGTGAACCCAGGAGGCAGAGGTTGCAGTGAGCAGAGATCGTGCATTGCACTCCAGCCTGGGCAATAAGAGTGAAACTCCGTCTCAAAAAAAAAAAAGAGCTCCTCTTCCTCAGAATCTCCAGCAAAGGTCTAAGGATCAAGTCTCATTGGTTTGGCTTGGGTCATCTGTCCATGACTGAGCCACGTGTTGTAGCCAGGAGACTGGGCTGTACTGGTTGGCGAGGTCTGGTTCACATGCCCATTCTTGGACCAAGGAGTGAGGCTAGCCCCATCTAAATCACATGGATTGAGAGTAGAGGGAAAAGAGGTTCCTCAAAGGAAAATGAGGGCAATACTACCTGAAGAAAGGAAAATAGATTACGGGTGGCTAAAATCACAAATGTCCACCATATATAAGTATTTGATAATTCATGTGTGTGTCTGTGTATATGTATGCAGACATGTAATTAATATATGTAAGCAAAAGCTAATTATATACAAACGAATTTTATTAAAATTATGTCAATAACAGTGATAATGATAGGCTACTATCAACTGAAGTTTACTTCAGTGCTAGCACTTTCTAGCTACTTTACATCTATTAACTCATGTAATCCTTATACTACCCCATGAGGCAGGTGCTACTATGTCTTCACGTTAAGGGCAAAAATTTAGATCTGCCGAAACTCAAATTGGTTACCATATTACATTGTCTCACATTTAGAAAACATAAATCAGAAGTGTACTAGGGACTGGGCGTGGTGGCTCACAACTGTAATCCCAGCACTTTGTGAGGCCGAGGCGGGCAGATCACCTAAGGTCAGGAGTTCGAGACCAGCTTGGCCAACGTGGTGAAACCCTGTCTCTACTAAAAATACAAAAATTAGCTGGGCATGGTGGCGGGTGCCTGTATTCCCAGCTGTTAGAGAGGCTGAGGCAGGAGAATTGCTTGAACCCAGGAGGCGGAGGTTGCAGTGAGTCGAGATCTTGCCACTGCACTCCAGCCTAGGAGATAAGAGCAAAATTCCAGCTATAAAAAAAAAAAAAGAAATGTACTAGGGTATTTGATAATTTTCTTCCCCTCCTACTACCCTACTGGGTGGACTCATTCATGCAGCAAACACCAAGTATTATAATGTGTTAAGTCTTCTATCAGGTACTCCGGAGACAGAAAAGTAACATGAGATACCTGCCTGGAGGGTTCCAGTCTGGTGGGGTAGACAGACACATAAACACAGGATTACAGGGCAGTGTGGTAAGTTTTACAGCAACAGTCTCTTTTTAAAAAATTTTTAAATTAAAACAAATTTTTTTTTTTGAGACAGAGTCTAGCTCTGTTGCCCAGGCTAGAGTGCAGTGGCACGATCTCGGCTCACTGCAGCCTCAGCCTCCTGGGTTCAAGCGATTCTCCTACCTCAGCCTCTCAAGTAGCTGGGATTACAGGCGTCCACCACCACGCCTGGCTAAGTTTTGTATTTTTTTTAGTAGAGACGGGGTTTCGCCATGTTGGCCAGGCTGGTCTTGAACTCCTGAGCTCGTGATCCGCCCACCCTGGTCTCCCAAAGTGCTGGGATTACAGGCATGAGCCACCGTGCCCGGCCTATAGCAACAGTCTCTATGTGGAATTCTCCCTTTTGTTTCCCTTCCACACAAAATGTTCAAAAACATCTTACTGTAATTCAGTAGTGTTATGAAAAGAAGATAAAAGAATTTCAGTTGAAATAAAAAATTATTTCTGCCATAGACTTCATTGAGCATTATTAAATCCAGAAAAGGGTGATCAAATGGGGTGGTTCTGTTTAGATTTCACTTCACAATTATGAAAATGTACTTAATTCTCCCTGGCTGCCAGCTTCTAAGTACCATGTCCACTTATTCACATTTCCCATCATGTCTGTGTTCTGGTTAAATAGTCCTGTGTCCTCTAGACCTAACAAAAGTATTAAAATTAATCCAGTGATTTTAAAGTGTGGGAAAGGTGATTTGGGTGATTTTAAAGTGTGGGAAAGGTGATTTGGGTGATTTTAAAGTGTGGGAAAGGTGAAATGACACTGGGTTACAATGTGCAAGTTATTACCATTTACAGTAGTCTTGCCATTATTTTGTTTTATTAAAACAAAAAAGTATAAAGTCTGAGTCTAGTGTTAGCTTGTCTTTAACATCTCCTTAAAACATGCTCATCTCTCTAGAGAGAACAGGCCTCAGAGTCAGAACTTTTTAAATAGGCAGCTATACTTAGCTGGAACTCAATGATACCATTTCACTTTCATTTTACTTACTTTTACAGTTACCTTCTAATTATGGAACCCTATAAAAGTTTTCCAATTATTTTCACAGATATAAAGCTTGCTTTTAAAGAAACATATTTACCTTTTGAGTTAATCTATTTAGCAGGAAATATTAAGTAAATGCTGGTAAAGTTGGGCTGTGGATACAGCAATATTTGCGATGGTGCTGCTCAACCAGCTTCCGTTTGGGAAACAGTGTCCTCATCTGCTGGGTCCCATAGTTTTGGCCTTTCAGGCAGCTTTTCACAACCTTCACACCCAGCCAGATTTTCCTTTTTGCTCTGTACCCCTTGGACATTTCGTGCCAATGTTCTCATAACTCTCCCCAGAGTCCCCTGTGGCTATTAGTAGGCGTCTTCCTGGCTAGACTGTGGACTTCTCTTATTCATTTCTTCAACTTGCCAGAAACAAGCCTGGCCCAGAGTGGGTTCCAGAAATAGGTTAGTTGTTCTTGTGTTCTTCTTCATGAAGATGGAGGTTTCAGGGTTGTCCAGACAGGCTCTAGACTCAGTTTCCTCATTCTGTTTGTTTGTTTGTTTGAGATGGAATTTCACTGTTTTTGCCCAGGCTGGAGTGCAATGGTGTGATCTCGGATCACTGCAACCTCCGCCTCCCAGGTTCAAGTGATTCTCCTGCCTCAGCCTCCCGAGTAGCTGGGATTACAGGTGCGTGCCACCATACCTGGCTAATTTTGTATTTTTAGTAGAGATGGGATTTCACCATGTTGGCCAGGCTGGTCTCAAACTCCATAGCTCACTGCAGCCTGGAACTCCTGGCCTCAAGTGATCCACCCGCCTCACCCTCCCTAAGTGCTGGGATTACAGGTGTGAGCCACTGTGCCTGGCCTATTTATTTTGAGACAGAATGTCCCTCTGTTGCCCACGCTGGAGTGCAGTGGCACGATCTCAGCTCACTCCAACTTCTGCCTCCTGGGCTCAAATGATCCTCCCCAGCTTCCCAAGTAGCTGGGACTACAAGTATGCACCACCAGGCCCAGCTAATTTTTGTATCTTTTGTAGAGATGGGGTTTCACCATGTTGCACAGTGTCAAACTCTTAGGCTCAAGCCAGTATTTGCTTTTACAAACAAATGTTTTTATTTTATTTATTTATTTTTTGAGACGGAGTCTTGCTCTGTCACCCAGGCTGGAGTGCAGTGGCGTGATCTCAGCTCACTGCAAGCTCCGCCTTGGGTTCACGTCATTCTCCTGCCTCAGCTTCCCGAGTAGCTGGGACGACAGGTGCCCGCCACCACGCCTGACTAATTTTGTTTCTGTATTTTTAGTAGAGACGGGGTTTCACCGTGTTAGCCAGGGTGGTCTCGATCTCCTGACCTCGTGATCCGCCCGCCTCGGCCTCCTAAAGTGCTGGGATTACAGGCGTGAGCCACTGCGCCCGGCCCAAACCCTTTTATTTTAAGTTCCGGAATACCCGTGCAGGACGTGCAGGTTTGTTACATAGGTTAACATGTGTCATGGTGGTTTGCTGCACCTGTCAACCCATCACTTAGGTATTAAGCCCCACATGCATTAGCTATTTATCCTGATGCTCTCTCTCCCCTCACCCCACTACAGGCCCCAGGGTGTGTTGTTCCCTTCCCTGTGTCCATCCAGGTGTTCTCATTGTTCAGTTCCTACTCATAAGTAATATGTAGTGACAAATAAACCCTTTCTTCCTTTACTTACAGCACTAGCAAAGAGTGGATTTGAGAGTTTCTCTCTTCCTGAGAATCTCTACAGCTGATTCCCCACAGGGCATCTGGTTTAGACTGATAATAAGCTTACAGAGTAGAGTACACCTGGAAAGAGAAAGTCTCCTAATTGTGTTTACCCTATTTGCCAGTGGCAGGACTTAATCACTTGATTTCTCAAACTTGACTTACTCAGGTTCCCTCAGGGGCCTGGGCCCTGGGGCCTGGCCTGATGCAGCTGGCTGCAGTCAACATTTCTTTCAAGTCTGAAGTTTTATCTTAAAACTTCAGGTGAGGTTTGAATTCTACTGCATAATATACTCTTGTTTGTTTTAATATGAAAATATTGAAAATAACTTACTGGCTAAATTGCTTAAATCTCTATTCCCCATTTTTTTTTCCTATTGCCAATTTTTGGGTAAAAATGAAGTTTTCCACGAGCAGCTTTAGGTATCTCTTAACACACTGCTGCTGTGTGCTCCTGGGGCCAGCCCGGTGTGAAAGTGAGTCCCTGGGTGATCGCAGCAGTTTCTGAATGACTTCCGGAATACACACAAAGCTCTGGACACACTCCATGCATGGACAGGCTCCTACAGGAAGTGGGGAGGCTGGTGGCAAAGAGATTTTTCAACCAGAGAGCACCTGCCTATTCATCCCAGAGTCTGGCAGAGTTAAAGGAAAGTTTAGGATTAAACAGGATGACAGAGTTTCTCTCTCTTTTATTTCCCTGCCTTCCTCCCTATCTCTCTCCTTCCTTCCTTCCTCCCTCCCTCCTTTTCCTCCTTCCTTTCCTTCCTTCCTTCCTTCCTTCCCCTCCTCTTCCTTCTTCTTTCTTTCTCTTTCTCTCTTTCTCTTCCTTCCTTCTTCTTTTTCTTTCTTTCTTTCTTTTTCTTTCTCTTTCTTTCTTTTTCTTTCTTTCTTTCTCTCTCTCTCTCTTCCTTCCTTCCTTCCTTTCTCTCTTCTTTCTTCTCTCTTCTTTCCCTCCCTCCCACCCTTCCTTTCTTCCTCTCTCCCTCTCCTTCTCTGTTTTTTAGAGAAGGAACTTCGCTCTGTCACCCAGGCTGAAGTGCAGTGACATGATCATAGCTCACTGCAGCCTGGCACTCCCGGGCCCAAGCGATCCTCCCGCCTCAGTGCCCATTGATTACAGGCATGCACCACCACGCCTGCCCCATAGTGTTTCTTAAGTTGGATATAAAACCTCCCTATGAGAATAAATTTTTAAAAAAATGGAAAAAACCCTTCTCTATGAGAATGTTTAAATTCTGAGTTTCCATTTCAATGACATTTTAAAAAAGACAGATTGGTAAAAGCCCTGAATTCAACACTATGCAACTTATCCATGTAATAAAATTACACTTGTACCTCATACATTTATAAAAACAAAATAAGTAAAAGATGGATAGGTATATTCTGGAGAATCTGAACGTTGGCCCCAACAACTGATTTCTGCTGGCAAGTGAATTAGGGTCTCAGGCTATGACTTCAAATTTCATTAGCTAAGGAGAAAAGAATCAGGTCCGACGTCATATGTTAGTGATATATTTGTGCCAAATGAGTGTTGAATGCACCACGATATGCTGCTTTAACAAAGGTTTTCCCAGTATTTCCATTAGAGAAAAATGAGTCATCACAATACTCAGAATATATAGGCAGATTGATTCCAAAAAATCTACTCCAATGCGGTTGCCTCCATCCTGTCCGTGTGAGTGGAGATATAATTTCAGCAAAGCTGAAAAAAATCAGTATATGTATGTGTGTGTATATGTGTGTGTGTGTGTGTGTGTGTGTGTGTGTGTGTATGAATTAAAAATAAAAAGCGCCATCAGGTCTCCTGTTAATGTTAAGGTAAACTCTGTCAGCTTTGTGTTTAACCTGTGAAAGTATTCTTTTTTTTTTTTTTTTTTTTTTTTTTTGAGACAGAGTCTTGCTCTGTCTCTCAGGCTGGCGTGCAGTGGCATCATCTCGGCTCACTGCAACCTCCGCCTTCCAGGTTTAAGGGATTCTCCTGCCTCAGCTTCCAAAGTAGCTGGGGATACAGGCATGCGCCACCACACCTGGCTAATTTTTGTAGTTTTAGTAGAGAAGGGGTTTCACCATTTTGGCCAGGCTGGTTTCGAACTCCTGACCTCAGGCGATCTGCCCACCTCGGCCTCCCAAAGTGCTGGGACTACAGGTGTGAGCCACTGCGCCTGGCCCAGTATTCATTTTTTACTTGCATAGTAGCTACAAGGCAACATGTTTATGTCTGTCTGGCTTATGTATATAATATACATTAATTTAAAATCATTTAAGTCTAAACACTGGGAATCTATAAGAATTTTGTTATCTTTAAGATGGGTGGGTACAAACTCAAATTTGAAAAACTGTTGTCTTAGTCCATTTTGTGTTGCTATAACAGAATACCACAGGCTGGGTAATTGATAAAGAATAGGGATTTATTTCTCACAGTCGTGGAGGGTCGGAAGTCCAAGGTCAAGGGGCTTGAATCTGGCGAGGGCCTTCTTGCTGTATCATCCTGTGGCAGAAGCAGAACGACAAGAGAGACACGTGCAAGAAAGGGAAGGATCCCTCATGTCTTGGTGCTGTCGTTGAGTGAATGAGTTCTCATGAGATCTAGTTGCTTAAAACTGTGTGGCACCTCCCACCCACTCTCTCTCTTGCTCCTGCTTTTGCTATGTGAGACACCGCCTCCCCCTTTGCCTTCTGCCATGATTGCAAGCTTCCTGAGGCCTCCCCAGAAGCTGAGCAGATGCCTGGCACCATGTTTCCTGTACAGCCTGCAGAACTGTGAGCCAATTAAACCTCTTTTCTTTATAAATTACCTAGTTTCACATATTCCTTTATAGCAAGGCAAGAATGGCTTAACACAGTGGTCTAAAGAGACAATGGAATATTACTGAGCCTTAAAAAGGAAGGAAATTCTGACTCATGCTACAAAATGGATGGACCTTGAGGACATTATGCTAAGGGAAATAAGCCAGGCACAAAAGGACATACACTTATATGAGGTACCTAGAGTAGTCAAACTTATAGAGCCAGAAAGTAAAATGGGCTGGGCGCGGTGGATCACGCCTGTAATCCCAGCATTTTGGGAAGCCGAGGCGGGTGAATCATCTGAAGTCAGGAGTTCGAGACCACCCTGGTCAACATGGTGAAACCTCATCTCTACTAAAAATACAAAATTACTCGGGTGTGGGGGCTCATGCCTGTAATCCCAGCAACTTGGGAGGCTGAGACAGGAGAATCGCTTGAACCTGGGAGGTGGAGGTTGCAGTGAGCCGAGATCGTACCACTGCACTCCAGCCTGAGCAACAAGAGCGAAACTCCATCTCAAAAAAAAAAAAAAAAGTAAAATGACGATTGCCAGGGAGCTGGGGGGAGAGGAGAGGAGAATTGTGGGGTTAGTGTTTAATGGGCACACAGTTTCATTTTGGGAAGATGAAAAAAGTCTGAAGATGGATGGTGGTGGTGGTTGTCCAACAATGTGTGCGTAACACTACTGAAGTATATACTAAAAATGACTGAAATGGTAAGTTTTGTATTACGCATATTTTACCACGACAAAAAAAAATACAGTAAAAGCAGTTTAGCAAATTCATGTTCACAGCAGCAAGGACATGACGTGGTTCTCACATCTCCATGGAAGCTGCCACGTGCTTCCCAAGTGCTGTCCGCATCTTGATTCTTCTAAGAGGGACTTCCACAGGGCTCTCCAAGTGAACATTCTTATGATCCTAGATGAATGCAGGGAGAAAAATCAGCAAATCTTCAGTCCTTTCCAAACGAAAGACTAACGTGGCCTGGGACTTTGTCTGTTTGTCTATAACAGCATACCGCAGACTGAGTAATTTATAAAGAACAGGGATTTATTTCTCACAGTTCTAGGGTCTAGGAAGACCATGATCAAGGCCTTGGCATGTGGTGATGGCCTTCTCGCTGGGTCCTCACGTGGTGAAAGGCGGAAGGGCAAATGGGGGATGATCGCTGTGTCCTGGCAGGGCAGAAGAGCAGCTGAAACACACTTCCTCTGTCAAGCCCCTTTACGAGGGCAACTAATTCCATTCATGAGGGAGGGGCCCTCCTGGCCTAGTCACTGCTTAAAGGCCCTGCCTGGTTTTTTGTTTTGTTTTGTTTTGTTTTGTTTTGTTTTTTGAGACAGCGTTTCGCTGTTGTTGCCCAGGCTGGAGTGCAAGTGCAATGACACGATCTCCGCTCACCGCAACCTCCGCCTCCCGGTTTCAAGCGATTCTCCTGCCTCAGCCTCCCTAGTAGCTGGGATTACAGGCATATGCCGCCAGACCTGGCTAATTTTGTATTTTTAGTAGAGACAGGGTTTCTCCATGTTGGTCAGGCTGGTCTCGAGCTCCCGACCTCAGGTGATCCGCCTGCCTCAGCCTCCCGAAGTGTTGGGATTACAGGCGTGAGCCACCGCGCCTGGCTGGCGGCCCTGCCTCTTAATACTTAAAGGCCAATGTCACATTGGCAACATCTGAATTTAGGAGGGGACACATTTGAACCATAGCGGCCTGGTTACTCCGCTGAGGATAGTAACTAACATGCACCACCCAACCCAGATTCCTCATATTTATTCACTGTAAGGAATAAACTAAATTTAATATAGTGAAGTTCTGAATAATGCTTAAAATGTAGGATCTACAGCAGCATACATGCCAAAGTGTGTTCTGTGGGATGTTCATAAACGTTACATGTAAAAGAGGATTCTGTTGTCAAAGATATTTTGGAAATAACTGGATTGAACTAGGTTAAACAGCTTGTTAATTGAAGGCTTCGGAGTCTTTAATGTGCTGGTGTGTGGCCCTCCAAGGAGGGAGATTTGGAGGATATTCAGACAAGTGTTTGTCAAGTGGATTCAGCCACAGAACAGCTTTTCATGATCATGTTGAGGGAGGGTGTTCCATAAACATACTTTGGAAAGATGTCCATTTTGAGAAAAATAATAAAATAGAAGATAAATATATACTAGGCAGGGGTTGTCAAGCTCTGTAGTCCTTGGGCTTAACCCATCCAGCCGCATGTTTCTTTTCACATGGTTTGTACATTTTCAGACAGTTGTATTTTGAATAGTTACGTAAATACTTGTGTAACATTCTGGTTTTGCCCCTTGGTTTGCAAAGCCCCAAATATTTACTATCTGACCCTTTAAGAAAAAGTTTGCCAACTCCTGTACTAGGCAATGAAAATGTCTCAAGATTTTTTTTTTTTTTTTTGCGACAGAGTCTCACTCTGTCGCCCAAGCTGGTGTGAAGTGGCACGATCTTGGCTCACTGCAACCTCTGCGTCCTGGGTTCAAGCGATTCTCCTGCCTCAGCCTCCTGAGTAGCTGGGATTACAGGCATGCGCCACCACCAAGCCTGGCTGATTTTTGTATTTTTAGTAGAGACAAGGTTTCACCATGTTGGCCACGCTGGTCTCGAACTCCTGACCTCAGGTGATCCGCCCGCCACGGCCTCCCAAAGTGTTGGGATTACAGGCATGAACCACCGCGCCTGGCCTGAAGATTGTTAATCTGAAGATTCTACTCTTCATAGAAACAATAAAAATTATTATGCGCTATTAGAAGGGCCTACTATGTGCTAGGTATACATTATTTCCATTAATCTTCACAACGATTCTGTGAGAAAGGCACTATTGTCCCTATTTTATAAATGAGGACATCGTTTTCGAAAGGTAAAATGCATGTCAGAGCCAGAACTCAAACCCAGGTCTAACCCTAAAGCCCAGAATTGTTCCTTTGTCAGTGGTCTACAAAGTGGATTCCATGAATCCCAGCGGGTATATAAGACAAGCCACTGGGGCACACTGAACCATTGCTCTTTTCATTGTGTATTTTTTAGCATATCCTTCAGGCACGCTCAATTTTGCATATGTATTTTATTACAATACATAACAAATCAACTAAAATTGGCCTAACCAGTAGCCAATAGACAGTTTATTTATTTTAGAGGCAGGGTCTCACTGTCAACCAGACTGGAGTACAGTGGTATGATTATAACTCACTGTAGTGTCAATCTCCTGGGCTCAAGGGACCCTCCTGTCTCAGCTTCCTGAGTATCTGGAACTACGGGTGCATACCACTGCAACTGGGTTTTTTTTTTTTTTTTTTTTGAGATGGAGTCTTACTCTGTCACCCAGGCTGGAGTGCAGTGGCATAATCTTGGCTCAGTGCAACCTCTGCCTCCCAGGTTCAAGCAATTCTGCTGCCTCAGCCGCCCGAGTAGCTGGGATTACAAGCATGTGGCACCATGCCCAGCTACTTTTTGTACTTTTAGTAAAGATGGGGTTTCACCATGTTGGCCAGGCTGGTCTCGAACTCCTGACTTCAAGTGATCCACCCACTTCGGTTTCCCAAAGTGCTGGGATTATAGGCGTGAGCCACCACGCCCAGCTGTAACTGGCTAATTTTTGTAATTTTTATAGACATGGGATCTCGCTACGTTGCCTAGTAGGCTGATTTTTTTTTTTTTTTTTTGAGATGGAGTCTCACTCTCTCACTCTGTCACTCAGGCTGGAGTACAATGGCGTGGTCTCAGCTCACTGCAACCTCTGCCTCACCTCAGCCTCCCGAGTAGCTGGGACTACAGGCGTGTGCCACCATGCCTGGCTAATTTTTGCATTTTTAGTAGAGACGGGGTTTCACTATATTGGCCAGGCTGGTCTCGAACTCCTGACCTCATGATCCGTCTGCCTCGGCCTCCCAAAGTGCTGGGATTACAGGTGTGAGCCACCGCACCCAGCCGCCTAGGCTGATTTTAAACTACTGGCCTCAAATGATCCTCCTGCCTTGGCCTCCCGAAGTGTTGGGATTACAGGTGTTAGCCACCACTTCCATCCTCAGTAGACAGTTTTTAAGAATCCTAATAAATAGCTCCCTGTTCTCCTCCCCTGAGTTCAGAATTAACTGAGAGAGTGGGATCTGAGAGATAGAGAACAAAATGTTAGCTTTATTCTTGAGAGGGCCGTGGGAGAATCTGGCTTAGGTGTGGTGCCTGGCAGTCATGGTGTCTCAAGCTTGAATCCAAGAATTAAGACACGCTCACTGACCCAGGCACAGGCCTCCTCCCACAGCTAGGGGCCCAGTGGAATATGCGTCCCTGGGCCATCTGATCCCTAGTAGGAGAGAGGCTGAGCTGTGCATACCTGCTTCCTGCTCCCCTAAATATCAGTCACTCTTTCCCAGGGAGAGAGAGAGCTGGAGCCTTACTGTGATTGCAGCTCCATTCACATGGAAGGGAACAAACCAAGCATGGGTGTATGTAAGAGTTTCCCACGTAACAATATTGTACATGACATTTATTTATTAATCCATGTATTTTGTACATGTTAACATGTATAGATACACACATATATATACATATATACATATACGTATATATATGTATGTGTGTGTGTGTGTATATATATATATATATATATATATTTTTTTTTTTTTTTGAGATGGAGTCTTGCTCTGTTGTCCAGGCTGGAGTGCAGTGGTGCTATCTCAGCTCACTGCAACCTCCACCTTCCCGGTTCAAATGATTCTCCTGACTCAGCCTCCTGAGTAGCTGGGACTACAGGCACGTGCCACCATGCCCAGCTAAGTTTTTTTGTATTTTTAGTAGAGATGAGGTTTCACCATGTTGGTCAGGCTAGTCACGAACTTCTCACCTCAAGTGATCCGATCACCTCAGCCTCCCAAAGTACTGGGATTACAGGCATGAGCCACTGCACCTGGTCACATATTAACATTTTTATTGAGGGGTATGCAATGAAAACTGAAGTTCACTATTCTGTACTATACTGTAGAAGTATTGGAGGCCAAGTTTCACGCAGCTGGAAGGGAATGAGGACATAGTTTATTGTAGGATCTGGGCCTCCTGGATCTTTGTTATTCTTTTTTTTTTTTTTTGAGATGGAGTCTTGCTCTGTCACCCAGGCTGGAGTGCAGTGGCGCGATCTCGGCTCACTGCAAGCTCCGCCTTCCGGGTTCAAGCAATTCTCCTGCCTCAGCCTCTCAAGTAGATGGGACTACAGGCACCCGCCACCACGCCCGGCTAATTTTTTGTATTTTTAGTAGAGACAGGGTTTCACTGTGTTAGCCAGGATGGTCTGGATCTCCTGACCTCGTGATCCGCCCGCCTCGGCCTCCCAAAGTGCTGGGATTACAGGCGTAAGCCACTGTGCCCGGCCAGCCTCCTGGATCTTAAGAGGGGATGAACCTGGGCCTTATTAATAAAATATGTATGTTCTGTACACTGCCATTAATTTACAAGTCTCTAAAGGAAAACGTGTTTAGGAGATAGAAAAATTCCCTGCCTGGTGGCTGTTTTCTGAAGTTTCCTATATGTGGCAATCTCACTGCGGGTTGTGTTTCCCTTATCCAAAATGCTTAGGACCAGAAGTGTTGTGGGTATCAATTTTTTTTCATATTTTGGAATACTTGCAGAATACACACCGGTTGAGCTCTCCTAATCAAAAAATCTGTAATCTGAGTGCTTCATTGAGGATTTCCTTTGAATGTCATGCCATTGCTTCAGATTTTGGAGTATTTCAATTTTGGGTCTTTATATTTTGGGATGCTCAATTTGTATGGGAAAATCCTTACAGACAACTCCAAGGTAGAGCAATAGCAAGTAGGAAAGCTTGAAGTCAGTGAGCAGCTCTCTGTTGCAGTGAGTTACAAACAGAATTTGGGTGAAGGATGTGGCTAAGGTTAGACAGGCATTATGGTTCAGGTAGAATGCAAGGCAGAGCTGAAATTTAAAATTGGACATTTTCCAGAGTTTATTACATGAAACGTTGCCCCTGATAGATGCTCTGTGAATGGTATCACAGTCAAATACATTTGAGAAACCCAGTGTAAGTAAACCCCCTCTCAGACATTCACATTGCACACTAGTATGTAAGAGGCTGATTATGCTTACATAAGAAGTCCTGCAATAGACTTTAAACAGCAGTTCTCAAACTAATGTACCTTCAGAACACTTATTTCCAAATTCCTATCGACATTTGTTCTGAAAAACATTTTGGGAAATGCTAAGTGGGAAGATTATAGATTCGGGAACTTATGGTAAGGGGCTCAGATGCCCAAGTTCATCCTCTTACTAGCTGTGGCCATGGGTAAATTAATCTCTCAGACTGTTAATTTCCTCACCCATAAAATGGATGTAATATTTCCTATCTGTAAGAACTGTAGTGAAGATTAAAAGAGATAACATCTATAAACTTCTCAACTATTAGCATGTACTCAGTAAAAGTTAGATCCTGGCTGGGCGCGGTGGCTCACGCCTGCAATCCCAGCACTTTGGGAGGCCAAGGTGGGTGGATCACTTGAGGACCAGAGTTCATGACCAGCCTGGCCAACATGGTGAAACCCTGTCTCTACTAAAAATACAAAAATTAGCTTGGCATGGTGGCCCACGCCTGTAATCCCAGCTACTCAGGAGGCTGAGGCAGGAGAATCGCTTGAACCCGGGAGGCAGAGGCTGCAGTGAGCCATGACTGCATCGCTGCACTCCAGCTTGGGCGACAGAGCGAGACTCTTGTCCAAAAAAATAAAAATAAAAATAAATGGTAATAATAATAATAGCACAGAATATAATTTTTGAACATGTAGACTATACCAGGTAAGGTGCAAAGCCCGGCCATTTCTCAGGGTGGAGCATGCGGATTATTTCCTCAGAATGGATTTCTCAGGATGCTGATTCCTGCTGAGTTTGACTTTTAGGGAGTGAAGCTGAGGAATCTGTCTTTCGACAAGCTCCCTGGTGAATCATTAAGGTCATTAAAATTTGAGAGCCATTGATTAGGAAGCGTGAGTTGCAAGACGCTGAAGAATCTCATGTGGCCCAAATAATACTGAATGAGAGAAGGAATGGACATTGAAGACCAAGGACTTGGAGAAGCGTGCCCCCGTGATGGTAATCTTGGACTCAGAAACTCACCTTAGATGAGGGAGTGTTTGCAGGTATGAGAGGGTGAGGCAGCTGGATCATGTTTGGCGTGGTTAAAACAGTATGACGGGGCTGGGCACGGTGGCTCATGCCTGTAATCCCAGCACTTTGGGAGGCCAAGGCGGGCGGATCACCTGAGGTCAGGAGTTCGAGACCAGCCTGGCCAACATGGTGAAACCCTGTCTCCATAAAAAATACAAAAGTTAGCTGGCAGTACACACCTGTAATCCCAGCTACTCAGGAGGCTGAGGTACAAGAATCGCTCGAGCCTGGGAGGTGGAGGTTGCAGTGAGCCAAGATTGCGCCATTGCACTCCAGCCTGGGTGACAAGAGTGAAACTCTGTCTCAAAAAACAAAACAAAACAAAAAACAATATGATAGGGAATGGCGAGTGTGACACTTCCAGGTGAGACCTGAAGGAAGGTCACGGGACAGAAATGTAGTGAGAGGGCAAGTAGACTGCAAAGAGAAAGCCAGGTTTGGTCCCTGATCATGGTCCCATTGCCGTCCCATCCCATGAGGCGGATGCCCCTCCAGCCCCAGCCGGAAAGCCCATACCATTGCCAGTCCTGTTATGATTAAGCACTCTTGGTTTGCAAGAACTTGGGTGAACCTGCTCCTATGGGGGCCCAGAACACCGCATGACTTTTTCCTTCCTTTTTTTTTTTTTTTGCGACACAGTCTTGCTCTGTCATCCAGGCTGGAGCATAGTGGTGCGATCACAGCTCACTGCAGCCTTGAACTCCTGGGCTCAAGCAATCCTCCCACTTCAGCCTCCCAAGTAGCTGGGCCTGTAGGTGTGCACCACCACACCTGGCTACTTTTTTTTTTTTTTTAAACTTTGAGTAGAGGAAAGGTCTTGCTATGTTGCCCAGCCTGGTCTCAAACTCTTGGGTTCAACAGATCCTCCTGCCTTGGCCTCCCAAAGTGCTGGGATTACGGGTGAGCCACCACACCTTCTGTTTTTCTCCTTCTAATGGGGACACAGATTAATATATTAATGACCATTATTCCTAAGCAAGGTCTGCAAGAAGGTTGTTATATTGTTTCCTCTAAAGAAGCATGAATATTGCATGTATATCCCTTCCCTCCAAGTTCTTTTGTTCGGGGACTCTGCTGGTTTTCTTCTCTCCTTAGGAAGGTGGGGTGGTGGTGTCCTGTTAGTCACCTGGGAACAAGGAGGCTCCACACTGGGGTTGATTTTGCTTGGGCACTGCCTTTGGGAAAGTAGTAAAACGTTAGGCAGTGTGCTCCACCTCCCAGGAGCAGATGGCTTGGGCAGTCTCTGCGGCCCAAATGTGGCTGCATTTCCCACCCCAAACCCCCACCGCACAATGTTTTTTTTTTTTTTTTTGAGACCGAGTCTCACTCTGTCACCCAGGCTGGAGCGCAGTGACGTGATGTCGACTCACTGCAACCTCCGCCTCCCGGGTTCAAACAATTCTCCTGCCTCAGCCTCCCAAGTAGCTGGGGTTACAGGCGCCCGACACCACGCCCGGCGAATTTTTGTATTTTAGTAGAGATGGGGTTTCGCCATATTGGCCAGGCTGGTCTCGAACTCCTGACCTCAGGTGATCGGCCCGCCTCGGCCTCCCAAAGTGCTGGGATTACAGGTGTGAGCCACTGGGCCTGGACCTCCATAGCACACTCTTGACCATCAGGAGGCAATGCCGGCAAGAGGTTCACCATCCTTTGGACATAAAGGAAGCTTTCCCTTGGTTTGTGGACATTGTAGTTAAGAGAATGAAGGTGCACTATGGCCCAGAGAGGGGTCGCCCCTATTTCTCCACAGTTCCCAAACATAGCTGGCATAGGTTTCTGTTCTTTGATCCCGAAGATCCCAGGCCACAAAGCTATGTACCCTTTCTCCTGCCAAATAAAATCCATAGACACTGCATCTTCATGATGAAGCTTGAAACCAGTCAAGCACTTTTTTTATTTAAAAAAAAAAAAAGGAAAGAAGTCAAATGGTAAAGTATATAGCCTACACATGCTACAGCTAGTTGTTCTCACCCCTCCCCTCACATCCTATATACTCATTTATTTAATGTGTTAAAGGAAACAAAAACCACCACCGGAATGCCAATTTGCCAAGAGGGTAGAGTAAGTGTGGGGATCTCCAGCGTCATCCTATGAGCAGACACGAGGTGGTGGGCAGTGCCCACTGTTCCTGGAGGGAGGTAAGAAATGGCCTGTTACTTGGAAGCTCCCCAAAGCAGGAAATGTGGGTTGTAATCAAGGTGGCCACAGTTTATCATCACCCCTCTAAGTGAAAGGGGCGCTAACAATAATTACACGGGCACAAAGGCATACATGGGCACACACTGGGGTAAAATGTGGACACCATCGTTGCATTAGAATTGCTTATTGCTGATGTAAGCCTGGTGGGGGCACCTTCTTTTTTACATGAATAGGACATCTAAAAGTGAAGGCTACCGACTGTGGCACTGCGTTTGGCCTCTTTGAGGACAGAAGAGGTTGAGCCCCTCATCCCTGATTGGAGCTAAGAAGGCTTACTTTGGAGTCGAGGATAGAAACGGGAAGATGGAATGTTGAAACATGAGGAGGAGCTCGATAACTTGGCAGAATAGCACCAGAAACCAGATGCCACCCCACGGAGCTGGGCAGTCCAGTCTGTAGAAAGGTGCTCTGAAGGAGGTCCATGAGCAGGCAAGGACTGTGGAGCCTCCGGTTCCAGCTCTGCAGCTCTGCCTGGGACCCTCGTGGAAACTTACTCTAGTTAGGAGCAATTCCTCCAGGCCAAGAGAGGGCGCCCTGCACCCTCAGGCCTCGATGCATGCTGCTCTACCTCTCATCAGCCCACAGTCTGACACGAGGTCATCTTTGGTCTGTGGTGAGGTATGGATGTCTGCAGTCTACACAACAGCCCTGCAGAACGGGCCTGGACAACCCTTGGGGGATAAGACAGCCACACATGGCTCAGGCTGTTAGGTGTCCACTGTCACAGTCCAAAGAGAAAGGTACGGCCTCCAAGGGGGCAGCTTAAGCCAACATGTAAGACTTGGGCACGATGAAAGGACGGGGGTCCAGCTACGAATGTTTTTGTTCTTGATGTCAAGTTGCCAGCTACTGGAAGGCAGGAGCAGTTTCTTCTTTTTCCCACTCTGTGCTGGGTACTTGGGAGAGGCGAAATAAATACCAGACTGTCCACTCCTCAGCCTAAGGTCCTTCTCAAGTCCTGGCACACTCAGCACTTGCTCTTTAACGTGGCATATGTTCCCCCATCTTCCACCTGGTAATGAAATCCTCAGTGGGCGCAAACATTTTAGGGCCAAGAACATTGACTTGGAAATTGATTCTATGGCGTGGCCTTGTGGCAGAGGTTTAAAATGACTACCGTAACCTGGCATGGGCTCCAGCGATCCCCCAGTAGGGAAGGGCCATTAAAAGCGGTTTAAGCTGGAGCTCAGCTCTCCCGCAGTCTCAGCTGGGACGACATACACCCACCAATGGCAAAGAAAGATTCCGAGCAGAACATGTGAGCAAAGGCCTCTTTTATCAAGAGGTGGTCTTAGACTCAGGGTTTTCCAAATTTTTGGAGGTACCGCAAGCTGTCCGTTTGCCCTGGGATGTAAGGTAAAGTAGTTGTCACAATTGTGTTAATAAGCAGGGGTGAGGGGAAGAAAAAAAAATCTCTGCCCACCTTTTGGGCTGCCATTTGGCCTGTGACCTACTGAAATGTGTGAGCAAGGGGCGGGGGGAAGAGGCACCGAAATTCAGAGGGAGGGTCACTTGATTCCCTGGAAGCCCTCCGCACACTTCCCTGCTAATGGCAGAGAAAAGTCATGGACACGAGGGAAAGAACAACAACAACAAAACCAAACAAACCCAAACTCGAGATCTCAGTCCCAGCTTGGCCACTATTTGGACCTTCTCCCTCTGAACCTTAATTTTCTCACTATAGATCAGGGCTGGTCCTATCCGCCTCACAGGCTTGCCGTAAGGATTAAAGGAGCGTGTGTGTTTAGGCACTGGTCACCAGCCCGGTGCTTGGCACCATTGTCACGATGGGCCTGGACACTTTCTAGAGCCATGACTCCAGGGGAGTTCTGCATATGCGCCATCAATCGCTCACAGAATAGCGACCACAGTCCTGGATGGGGTAAATCTAAGTCCCCAGGCAAGGACAGCTAGGAGAGTGACTGGCCACCCTGACCCACCCACTGCCTGGGGAAGTGTCTACCATTGTAGGAAAAGGAGCTGGATACAGACGTCCTCAGGCCATAGATATGACTCAAGGAGAGAACAGTGAACAGAGAGGACTGTGGCTTCAGTACCCGCGGGTCATGTCAGAATAATCATCATCATCATAGCAAAAGAGAATGGCAGATTCTTTCATTTGCAGGAAAACTTTCTGCCTAGAGGAAGGCAGGGCAAGTCTGCTCCTACCCAGCTGACCCCCGGGAGGAAGGAATGAAGCAAGAGAGAAACTCCTTCAGTGAAGTCAGCAGACAGGACTCAAAGCTCTTCCAGCCAGGGATGGAGCCACACACATCCCAGTCTACTCAGCACCTAGCACAGAGTAGACACTCACAAAGTATCTGAAAGCGTCGCTGAAAGGCAAAGAGCAAATCAGAAAAAAACATGTGTTTTGTCTTTTGAAATGCAGTCAAATCTCACATAGCTTCACAAAAGTTGTTTAAACCAAAGTGGATCAAGAACTCAGGAAAACTGCCATGGGGCCTCCTCTCAAGGGAGGGGACCCTCAAGCGGTGGCGGCCCTTCCCCACCTCCCTTCTTCCCCTGGCTGCCATCTGCCCCCAACGCTCTGGGCACAGGGCCAAGTGGCAAGTGGGCCCTGCCCAAGCCTCTCTGGGAAATGGGATTTGCAGGCCGACTGGACGAAGGCACTAAAGATGCTACAGGTGATCAGAGGAAGCTCCTCACGCAGAAGCAGCCAGCACCCACGTGATAGGGGGTGGAGCTGGGAGGCGCGGCAGAAGAGGGCTGTTCAAGCAAAACTTTGGCACTGCAGGTAGACACTGAGCATCCCCCCAAAAAACTGGCTTTGTGGGTCCAAAAGTATCTCGCCTGATGAACACTGTGAACTGGAGATCTCTGGGGCAGGGCAGGGTGGGGAGGGGCGGGGCAGGGCAGGGCAGGGCTGCCTCGGTCGGGTAGAATGGGAAGGGGTTCTGCTCTGCTCTCTTACTCTGGGCTGGGAGCTAGAAATGCTGGGTCCTGATTTTGCTTCTGCAGTGATTTAGTCATGCCTCTCCAGACCTCAGTTTGACAGATGACCACATCTGCCCTGGGTTTCTTCAAGGGAGAAAACAGATTTGGCAGTGCGTGAAAAAAGAAAAAAACATTACAAATGCCGGAGAGGCACAGGAAGCAGCTCTGCCTGGCCCTTGGTTACCTGCCTCCCTATGGGACCGCTGCATGCTATGCTCAGAGCCCTCCAGGCTGGCCCTCGAGGCCACCTCAGCTCCCGTTGCTCCATAAGCTCTATTCCCCAGGGGGCAACAGCTTAGAAGAGGGAACAGGGCTCTGTGTCAACCACCAGGACCCTGGCATTCTCCTGTCATGGAGATGCAGCTGTTGAGTCCAGGGCAGCCTTTGGTATAGGCTGCTGTGGGCTGGAGGGATGGTGGGTGTGGGAGCAGCCACGAATGCCCCCTCACCCCCCTCACAATGAAGCCACTTGGCCACCACTTAGCCAGCTTCTATCTCTTCCCTGCCTGGTTTGTCTTTTACAGAGGGGAGGGCACAGGCACTGAAGTCAGGCAGGCCTGGACTCAAATCCTCTTCCCTCTTCCTCCTGGCTGGTGTGTCCTTGGGCACATGGAGCGTGAATTTCCTCATCTATAAAGGGAGGTTGTGAGGGTCAAAGCATGAATGCAAAGCGCCAAGTACAGTGTTTGGCACCCACGAGGCACTCAGCAAAGGGGTGCTCACAAGGGCACGACTTGTGAATGGGCCTCTTATTCAAACAAACTTTGAGATTCTTGCTTTAGGTAGGCAAAAATGAAATGCTCCAAGTTGGGGTGGGAACTCTCATTGAAAAGCCCTGGAGGGACCGGAGCCTGCAGCAGCAAAGCGCAGCATACGCGGGGCTGGAACCACCCTTCAGGGCTGACCACGGTCCCAAGATAGAAGGTGGGAGGCAGGGCGGCTGAGCGGATCTCCAGGCCCACTCCTGGGGGAGCCGCATCCAGTGGAACCTCAGAGGCCCACGGGCCTGAGGCTTTGGGGAAGGGGACACTTTCCCTGGAACTGGTAATGGAATGCATTTCTTCAGGATGAAGTTCCTTCTGGTAGCAGGCAATTTAGGAGGAGTGAATAAAGCCACTGGGCTTTTAGAAACATGAAGAAGTTGGAGCAAAAGTCATCATGGACTGGGTTGGCTGCCCCTTACTGTGCCATGTCCAAGCCATGAGAGACCCTTGCTGGAGTTTCTCCAGGCAATGGGATCCAGTCCTGGAGGTCTTGGAGAGTCTTGGTCCCACTGCTGGGTGGCAATGCCATTGGCCAGGAGGAGTTCTCTTAAGGCAGGGATGCTGACATGGACAGAAAGCAAAGGCTGTGGGTTCTGAGCCTCCAGTGATGCTGTGATAGGAGGGATCAGGCCCAGGGGCGCCCGAGGTGTCCGAAACTCACTCTCCACCCATGGGAGGCAAGAAGTCACAGTACCCCAGAGTCTGTCTGCCTTGGAAGCTGCGTGGAGAATGATAAATTAAGAGGCGTATTAAATACGTGGGTAAAGCCAGCAAGGACCAGCGGGCCCTCTAGGCAGAAAGGGAGTCGGCTACGGCTTCTTTCTGAGATAGTTGGAAGGAATCCACCCTTCCCAGGAAGGGGCTCCGCTCAGGACCTGGCAGAACCACCAGCCACTGCTGTTCTTCTCCCGGACTTCAAACACTGTCCCTTCCTGGAAGCTGCTGGTGTCTTTGTCTCCTTCAAAGTCGGCCACGGCCACATACAAAGAGTCCTTCAGGCCGTCGGCATTGGGGACAGAGGCTGCAGCTGCTTTCTCCCTGTTTTCTCCAATCTTGCCGGTCCCCCATGGCCCCAGGCTGCCTTTGCCTCGCGTGTCATCCTGGCCCCCCAAAGAGTTGGAGAGAAAAGGTTTGGCTTTTGGAGGGACGAGGAGAGCACGGCCTGGGGTGGGAGCTGCCCTGCTTTCGTGGCCTTCACACTGTGGACCTCTGACCTCTGGGAGCGGCCTGGATGACGAAGAGGTTTTCTTTGGGGGAGGTGGTCTGCGGGGTGGGACCACAGGTCTCTGCTGGGGAGCCTCTTGGAGAGGAACAGGCACGCTCTTAGACACAGGATCTGTGGTCTTGGCTGGCCTCGGAGGGGCTCTGCAGGAAATCTCTTTTGGGCTGAGACCATCCTGTTTGCCCGTCCTGTCCTGGGCGCGGCCAGGCCCCTCTCCTGGGAGGAAGCTTCGGCTGAAGGCCACGTCTTGGCCCCCTACTGCCTGGGGGCCCTCCCCATCCAACAAGGACTTGTCTTGGGACTTGGCAGGCCTGAGCTTACTCCTGAGGTTGCAGATGTCGACTTGGTCTTCGCCCTGAGGTGGCTCCGTTTTGGGGGAAGGAGCTGGTTTTGGCCTAACCTGAGGTCTGGACTTCAAGAAGGGATTCTGGGGAGTGGCATCTGGCTTCTCCTCTGGCAGGTCAGTTTTGGATTTGGAGATGGGCCGGAGGTTGGGCTTCTTCACTTCCTTGGCCAAGACCTTGTGGCCACACTCCAGCCCCATGTCATTTTTCAGCTGGAACAGTCTGCTTTTGTCAGGTTTGGGCTCTGGCCTCCTGCTGTCCCGGGCTGGAGGGATGTGTTTGGCTGGCATCATCGGCAAAATCACGCCCGGAGGCTTGGGAGTGGGGCCCCGGAGCTGCTCCGTCCTCTGCCGCTCCCGCTCCCGCTCCAGCAGCTCCCCCTCCGACTTGATGATGGATTCTTTCCGCGGAGGGAGGCTGGGCTTCTCCTCCATGTCGGGGTCTGAGATCTCCTCGTAGCCTGCTGACGCAGACATGTCTGAAGATGCCTTCCTCAGGACATCCTTACTGCCCTTCCAGTCTTTAGACCATGGCAACCCCGAGTCCATGACACCATGCGGTGCGTCAGGCAGGGGCCGGGAGGGGCCCGTGGCTTCGCTGCCCGTGTTGTTCTCCAGCGCTGCTGCTTCCCCCAGCCGGAGCTGGGTCACCTCGTGGGGCAGGGGAGCCAGAAAGTTGGGTCTCGACGCGTTGCTCGTCTTCTTGTACTTGTCAATGAAGGTGGCCGGGGCCCACCCTTCCTTATCTTCAATCTGAATGTACCACCAGCCACTCAAGTTTTTCTCGATCACCTGCAAGGGAGGATAGAGAAAGGCACTTGGCTACGATGCCAGGGCCAGCAGATGGAATGGTTTGGCAGAACCCATGTGCAACTGGAGCTCTAGAAGCTGTCACTGTGTACTCAGCAGCTCCTCTGACAAGGTCTACAGGGACCACCAATGGAGATGTTACCATGTTCCGGGAATATCTTACATGGGGGGAGAGTCTTGTCGTATGGGACTCCCCCTAAAGCAGTCCATGAGATGTGGCCTTGGGTATAGGTACTTAATTTGAGAGTTGGTCCTAGGAAATACAAGTAAGGAAGTAGACAGAGAAAGAAGGGAAAGGGAGAGGCCAATTATGAGCAAGTTATTGCTCGGGGCCATGGGGCTTGATCTGCCAGGGACCCTCTGAGAGACCACAAAGACAGTGCCTCAGAACGGGTCCCTCTGGGGATGCGTGCATTTATCTATTGACTCTCAGCTCCTCCCTACCCAGGGTATTAACTCCTCTCCCCTTCTGGGAAGCTGTCGGCTTGCAGGGACCTGTGTGTAGGCGCAGGTGAATTCAGGTGGATCAGAGGCACCGGCAGCGTCTGCTACAATTCTAAAGACAAGGCAGAAGTCAGAGCTACCCTTGATCCTGGCTTCTTTGGCTGAGCATCGGATGAAGAAGTTAGCTGGCATTTATAGAGTCCACAACACATGAAAGAGACCTACCTTTTTTTTGAGACAGAGTCTTGCTCTGTCACCCAGGCTGAAGTGCAGTGGCATGATCTCAGCTCACTGCAACCTCCGCCTCCCAGGTTCAAGCGATTCTCATGCCTTAGTCTCCCAAGTAGCTGGGATTACAGGCATGTACCACCACACCTGGCTAATTTTTGTATTTTTAGTAGAGATGGGGTTTTACCATGTTGGCCAGGCTGATCTCGAACTCCTGGTCTCTAGCGATCTGCCTGCCTCGGCCTCCCAAAGTTCTGGGATTACAGGTGTGAGCCACTGTGCCTGGCCTGAAAAATATCTATCTTTGAACACAGGAATCACAGTCAGCTCAAAGAGATGCTCGTGTTTATATACAGGGGACCTGGAGCTGGTGGAGTAGAGTAGATTTTCATCGTGTCCCTACTTCCCTGTGGGATACACGCCTGTTGGCTGGAATGGTGGGTGGAATCACTCATGTTGTCTAAGATCTTGTTCTCTGTCTCTTTTTTGTCCAGCACTGCGTGGCTGAATTCACACAGGTGAAAGGTGTGCTCGCTATTATGGGCTGAATTGTGTCCCCCTACCCAAATTCGTATGTTGAAGCCCTAACCCCCAATACCTCCAACTGTGACTGTACTTGGAAATGGGGCCTTTAAAGAGGTGGTTAAGGTTAAAATGGATCATTAAGGTGGGCTGAGTTTGGATGTATGTCCCCACCCAAGTCTCATGTTGAAATGTGATCCCCAATGATGGAGGTGGGGCCTGGTGGGAGGTGTTTGGGTCACGGGGGCAGATCCCTCATGAATGGCTTGGTGTCCTTCCCTTGGTAATGAGTTCCCATGGGATCTGGTTGTTTAAAAGTGTGTGGTGTCTCCTTGCCACTCTCTCTTGCTCCTGCTCTTGCTATGTGATGTGCCTACTCCTGCTTTGCCTTCCGCCCTGAGTAAAAGCTCCCTGAGCCTCCCCAGAAGGCAAGCAGATGCTGGCACCATGCTTTCTGTACAGCATGCCCAACTATGAGTCAAGTAAACCTCTTTTCTTTATAAATTACCCAGTCTCAGGTATTTATTTATTTATTTTTTTGAGACAGAGTCTCGCTCTGTTGCCCAGGCTGGAGTGCAGTGGCACTATCTCGGCTCACTGCAGGCTCCGCCGCCTGGGTTCACGCCATTCTCCTGCCTCAGCCTCCCAAGTAGCTGGGACTACAGGCGCCTGCCACCGTGCCCGGCTAATTTTTTTTTTTTTGTATTTTTAGTAGAGATGGGGTTTCACCGTGTTAGCCAGGATGGGCTTGATCTCCTGACCTCGTGATCTGCCCATCTCGGCCTCCCAAAGTGCTGGGATTATAGGCATGAGTCACCGTGCCCAGCCAGGTATTTCTTTATAGCAATGCAGGAATGGCCTAATACATGGGCCCTAGTTCAATATGACTGATGTCCAAATAAGAAGAGGAGATTAGAAAACACACAGGGACTGAGGGATGACCACGTGAGAAACAGCAAGAAGGTGTCCATATGGAAGCCAGGGAGAGAGGACACAGGAGAAACCAAACCTGCTGACACCTTGATCTTGAACTTCTGGCTTCCCAAACTGTGAGACAATAAACTGCAGTTGTTTAAGCCACCCAGTCTGGTATTTTGTTATGGCAGCCATCACAGATGTACACTGCAATTCCCTGGTAGGCTCTCTCTGGACTCGGAAGATCTGATGAACGCTCATGACACCCTGTGAGTGGGGAACTGTCACCTCATTTTACGCATGCAGAACGGAGCCTCAGGAGAGCTGAGGAACACACAGCGGGTCCTGTAGAAGGGCCGTCGATCGGAGGAGAGTCAAAGGCAGCGGGGTGGGCTTCAGAGTCACCTAATCTTGCCTCTCAGAAAAGAAACCCCTGGCCGGGCGCGGTGGCTCACACCTGTAATCCCAGCACTTTGGGAGGCCAAGGCGGGCGGATCACCTGGGTCAGGAGTTTGAGACCAGCCTGGCCAACATGGTGAAACCCTGCGTCTACGAAAAATACAAAAAATTAGCTGGGTGTGGTGGCATGCGCCTGTAATCCCAGCTACGCGGGAGGCTGAGGCAGGAGAAACGCTTGAACCTGGGAGGCAGAGGTTGCAGTGAGCCGAGATCGTGCCATTGCACTCCAGCCTGGGCGACAGAGCAAGACTCTGTCTCGAAAAAAAAAAAGACCCTGCTTGGAGAAGGGCTGTGTCCGGGGTAAGAAATTGCAGAAGGAGCAAAGATGGCTGCGGGTACTTTGTGGCCCTTCTGGGAGAGGGATGGCAGCCACAGACTCAGCGCCAGGACGCAAATGCTGGGCTCCTGGGCCTGCAGTCCTGGGTTCTAGTCTTGGCTCTGCCACTTACTGCCTGAGTGGCCTGGGGCAAGCCACGTGCCTCAGATTCCACATCACAGAAGGAAAATGGTAAGAACAATTTAACACCCACTTGTAGAATTTTTGCAGCCGCAAGAGCTAATGCATACAACAGCACTTGGTAAATAATGCTGCTGCGATTAAATTAGAGTGGAGGTCACTGAGCCAGCGGGATGCACTTGACAGGCAGCACTTAATGAGTCCCACTGGAATCTCCAGGAAAGGCCACTGATAAATGTAAGCTGTTTATGTGAGGATGACTGGCATCTTATCAACGCTTGATAGCTCTGGTAAAAATTACAGGCCACACTGGGCATACGAGTCATCGTCAGCACATCCATGAATTCAACAACACTAATACTTAAGTCTGTATGTGAGGAACTGAAAATAGGGTAATCAATATTAGATGTATCAGTAAGATTTGTCAAGCTTACACTCTTTGCAAAGTATTGTGGTAGAAGCTCTGAACATGTGTGTTCTGAACCATGAGGAATGGGCGTTTTCATTTACTAGAGGGAAGCCAAGAACTACTAGGAATAAAAGCAAATGCAAGATCAGAAGCCGGGTGCGGTGGCTCACGCCTGCAATTCCACCGCTTTGGGAGGCTTAGGCGGGCGGATCACCTGAGGTCAGGAGTTCGAGACTAGCCTGGCCAACACGGTGAAACCCCGTCTCTACTAAAAATACAAAAAAAAATTAGCCAGGTGTGATGGCAGGCGCCTGTAATCCCAGCTACTTGGGAGGCTGAGGCAAGAGAATTGTCTGAACCTAGGACGTGGAGGTTGCAGCGAGCCAAGATCATGCCATTACACTCTAGCCTGGGTGACAGAGCAAGATTCCGTCTCAAAGAAAAAAAAAAAGATCACAAGAATGAGGGGAAAGAAAAGAGTGTGGGCTTTAAAACCAGAAAGACCTGGTTTCACAACTCCATTGCTTACTAGCTGTGTTACTAGAGGCAAATAATTTACCTAACCCCCCTGAGTCTCATCTATAAAACATGCTGATAGAAAAAAAAAAAAGAAAAACAAACTAACCAACCAACCCTATGATGCTGGTATTTTGACCTCTTGGGACTTCTGTGAAGATCAGTTATCAAGGAGGTAAGGTACCTGACACAGAAGAGGTGCCTATATCATCATCATCATCATCATCATCATTATCATAACACATCCTGAAGATAAACAGCCTAGACAAGTAACTAAGGTGTTACTGGTAGCCCTACTGCTAGAATGCTGTGGTTCCATTAATGAATTTTGAAGGCTAAGATAATGTTGCAATGAGCCAGGAAGCAAAACTGGAGAAGAGAAAAACAGAGCATATGGATCTATCATAAGAAAACAACATCTAGCCAGGTGCAGTGGCTCACGCCTGTAATGCCAGAACTTTGGGAGGCCGAGGTGGGCAGATCACCTGAGGTCAGGAGTTCGAGACCAGCCTGGCCAACATGGCAAAACCCTGTTTCTACTAAAAATACAAAAATCAGCCGGGCGTCATGTTGGGCGCCTGTAATCCCAGTTACTAGAGAGGCTGAGGCAGGAGAATCACTTGAACCTGGGAGGCGGAGGTTGCAGTGAGCTGAGATTGAGCCATTGCACTCCAGCCTGGGCAACAGAGGAGCGAGGCTCTGTCAAAAAAAAAAAAAAAAAAAAAAAAAAAAGGAGGCACTCAATACATGTGTATACAATGAAAGAGTATGAAGGGGCAGATTTTTCTATAATGGATTAAAACACAATTCAGAATTTTCCCAAATCTCATCCCTTTAGCCCTTCACTCAGATAATAGCAAAGTGAAAACACAAAAGGATTTCCTTCTAGTGAAACATGAAGATACTTCAATGCCTCTGGAAGCAGGGGCCAGAGGATGCAGAACTAGCCTCTCGACTGTAGTACACAGCAAGGCCTGGGCCAGATGTTGTGCCTGGTGGAGCTGCTGGCAAGCTGGAGTAAGGGAAAAGGAAGGAGGAGGATGGAAGAAAGGCAGGAAGGAGGATGGAGGAAAGGAAGGAAGGAGGGAGAGAAAGAAAGAAGGAGGAAGGAGGGAGGAAAGAGAGAAGGAGGGAAAGGAGGGAGGAAAGGAAGAAGGGAAGGAAAACAAAGGAAGGAGGAAGGAGGAAGGAAGGAGGGAGGGAAGGAAAGAAGGAGGGAAGGAAGAAGGGAAGGAAGGAGGGAAGGAAGGAATGAAGGCGTGCAGGCAGGCAGGCTATAGTCCTTCCTGGAATATAGCCAGGAAGGAAGGGAGGGGCCCTAAAGAGGTATGCTGGAGTGAACTGATCAATGGTGTCTACTGCCCTGTGCCATCAGACAGTGCTCTGTGCCAGGGACCAGAGCTGTGTTCTTTAAAGGAAAGAGGATGGTGACGACAACTCTTCAGGGCCTAGAAAAGCAGCCGCCACACACAACCATAGTAGGAGATCCAGGAGCATTTTATTTGTTGCAGAGATGAATAAATTGAACCTTGGCCTCCCAAGGTGAGGTGGGGAGGGTCTGACCAACTCTTACACATGACAGAGTGAATTTGGTGATACCTGTGATTGGCTCACCTGCTTTTGAAAGTGTCTCAAGAACCATCTTTGCCAAAGGTTTCCAAACCCTGGCCCTAGCTGCCATCCCCTTACTTACAGGTTTTCTTGCAAATATGAGAAAGAAATATCTTGAAGCTCTAACCCCATGAGGAAAGGAAAGAGAAATGCAGGAAGAGAATCTGGGGAACAAAGTAGACAAACAGAGAGAGTGGGAAGAAAAGGAGAGAGGAGAAGCAAGAACGGAGGTGGGAGGTGGTAAAGAAAGGCATACAGCCAGTCACACAAGACCACATACTGTGGGATTTCATCTATATGAAATGTCTAAAACAGGCACATCTATGGGGACAGAAAGTGGATTGGTGGCTGCCTAGGGGCTGGCAAGTTGAGGGGAAATGGAGGGTGGCTGTTGATGGGTAAGGAGTTTCTTTTTGTTCTGGAATTAGACAGTGGTGAGGGTTGTGCAACCCTGTGAATATCATAAGCCGCTGAATTTTACACTTAAAATTGTAAACTGTATGGTATGTGAACCATAAAGCTGTTAATCTCCGCCCCACCTCCACCCACCCAGTGAAGTAGGAGGTGACAGGGGAGAAGTAGGAGGTGATGCCTGGAATCAGGAATCACAAGTAGGCAAAGGAACACCAGGGCCACTCACCTCGACCTTCAGGCCTGCCTGGAAGCTGATGCCGTCTGGGATGGTTGTCTGGAATTCGGCGATGGTGTAATACTCTTCCTCCACTTGGGGCGGGATGGGCGGCTTCGGCAGGTTGAGGCCTCGAGGCTGGTACGATCACACACAGGGTTATCTCCAAGGCTAAGTGCACTCCTGCGACCCTGTGTCAGGGGGAGTCTAAGGGCCTGGGGCATGCAATCACCCTTAAGGGGGTGCTGGGGACCTAGTTGGATTCTAAGGGACAACACAAATAGGACCACGCAGTTTGTCACTCCTCGGTGAGACCTCACTGGCCCATCAGCTTTAGGGTGATGGGAAGAAACACGGGACATTTGGGTACAATCATGAGAATTTGGAGCAAGACAATATTCTCTGAAATAAGAGGCAGTGAGGGTTGTGGAGGGAGCTTAAGTTTATTAGTAGATCTATCTGGGTTGGAAACACTGATGGTGGGAGTGTCCTTGGGCAAATCACCCCCTTCTGGAGCCTCAGTTTTCTCTCCTGCAGAGTGGGCATAACAGTGTCTACCTGGTGGGGTTGCTTCAAGTATTAAATTAGTTAATGTTGTGAGGCAATCGGCACGCTGCATGGCACGCAACAGGTGCTTGATAAATAGCAGACATTAAAAAAATACAACCCCAAAAGAGCAAGACCCCGTCTCAAAAACCAATGCAAACAAATAAAAAAAACCCCAAAACCCAACAACAACCCATTGGGTTCAAAGTATTGGCTAAAAAGGTACCTAGAGAATTTTACATAATGGATTATGAGCGCAGAATATCAGAATGGGACCACAGATGATATTTGTGTCTCATCTCAGCTTGGGCCTCAAGTCGCCTGAGAAGACTGATCTAAGACCAAGAGAAGGGCCCAGGGAGCAGAAGGCAGGTCCTGAGGCCCAACTGTCACAGGAGCACTCTGGCCCCGCGGGCAAACTGTTTCACCTGCCTGCACCTCCGTCTTTCCACCTGCGAGTGGGACTAGCATTTCTACAGCCTGCTTCACAAGGCTGTTGTGTGGACAGGAAAGAGAGCATTTCTGGAAGGGCGAGGGGTGTGTGAGGGGCTAGTGGACACCCCTCACAGCCCTCAAGTCAGTGGCCACTCCCCAGTAGCGAGGATCCACTTACAATGGTCATGTCCCGGCGAGGAGGGGGTCTCTGCCTCATCTTTGGTGATCCTATGGAGAAATGAGAGCTTATTACATCTTGTGCTACAGATGAGATTCCTGAGCTGGGTGCCAGGTCGGGTCTATTTTCTCCTGCAGAAGATTGAACACAGGCGTCTGCATGCTGCTGCAACCCTCCCTGTGAGAACAGCCTGGGCAGGAAGGAGCTGCTCACGCGTGGCTCATAGTTGGCTCAGGACTCTCTCGACGTAGCTTTTCTTGCATCTTTTCTACACAGGAATGAAAGGGGATGGTGCTGGATCCTCAAGTCATGGAAATTCTCCAGAAAGGGCAAAAAGCAAAGTCTTCAGAATAACACAGAGATGGGTCCCAATCCAGCTCTGAGGCTCACAGCTGCTGGCATTGGACAGATGATTGGATTCTCTGAGCCACAAGGCCCTCATCTGTAGAACTGGCATAATGTGTGTCACCCAGGGCAGCGGTGAGGATGAAAGGAAACATCTGTGAAGCTCTTGGCATGTGGCAGGCATGCAGTGAATGTTATCTGCACCTGGTTTTGTGCTCTAGAACAACCCAAACGCAACAATACACAAACACACTGAACCAAACACACTTGGGCCGATGACTCAGGGGTTTATACTCTCGAGGCAGCTGCCCTGGCTCTGGGTCTCAGGGCCAGGAGGATGAGGACTTTGCAGTGGTCCAAGGCTCCTGGCTAAAGGCAGAATGTTGGCCAGGTTCAGCACGGGTCCATACAGAAGGGTAGTTTGGCGTTGGGGTGCGGAGGAGACTGCTAATCCCTTAAATTCCCATTTACCTGTCTTCTGTTAGAATAAATAGCAACAGAGTATTGGCCAAGACACTTAGCTGTCTATATAGACTTCATTTTCCAGTCACCCTTGCAGCCAGGTATTGCCACGTGACTCAGTTCTGGCAGTGGGATGTAAGACAAAGTAGAAAGTGTGTGGCTTCTGAGCTGTGTACACAGTAGCCAGTGTGACCACTGTGAGATAGCAGAAGGAATGCAACCTGGGATGGGAAAGCAACGCCTTTTTTTTTTTAAATGGAGTTTCGCTCTTGTCACCCAGGCTGGAGTGCAATGCACTGCTTTTCATTGGCTGGACTAGTAGTGAGCCGTTCTGGACCGAGGGATGAGGGCAACAAGATAGATGTGGAGTAATAAGACTCTTGATTGCCTGGAGCTGCCATATTAACCCTGAACATATACACAGACTGTTTTGTGAGAAAGAAATACATATCTAGATCGTTTATTGGATGTGTGTATATGTGTATATTCAGTGGTGGTAGGGGGGTGTCTTTGTTTTAGCATCTGAATCTATCTATGTATCTATCTATGTATCTATCTATCTATCCTATCTATCTATCTATCTATCTATCTATCTATCTATCTATCTATCTATCTATCTATTTATTTATTTTTGAGGGACAGGGTCTCGCTCTATTGCCCAGGCTGGAATGCAGTGGAGCAATCACAGCTCACTGTAGCCTCAATCTCCTGGGTTCAAGTGATCCTCCCGCCTCAGCCACCCTAGTAGCTGGGACTACAGGTGTGTGCCACCACGCCCAGCTAATTAAAAAAAATTTTTTTTTGTAGATAGGGGGGTCTCACTATGTTGCCCAGGCTGGTCTCAAACTCCTGGCCTCAAGTGATCCTCCAGCCTCAGCCTCCCAAAGCACTGGGATTACAGTCGTGAGCCACTGTGCCCAGCCTGAACCTATATACTAACAAAGACATTGAGGCTGCAGATTTTCATTTGCTCCTCTAGAGTTAATGGGAATACATCTAACCTCTTGGCCATGATTGACAGATTAGAATCACACAAACTCGGGGATGGCCAGAACCCCTGCCACAGCATGTGAGAAAACATGATCAGTGACTTCTCAGGGCAGCTGAGCAAAGTACGAAACTTGGTTGACGGACTCAAGAAGTTCACTGCCACTTAAAAACAGCTGGAGAAGCCCCGCCAGGGGCAGTGGCCTCATCTCTGTGGGTAGCTGGAAGTCCTTTCTCAACAGAGTTCACCTGCCCTGCACGGCCAAGACAGGATCATGGGCACTGTGCGTAAGTCCTGGGCACCAGCGTGCCCATGCAGACATGGTATGGTAGCCAGTGTGACCAGGCCGACAACAGTAATGAACTCTACTCTCAGGTGTGTTGGGAACATTAAATGGTAAAATATACACGAGGAGGCTTTGAAAAGCAAGATGGGAGAGGCACTGTGTTGGAGTAGAGCCCACAAGGCCATCTTCTTCCTCTGGCTTAGAAACGAGGCCACATGGAGCAATAGAGAGCACAGCACTCCCCAGGTTCAAGTCCCCGCCCCTGCCGTCTACTAGCTGGGGGCCTTGGGCACACCCTCTCACCCTTCAGACTCCCAATCTGTAAAACAGAAAAAGTAGTAATTCCCTCAAAGGTAGTTATGAGGAGTCGATTAGACTAATTAGAAGGTTTCTGGCATGTAGCAGGTGCTTGAAAAAGAGTAGCCAGTGTGACCACTGTGAGATAGCAGAAAGAATGCAACCTGGGATGGGAAAGCAACGCCTCCCCTTTTTTTTTCTTTTTTTAAATGGAGTTTCACTCTTGTCGCCCAGGCTGGAGCGCGAGTGCAATGGTGCATCTTGGCTCACTGCAACCTCTGCCTCCCGGGTTCAAGCGATTCTCCTATCTCAGCCTCCCAAGTAGCTGGGATTTCAGGCAGCTGCCACCACGCCTGGCTAATTTTTGTATTTTTAGTAGAGACGGGGTTTCACCATGTTGGCCAGGCTGGTCTTGAACTCCTGACCTCAGGTGATCGGCCTGCCTCGGCCTCCCAAAGTGCTGGGATTACAGGTGTGAGCCACTGTGCCCGGCCAGCAATGCCTCTTGACTCAGATTCTGCAATTCACGGGCTGAATGATCTGGAATAAGTTACCCGGGGTTTCTGGGCCTCTGTTTTCTTATCTGGAGGATGGGGGAGCAGCTGGGCTGCTGTGAGGATGAGGGACGATGTGAGACGCCTTGAGCACAGAGCTGGCACACAGGGGCCCTGATTATCAGGAGCTTGGGCGGGTGTCACTCACTCTGCTTGGCGTCACCGTCGGGCACCGGGCGGCCTTCAAACCGCCCGTCCCTCTGGCTGCTGAGCAGCTCCTTCTCCCTGCCCACCGCGTTCTGCTGCCGGGAAACACCATCCAAGTCAAGGGCACCCGGGTGGGAGGGTGAGCCAGGGCCTGGCTTCGGGGGCAAGGGCTCCCCACTGTTCTTCTTTAGGTAGGAGGCGGGGGCCCAGCCTTCTTTGCCCTGGTACCTGTGAAGAGGAGGAAGGATGCTGTCAAACTGCTCCGCCAGGCCCAAGGGAAGAAGCCTTGCTCCTACTGGGAATCACATGACAGGTCCCAGGGAGCAGGAACGACGGGTTGTGACTGCCCAGGGCAAGAGGTTGGCACACACTGTGCATTTCCTCTTGATGATGCCTAAGCCCTGAGCTTGGTATTTTCAAGGCCTTTCCAACCCGGCCTCTACTTGCCCCTCTTACAGCACCCACCATGTCCCACCCAGCCAGCAGGGCACCAGCCTGGGCTCTGAATCTCTGTGCTTTGCTGCCTCTTCCCAGCAGCCCCAGCTCTGGGGCCAAAGCCTGGCATAGACAGATGGAGATCTGTTCACGCTGATGAACGTGGAGATTAAACATGCTTTCATATGGGATTAGCAGGTTGAGGGCTGGGTCCAGGGCTCGCCAAGTGGCAGCTGGCCATCACTAAACCGCAGAGTGATCGAGACCCTGACAGAGCAGCTCAGTGTCCTCCCAAAAGGGACTTCAATGAGTGTCATCATCTCTTAATCCTCTGCAGGAGACATTCAGTTTTTGAGATAGGGTCTCCCTGTCACCCAGGCCAGAGTGCAGTGGTTCGATCATAGCTCACTGCAGCCTTGAACTCCTGGGCTCAAGCGATTCTCCCAACTCAGTCTCCTACGTAGCTGGAATTACAGGTACACACCACCATGCCCAGCTATTTATTATTTCTTGTAGAGATGGGGTGTTGCTATGTTGCTCAGGCTGGTCTTGAGCTCCTAGACTCAAGTGATCTTCCTGTCTCGGCCTCCCAAAGTGTTGGGATTACAGGTGTGAGCCACCACGCTTGGCCAGAATTCAGTTTAACAGCAATGACCAGAGGGGCCAATCTAGACCAGGGGTGTGCTGCAGTCAGTCACACCAGCTGTGACAGCCAGTTGGGCACATCTCTCCCAATCTCTACATTTAGTGACATCACACTGATAGCTTGAAATTGACCATGGTGGCAGTATTTGCACCATGGCAACTGGCAAACACTGTAACTCAGAGTATTTTTCCTTGGAGAGCTGGTTGTTAAACATTTACCAGAACCCAAAAAAACAGGTGGCCAGACCTTTGGGGAAAGTTGAACAGACCCAATGGCAGGGCTGAATCTCTTGTCAAGAATTAATTTAAGAACTAAATAGCATTGGGTTTTAATGCAAAAAAAAAAAGGTCTCTCTTGACTGGAAGCAAATTTAAAAGGAGGTAGAAATCTGCAGTTTAGTGTCTATCAATCTTAAAATATGCTCTGAGAGGGAATATCCTAATTAGAAAGTGCCAGGCTGTATATAACCCACACGCTCAGTTTGACATAGTTCATTGTTTGGGGACACAGAGCCATAAGATGGGAGGCGATGTGCAGTGCTGACTGGGCTCTGGGGTGAGAAGGGAATGGGCTGAAATCCTGACTGTCACTTTCTAGCATCAGTCAGATCTTGAGATGACTGCAGCCCTTACTGACATCCTAACTATAACCTCGGGAGAGACCTTGAGTCTAATTAAGCCACTGCTGAATTCCAGAGCCACTAACTTTTGGGACAATTTATTATGCAGCAAGATAACATACTATTCAATATATGTTTGTTATCCTTTTTTAAAAAGTTTAAAAAAACTAATGTCTTTAAATTTTAGAGACAGGGTCTTGTTGTGCTGCCTAGGCTGGAGTGGCACCATCATAGCTCATCGCAGCCTCAAACTCTTGGGCTCGAGTGATCCTCCTGCCTCAGCCTCCTGGGTAGCTGGGACTACAGGCGTGCATCACCATGCCTGGCTAATTTAAAAGATTTTTATGTAGAGATGGGATCATGCTATGTTGCCCGGGCTGGTCTTGAATTCCTGGCCTCAAGTGATCCTCCTGCCTTACCTCCTCAAGTACTGGGATTACAGGCATGAGCCACCGTGCCAGGCCCATGCCTGCTATTTGATATGGTTTGGCTGTGTCCCCATCGACATCTTGACTTGAATTGTATCTCCCAGAATTCCCACATGTTGTGGGAGGGACTCAGGCGGAGGTAACTGAATCATGGGGGCCAGTCTTTCCCATGCTATTCTCGTGATAGTGAATAAGTCTCACAAGATCTGATGGATTTATCAGGGGTTTCCACTTTTGCTTCTTCCTCATTTTCTCTTGCCGATGCTATGTAAGAAATGCTTTTCACCTCCCGCCATGATTCTGAGGCCTCCCCAGCCATGTGGAACTGTAAATCCAGTTAAACCTCTTTTTCTTCCCAGTCTGGGGTATATCTTTATCGGCAGCATGAAAATAGACTAATACACTATTACTATCATTATCCGTTTTCAAATTTAGGTTCTGAGATCTCCCTCAGGAAGCCTTCCTGACCCCCAGGCTGAGGAGCCCCTCTTCTGTGTACCAAAGTCCCCATGCATCCCTCCAACATGGCCAACCCTCTGCTCTATCACCGTTTATGAGTTTGTCTTCTGTACCAGGTGGTGTGAGCTATTGTATCTTGCTCACTGTTGACTCCTCAGCTCCCAGAACAGGGCTGGGCCCAACAGAGATTCTTGGTGTGCGTTTGTTGAATGAATGAATGAATGCAGTGCTACATGCTCAGCCTCCTGGAAATGGCCCGAATGTCCCGCCACACATCACAGCGCAGACACTAGATTGCAGGGACCTCGGCTTCCTCTCTTGCCCTAATTTCCCATGGTCACATCCTGCCTATTGGGGGTGATCAAGGAGGGGTTCCCAGGACTTTCATTACTAAAACCAGGCAAGGCAGGACGAGCTGGCCACCCTGCCTGCCTGGGAGGCTCTGATATCATCACATAGGTGAAAGGGCTGTGAAAGGTGTTTGGAATGCAGACGCCCTGCTTTTACCATTGGACTTTGAGAGACGAGGGCAGATTATCAGCCTAGGACGAATTACAGTCCATGAGTGTTTATGCACCATCTTGTTCTCAGAATGGGGCGGGAGGGGGCTGTCACTCACATGGGGCAGCTTTGGCCTCCAACTCCTCATTATGAGAAACATCTGGAGGTGGAAACCAGCCTTGCTTAATGGGGTTGCTGCTATCTGTGGTTCAGTGTGTTTGGAGAAAGTTTTGCTTATCATGGACTTTTAGGGAAGGATATGGGTAGGGAGGGAGGCCACACAACACAGAGGAGAAGTATCCTTTTATGGTTCAGGCGGAAACTTCGCCCAGATGCAATCACTTACCGACCTCTGTGAGGCCAGAGTCCCTGTGACCCCAAACCCACCCAGCGTGACCCCAAACCCACCCAGCAACCGTGGGGGGCAGCGGCTGGTACCTGATCTTCCACCAGCCTTCCAGGTTTTTCTGGATGACCTCCACCACAGCCCCTCTCTCCAGGTTCATTTCATCCTGGTCCCGAGCTGTGTACGGGTAGATGACTGTGTACTTCTCCTCTGTGGGGACAAAAGGAAGCTGGGGTCAGAAGAGGACACCAAGAGGCTTGGGATGCCGTAATCCCCGTGATGCCCTTGCCCGTCGGAGGGAGGATTTCCTTCAGAGATTTCTGGGCACCCCCCCTGGCCCTGACCTAGCCCTGGACAGCCCTGTGCAAGCAGCAACAGAACACAGGACAAAGGGTAGATCTCGATCCCTCTGAAACTCCTCAGCGCCACACACTCAGCCTCACCTGCTTCAATCTGTGCTTCGAGTTCACCTTCCTTGACCACCTTATACAGTACTTCCATGCATGGCATTCTCATGCCCCTTATCCCGGTTTATTGCCCCCCACCCATACTAGGAATTACCTTGTAACACGACATGTATTTGGCTTATTTATTGTGTTTCGTTCAGTGTGTGTCTGTTTCCTCTGCTGGAATATGAGCTCCAGGAAGGCAGTTCTTTGTCTGTCTTGTTCATTCCTGTGTCTTCAGCACTGGGCATGGTGCTTGGAATGTTTAGCAAATCAGTCAATATGCAGTAAATGAGCAAGACCTGAAGGCTGGGTGGGAGCCACCTTGCTCACACAGAGGAGGTTAAGCTGTCTGTGGCTCCTTACTAGCTCTTGCAGGTGGAGAGTTCAGGGAGAAGCTGAACTTTGGCAGTGGAGGGTTTCAGGCTGAAATCACTACTGCGGACACGGTGCACAATTTTCATTACCTTGCCGGCAGCTGATCTTCACTTTTTATTAATCATGTTCAAGTCTTTGAATCCAACCATGCTCGAAGCTTCAACTTTCATTCGTGTGACTGGGATGTCTTCTACCACACTCTCTGCGGTCCCCCGACCCCTGAAACTGTGGGACCATCCTTATGGCCTCACCCTCCTCCCTGAGAGCTGCCCCCAGCTGCGTCCCTCCCACAGTAGCCCTGGAGGGCCTGGGCTCGGCAGGGCGGGTTGCTCATCGCTGCACTCTGGCAGGGTGTCCCACAGAGCTAGAACAGCTCCCACCCCCAGTGTTATCTGCTCTGGCAGCTGAAATGGAGAAAAATGGATGTGTGTCTCAAGGGAGCCCAGCAAGGAGAGGAGAGGGCTCTCCTGTTTTGGTTACATTTCCGCCCCTGGTTGAGTGCCTGAGCCAGCTGTGGCCTGGTGTCATGGTTAATATGCTGCTGCAGTCGCTATCTCTTTGGGAAAATACCACATGCCGTCCGCGGCCTGCCCAGCTGGTGCAGAGGGAGGCGGAAAACACACAGGGCGTTTATTTATTTATTGATCTAGCCTGCTGACCTGCTCGGCGGGGGCCGAGCTGACTCAAGCTGCACATATCCTGTGCTCAGCACAGTCCGCCGTTCCCCTCCTTCACGGAAGCTGCAGGCTAGGCTGCTGGGCTGGGAGGGGTGGAGGGAAGAATCCAACCCCAGATGCACAGAAGTTCTGTTTGGTCCAGGTGGGAAAGGGTGCCACCCGGGTCCCAGAAAGAGTGCAGTCAGTTCTCTGAGCCTGGACTCCTGGGGTCCTGCATCCTTCAGCTGAGTTGCATGGATGGATTTTCTTTTCTTTTTTTTTTTTTTTAGACGGATTCTCGCTCTGTCGCCCAGGCTGGAGTGCAGTGGCGCGATCTCCACTCACTGCAAACTCCGCCTCCCGGGTTCACGCCATTCTCCTGCCTCAGCCTCCCGAGTAGCTGGGACTACAGGTGCCCGCCACCACGCCCGGCTAATTTTTTGTATTTTTAGTAGAGACGGGGTTTCACCGTGTTAGCCGGGATGGTCTCGATCTCCTGACCTCGTGATCCGCCCGCCTCGGCCTCCCAACGTGCTGGGACTATAGGTGTGAGCCAGCGCGCCCAGCCATGGATGGATTTTCTATCACCCGAGTCCCTCTCTGGCATCCATGGATTGCTCAGTGATTGCACACACAGCAGAGGGTGGAAGACCCTGTAGACTGCAGGCCTGCGGGGGCTTCCTCCCGAGCGTGCATTTGCCCTTCCTCTGGTGGTGCTACCAGCCTTTGTCCCCATGGCTTAGGTGAGGCCAAGCTCACCACCTCCTGGAGGGAAGGAGTAGGTGTCGGACCCTGGCCTGGCCAAAGTGTTGCAACTCCCGCCCACCGTGACTGGTTTTATGGATGGCAAGTGACCCTACTGGGTCAGCTGGAAACAATCCTAGGACTTGTGTTAAAGGAGAAGCTCTTTCTTTGGTGATGTCCCTTAAAGGTACTTGAAACTGCTGTCATCATGAGAGAATGGTGCCAACAAGCAGAGAGGTGGTGAGAGAGTCCCAGATCCTGATGACAGTTTCAAACCCCCAGATCCAGCTCTGCTTGAAGCTAGCCCTACCCTGGGCTTTTAGTGATATAAGTCAATACACTTCCCCTTTTGCTTAACCCGGTTTACATGGATTTCTTTCCCTTGCAACTCAAATGAGCCTGAATGAAGGAACAGGTCACTGGTTCAGCCTTATAGAAACCCACAGGCATCATTTTTAACCTGAGAAACTTTAAATCCCCAAGGCCAAGAAATACCCAAGGCTCACTCCTCCCAAACCCACATGCCAACAACATACATGTCACACAAGACAGACGACATCACTGTTTCTCACATGCAACAGGCACGGGTGGTCCCAGAGCAGGGAGGCTCATGCAGGTGCAGGGACCTGGGTCCAAACACCAAACGGGGAAGAAAACTCCGAGGTAGGCACCTTGACGCCAGCTGATGGCATACAAGTCCCCCAGAGTCCGGCGGCGGCCCACCGGCCGGGGCAGAGACCAATACCTCCATGAGACTGGATAGGCAGCATGTGGGAGGAAGGGCAGAGGGCAGAGGTGAGAAGAAAGCACCACAATGTGTACAGGCAAAGGTGGCACCAAGCACATGTCCCCATCCAGGAGAGCATTACCTCTGAGTCTAATCCAAGCCCCAGGCATCTTAGGGAGACCAAGTTCCTGAGTATTAACCGTGAACTTGGGTGAAGAGGCTTCTAGTAGACATAATTCCATTCCTAGCATGATTATAAAGAGGTGTTAGGCTGAGGTGGGAGGATCACTTGAGCCCAGGAATTCAAGGCTGCAGTGAGCCGTGTTCATGCCACTGCACTCCAGCCTGAGTAACAGAGTGAGACCCCATCTCAAAAAAAAAAAAAAAAAAAAAAAGGGCCAGGCGCAGTGCTCATGCCTGTAATCCCAGCATTTTGAGAGGCCAAGGTGGGCAGATCACTTGAGGTCAGGAGTTCGAGATCAGCCTGGCCAACATGGCGAAACCCCGTTTCTACTAAAAATACGAAAACTAGCTGGGCGTGGTGGTGCATGCCTGTAATCTCAGCTACTCGAGAGGCTGAGGCAGGAGAATCACTTGAACCCAGGAGGCGGAGGTCGCAGTGAGCCGAGATCATGCCACTGTACTCCAGCCTGGGAGACAGAGCAAGACTCTGTCTCAAAAAAAAAAAAGAAAGTACTACCTGTGGTCGAGGGAAGAAAATAAATGTACAAACTCAGGAAAATGTGGTCTCGCTCCCATCTTCTAGCTGTGTGACCCTGGGCAAGTCTCCCGACCTCTCAGACCCTGTTTCCTCATCTGTAAAATGGGGACAGCAATGAGTGCCTGACAGAGGCGCTCTCACGGTGGTCATCATTCACCGTCTCAAGGGCTCTAGTTTCCATGCACTACATCACGACCCCTTAATCTGAGTTGATTCTGATGGTAACCCTGTGTTACCCCCCACAGTGCCTGGCGGGCCTCACAAACACAGAGCAAACCAACAGATGTTTTACTGAGGGGCGTTAGCTGTAATACAACTGAATGCAAAAACCATATGTCAATGCTTTGCTAACCTTTGGGCACAGAAATTTCCCCCTTCTCCTCATCCTCTTTTCTAATAAAGATATGCTTTATGTGGCTCCATGCTTTCTCTTAACAGTCAACTAAAAGCCAAACAAACTCAACTCTAGGTCAGGTATTGCTGATACAATAATAACTGTTACTGGTCATTTATTGTTCTAGGTTCTTTGCATGTGGATCTCATTTAATTTTTTCAAAAGTCCTATGATATAGATATCATTGTTTCCATTTTTAGATGAGAGGCTGAGGCTTAGAGAGGTTAAATTACTGGCCCAAGGCCACTCAACCAGGAAGTGGTACAGCTGAGATTAAAATTCAGGTGTGTCTGATTCCTAAGCCCCTGCTGATGAGTGAAGTGAACTCACTAACTGCCCTAGTTTTAGGAATGTTTCTAGCGGGGAAAGGGAGTTGGCTGGGACTTAGCATTTCTGGCATGGCAGGAGTCACCATTCAGGACATGCATAGGGAAGGTTCTCTGGGAAACAACGGAAGTGTGTCTGTGGGTGAGTGGAGGGGGACCCCTGGTCAGGACCACTTAAACCCACAGAGAAGGCAGAGGTTTTTAAACAGATGGGGTCAAATGTCTTGCAAATGAGCTGAAGCAGTTCCAGCACCTTGGCCGCCAGAATAATTCGAGGGAGGAATAGTGAACTGTTTTTGGCGATCAGGCTGGGGCCCTCCTGGGGTCCCATGAAAGGGTTAGGGCTCGAGCTCTGGCCAGGCTCACATAGGTTGCTACCAAAGGCCCCTAAGAGAGGGCGGGCTTGCCCCTCAGCTCTAATACCATGGCCTGGTTTCTGGTTCACAGGCCATGGAGCCTCAGCCAGTGAGCTGCTGAGACGCAGAGGCAGAGGCCAAAAGAAGAGATTGGATGAAAAGGCAACCCAGTATAGGCGATGACTGCACAGGTCCTCCCCAGTGAGCAGAGGCTCGAGCTCCTCCCTACCTTCTTCAGGCTGCAGAGAAAACTCATCCTGCACCCCATCCTGGCCTTCGAGGCACGTTGCAGGGACCCAGCCTTGCTCCTCGGCAGTGCTGACGAACCACCAACCTGGGGAAGCAAGAGTGCAGAATGATGTTAGTTGCATCAAGCATGAGGCCGGGGGTCAGAACATAATAATCTATTCAGCCACTGTACCAGTGAATGCACAGGGTAAGGCTAAAGTTACCATTTTATTGGTAGAACACAACTACCAATGTTACCTGCTAACTGCTAAAAGCAGGTCCAGAAACTTGCTCCTGAGCCTGGGACAGGGAAGAGTAAAGTCATCCTAAATGACAACAATAAAGAGGCAGGGCACGGTGGCTCATGCCTGTAATCCCAGCACTTTGGATGGATTGCTTGAGTTCAGGAGTTCAAGACCAGCTTGGACAACATGACAAAACCCTGTCTGTACGAAAAATTTAAAAATTAGCCAGGCATGGTGGTGCATGCTTGTAGTCCCAGCTACTCGGGAGGCTGAGTTGGGAGGATCACCTGAGCCCAGGAGGTCAAGGCTGCAGTGAGCTATGATTGTGCCACTGCACTCCAGCCCGGGCGACAGAGTGAGACCCCCATCTCAAAAAAAAAAAAAAAAAAAAGTATAAAGAACGTTCACCTTCACTAAGATGTGTGATGCACCCATCATTTCACTTGCATTAAATACAATCTTCACATTATCATCCCAACTGCACACATGAGGAAACTGAGGCTCAAAGAGGCAAACCGACTTGTCCAAGTTCACGTGGCTGCGGTAGAGCTGTGACGTGTGCACGGGGCTGTTTGACTGTAAAGGCCTAGATGCAGATTTAGCATCTGCTTCAGAGGCCTCTCACCCCGGCTCAGACATTCCCCAATGAGAAAGGCCTGCATGGGGCCTGTGGGAGGGAGAATAATGACCCCCTCCCCACAAAGATGTCTGTGTTCGAATCCCTCAAACCTGTAAATATATGAAGTTACGTGGCACTAGGGAATTAAGGTTGCTAATCTGCTGACCTTAAAATAGGGAGTTTATCCCAGATTCTCTGGGTGGGCCTAATGTAATCCCAGGGGTCCTTAATATGCAAGAAGGAGGCAGAAGTCATGGGGAGATGTGGCTGTTGAGGAAAGACACAGAGAGGTGCAACATTGCTGGCGCTGAAGAAGGAAGAAAGGGCCATGAGCCAAGGCGGCTTCCAGGATCTGGAAAAGGCAAGGAAACAGATCCTATTCGGAACCTAAAGAAAGCAATGGGGCCCTGTCGATCCCTTGATTTTAGGCCAGTGAGACCATGCTGAACTTCTGACCCACAGACTATTAGATAATAAATATGTGCTGTCGGCCGGGCGTGGTGGCTCATGCATGGTGGGTCTACGATTTTCTAAATATTTGTATTTGTAAATATTTGTATGAAGATAAGGAAACTGTCATAACACAATGATAGCAATGGCAACAGTGATGTGTCAGATACTGTCCCAAGTGCTGCACGTCCACTCCTAGCTTGCTAGATCCTCACCACAGCCTTATGAGGTGTGTATTATTATTGCTGCCATTTTACAGATGGGGAAGCCGAGGCTCAGCAACTCTCTCAAAGTCACAAAGATAGAAAGCAGCAGTGCCAGGATTCAAACCAAGGCGGTCTCTGAGCTCTTAACCATTTTCACTAATGCCTCACACACTGCTGGAGGGAGGATAAATCAAAACAGCCACTGTTTTGGAAGCAGACAAGTTGGTGGTATCTTAAAATTTAAAATATGTGTGTCCTGGCTAGGTACAGTGGCTCACGCCTGCAATCCCAGCAGTTTGGGAGGCTGAGGCGAGTGGATCACCTGAGGTCAGTAGTTCGAGACCAGCCTGACCAATATGGTGAAACCCTGTCTCTACTAAAAATACAAAACTTGACCAGGCATGGTGGCATGTGCCTGTAGTCCCAGCTGCTTGGGAGGCTGAGACAGGAGAATCACTTGAACCCGGGAGGTGGAGGCTGCAGTGAGCCAAGATCGTGCCACTGCATGCCAGCCGGGGCAACAGAGTGAGTCTCCGTCTCCAAAAAAACTAAATAAGTAAAAAAAGATATGTGTATCTTAGGGTCCAGCTGTTTCACTTGTTGGAATCTAACCTAAAGAAACACTGACGTGCACACAGACATGTTCACACTGGAGTACGAATATGAATATATGAACATGGCTCACTCGGGCACTGAATACTACGCAGATGTGAAAAAGTATCAGAGGAGCTAGATAGTAACTAAAAAAAGTTGCAGATCAAAATGTATACAATGACACCATTGGGTTTTTAAAAAACCCACAAAAATACATATATATACATACAAAATATGATGTGTTTGTATATGTACAAGTATATATGTATGAATGAGTACCTGTGTATGTGTGAGTGTATATGTTCACACGTACACACACGCACACATACACACATGTGTATATAACATTTTCAAGAAAGATTCATACCTAATGGATAGAAGGGCTATCTAGGGTTCAGAAAGGGGGTTAGGGTTGAAGCTGGTAGAAAAAATAGATTTTAGTTTCATCATTAATCTTCTAAGAATAATGTATCCACGTATTACTTGGATAAGTACAATATAATTAAAAATAAATGTCATCAGTGTGTTGGCTACTTGAAGATGTACCCACTCACCCTCTCCCTTCTTCTTGCTGCCCTCTGGACATACCAACACTCTTCCTGGCCCCCACACTTCTTCCCAGTCACCCAAGCTTCCTGACTTCCTGCAAGCTGGGGGCCCAGGGCAGTGGGTGCTCCTGTCTTTACGTCCCCATGGTTGTGTCCTAGCCACATCATACAATCTGCACACACTCATTCTCAGGAACTGGAAAGTCACATGGCCTTAGGGGCTGCTGGAGTTGGTTTCGAATTCTGGCTCTGCAGGCTGTTGTGAGATGTGGGGTGAGTGACTGAGTTATTTGGAGTCATGGTTGCATCAGCTGTGAAGCAGGGATGGCAACTCCTATGTTGAGTAACCAAGGAAGTTTGGCTGGCTGGCGCTGGTCTCGTGACTAATGCCACCACCATCCAGATGATGTTAGAAACATCATCTTTCTCCTCTTCTTTGGACCTCAACTCGCCATTGGGCTGTCACAGAGACTGACCCACTAATGATAGGATTAGCTAACGTCACATGTTAGCCACAACAAACCCAGTCGTTTCCACTGCATTTTCCCAGGGAGGATCTGCTTATTTCCTGCTCTTTGCCTTCAATGGGGTGCAATGGCTGCTTTGTAGCTAAGGAAGGCAAACGGGAAGGAAACCCACATTTTTTTGAGCATCTACTGTGTGCTAAGCACAAGTTTAAGCACTCTTTGTATCTTATCTCACTTAATCTTTACAATCACTCTTAAGAGCAGAAGTTTTTATTTTGTAGATAAGAAAACGAACAGTCAGAGAATGAAGGCACTGAACCACTGTGAAATGTGGAATTCTGATGGAAATCCAGGTTAAGTGTCTCAGTCATACCACATTCTGTCCCAGACCCAGCCAGTGTTCATGACCAGTGGTCCCTGTGATGGGCAGGTAGGCTAAGGAGACAGGGAATGCGCCTGTCCCATTAGAGCCCAGAGCAATGGAGCCTTCTCGGAGACTCCCATGGGTAAGCAAAGGCAAATCAACAGAGCACATTTCCAGTGAATGCTGGACTTTGTCTGCCAGTGCTTTAGAACCAGAAGGAATGTTTATAAAATGTCAACGTCAGAACAAATCGGTACCATCTGAGCCAAAAGGATAATGGTGAGTGGTGGCCAGGTGGGATATTCAAGCACAGTGATCAAACAGGGGCCTCTTTCTAGGAGACCCTCAGCAGGATCTATGGGAACTGGCCAGTCTGGACTGGCCATTTCAGTTTCTGAGTTTCCAAATGTTTCATGTCCCAGGGGCTTGGTGGCAGGGTAGTGGGAGAGGGAGATGGTCTAGGTCCCCACCTGACTCATTCTTCTCGATGATGTCCACCACCTGCCCCACGCTGAGGCTGATCTCCGAACTCTCCTGCTTCTGGTAGTTGGCTACCACCACATACTGCTCCAGGACCATGGGGTCCACTGAGGTTTGGTCACCCCCTGTGGATAGGAAACAGACATGACATCTGGCCACCACTCATGCATGAAAGAGCAGGAGTCAGAGCAGTAGGGCGGGTCAAGAGGACGTTCCAAATAAAAAAGCAGCAGTTACAGGACTCATCTCAAGGGTGACTTCATCCATTCATTGTTCTATTCATGTGCTTACTCAACCACCAAAATTGACCAAGTGCTATTTGCAGGCACTGGGGGTTCAGAGTTGATTAAGATATGGTACCTGCTCTGAAGATGTTGACAGCCTAGAGGGAAAGCTCATTCATTCATACTTAGCCATCCCTCCATCCATCTGTCCATCCATCCATCCATCCATCCTCCATTATCCATCCATCCAAACATTCATCTATCTGCCGTCCATTCAACCATCTATCCACTCATGATATATCAAATTAAACACCATCATCCATCAACCATCTCATCACCCATCCAAAATCACTCGCCTATTAATCTATGAAATCACCAGTGATGTTCCAGATACTCTAAAGAGTACAACGGTGAATAAAACAGCTGTGACTCCCAGCCTCAAGTAACTCAATCTAGTCACAGAGAGAGACATGTACATAAGTATATATAATTAATAAGATATAGAATTATGTAAGCGTTAGTTTATGAAAAATTGATGGAAACAACCAGGATGCTGGGACAGAGAATGAAGGGGAAAGACAATGCTACATTTAACGGGGTGGCTGGCAAGACCTCCCTAAGGAGGTGACATAACGCAGGGACCCGAGAGAGGAGGAGGGGTCATGAAGAGAATGGGGGAAGAGCAGCGTAGGCACACTCTGAGATGGGAAAGGACTTGGGGTCTTCGGGACTGGAAGGAGGCTAGGTGAGGAAGTGCATGGAAAGAGTGGTTCTGAGTGAGGTCCCCGAGGCAAGCATGGGTCAGATCAGGCAGGGCCTTTGGGGCTAAGTAAAGAAGTTGGGTTGCTTTTAACCTTGAAGTAGAAAGTCAATTAAGGGCTTTGAGAAAGGAATGACAAGAGTTACATCTTTAAAAAGATAATTCTGGCTGCCATGTGGAGAATGGATCAGAGGTTGGCAAGAAAGAAAGCAGGAGACTAGCTGGTAGACATGAAGATGTCAAGGAAGAGGCGAAGGTGGCCTGAACCAGGGCAGTGGCAGTAGGAGGGAACGAAGTAGAGAGGTGCTCCAGGGAGGCTGTGCCATGGGATTCAGGGTGGACAGCTTCCTGGGAGTCGTGTGGCCCTGGTTAAGCGCTAAGACATATCTGACAAATAAATGAAAAGATAATGCAGAATACAGGTGATTTAAATAGCAAGGACATCTGAGTTCAGAGACCCCAGAGAGAAGCGGGCAGCTGGGTGACTTTTAGAGCAGCAGGCTAAATGTGGGGGAAGGGCAGCCAGACATTTGCGGTCACAGGAGGGCCCTGGTATTCTAAAAGTCCTGATTCAAAATAGTCTTTCCTATTGTTCCTATAAATCATTAAAATATCCAGGAAACCCCACATTTTTGTGTCAAAATACACCCAATTGGCCAGGCGTGGTGGCTCATGTCTGTAATCCCAGCGCTTTGGGAAGCCAAGGAGGGTGGATCACCTGAGGTCAGGAGTTCAAGACCAGCCTGGCCAACATAGCGAAACCCCGTCTCTACTAAAAATACAAAAAGGAGCTGGGCATGCTGGCACGCGCCTGTAGTCCCAGCTACTCAGGAGGCTGAGCCATGAGAATCGCTTGAACCCGGGAGGCAGAGGTTGCAGTGACCTGAGATCGCACCACTGCACTCCAGCCTGGGTGACAGAACAAAACTCCGTCCTCCGCTCCCCGCCCAAAAAAACCAAAAAAACCAAACAAAACCAAAACCACCCAATTGTGGAGCAGTGTGGGACAGCCAGCGCACAGAGCTGACTTTGTGCATCTCTCCCCACTCTGTTGGGTGGTGTCTTGTTGGTAGCTCGAAATTGGCCATGGTGGGAGTATTTACACCACAGAAATTGGCAAATGCTACAAAGCAGGGCTTCTCCACTGGAGAGCTGGTAGTTAAGCATCCACGAGCACACCACTGCACTCCAGCCTCTGCAACCAGAAGCAGCACAGAAGCCCCTTGTTAGAACCATGAGGTCTGGATTTTTGATGTGAAAAAGCAGAATAGGGCATTGTAGCTGGGTGAAGGGTACTGCTTCTTGGCTCTGTGCCCATGCTCTGGCCACTCCCCCTCCCTGCCTGAGGGTAACAGGGAAATGGGAGGGCCTTTGGGCTGGGGACAACCCTGCTGCTTGCACTCTGCATAGAGAAAGCATGAGGAGAACAGAGGAAGAGAGAGCAGGAAAGAAACAGAAGATGCAGGCTGATGGTTCAGAAGATCGGGCAGGAAGCAGCCTCAATGAGGGTCTATCACAGCCTACAGACAGCACAGAAACCATCCCAACACAGCTGCCCTGCAAGCTGGGTACTGCCACCCCCATTTTGTGGGCAGGAACACAGAGGCTCAGAGATGTTAAGTGACTTTCTCTGGATCACACAGCTGGCTATGGACAAAGCTGGACTCTGTCCACTTGACTCCAGGCTCTTCTGGGTGTTGGGGCACGACAGTGAGAAAAGATAAGATGACGGAGGAAGAAGGGTGGTCTGAGGCCTGCGGGCTCTCCTTCCCCGAGGGCCTGGTCAGGCTCAGTCTGACATCTCTGGGTGTCTCAAGGCTTGTCTGCTATTTCCAGCCCTCTCCTCATCCTCCACTTCCCCCGAGGTCAGGTGGCAGGGCCGACTTTTTCTAGACTCAAGATGACAGTTCCCCCAAGCCAGCCCAGCCACGTGAGCAGTGGCCTGAGAGTGGGCTGCTTCACGTCCCCTTCCTGCTGGCCCCATTAACAATGAGCTTCTTGAGGGCAGTGGCCTTGACTGCCTCTGAACCACCTGGCACTTACTAGCTCTTTGAAGGTGCTGTCCAGTGAATGAATGAATGTAGGATGCTGGCTTTTGAAGATTCTTGACTACCTGTGTCCTGGTCACTAGACTCACTCTTCTCTGAATCCAATCCAGCATCTACCCCAGGATACAGCCTGCCCGAGGGCTCAAAACCCCAGGATTGCAGTTTCCCTTCTGTCTGGGCCCTCAGGTGAGCTGGACCAGGTAAGTGTGTTTCCCTGTGCCTCAGCTTGACAGAAAGAACTGGAAAGGAAAGAGAAAAAGCACCCACTTCACAGCCAGGTTGGTGCCTGCACCTGCTGCCCAGGTTAATGCTCAAAGAGACATGCCCACGTCTTCCAGGCAGGCAGTCGTTGGCTGGTGTGGGGTCAGGGAGTGGCTGTGAGGATTTCCTCACAGAGCCGCAGGTTTCACACAGATTTTCTGTGCAGTGCTCCATCACCTGGCTTCACCATGTCCTCATGGAGCCACACCCTCTGCCCCAGGGTCTGAGAGGGGCTTCCCTGGGGCCAGGGGAGGGGAGGGGAGGCAGATCCTGTAACTGGTCTCTGTCCTGCCCCTCCAGTCTGCCCTCCATACAGCAGCCAGAATGCTTGCTCAAAAATGCTACTCTGATCATGCCACTCCCTGCTCAGCACCTGCCATGGGCTCGGCTTGCCTTCTGATCTTGTCTTTTGGCCACTTCATCCCTGGTGCACCTGCAAAGCACAAAGGTGCCTTTGCAGAGGCTATTTTCTCTGCCTGGGATGTCTCAACCTCTCCTTCTTATTTCAGTGGGAACCACCTATTCTTAGCCTCCTAACTGGTCCCTGGTACCAGCCTTGACCCTGCAATTTATTTATTTATTTATTTTATTTTATTTTATTTATTTATTTTTTTGAGACGAAGTCTTGCTCTGTTGCCAGGCTGAAGTGCAGCGGTGCAATCTCGGCTCACTGCACTCTCTGCCTCCCGGGTGCAAGTGATTCTCCTGCCTCAGCCTCCTGAGTAGCTGGGACTACAGGCACATGCCACCACACCTGGCTAATTTTTTTGTATTTTAGTAGAGATGGGGTTTCACCATGTTGGCAAGGGTGGTCTTGATCTCCTGACCTGGAGATCTGCCCGCTGTGGCCTCCCAAAGTGCTGGGATTATAGGTGTGAGCCATCGTGCCCGGCCATTTTTTTTTTTTTTTTTTTTTGGGGACAGAGTCTTGCCCCATCGCCCAGGCTGGAGTACAGTGGCACGATCTCAGCTCACTGCAACCTCTGCCCCCAGGGCTCAGGCGATTCTCTCGCCTCAGCCTCCCGAGTAACTGGGACTACAGGCATGCACCACCACACACAGCTAATTTTCGTATTTTTAGTAGAGATGGGGTCTCACCCATGTTGGCCAGGCTGGTCTCGAACTCTTGACCTCAAGTGATCCGCCTGCCTCGGCCTCCCAAAGTGCTGGGATTACAGGCTTGAGCCACTGCGCCCGGCTGCCATCTGTTTTCAATATAGCAGCTAGAGTGATCCTTTTAAAAGATGTGTCAGAACATGTTTCTCAAAGGTGAAGTCCCTGTGATGGTCCTTACCTCACTTGTGAAAACCCTCTGTGGCCTACAGGGCCCTGTCTAATCCCCCTCTCATCAGTTTTTTTTTTTTTTTTCAAATAGATTTGGGGTTTCACCATGTTGCCCGGACTGGTCTTGAACTCCTGGGCTCAACCAATCCACTTGCCTCAGCCTCCCAAAGTGCTGGGATTACAGTTGTGAGCCACTGCGCCTGGCCTTTTGATACCTTATTAGACCTTATCTCCTTCACTCTCCCCAATGTGGCGCAGATGGTTACTTATCCCCCATCCTCTATTTCTTCTATAGTAATAGAATTCCTGAGTTTTGGCAGGGCACAGGGCCACTTGGAATAAGACTCCTTTATAGTTGGGAGTGGTCATGTAACGAAGCCCCAGACAATGGGATATAAGTGTGGAATTGTGCACATGTGCTTGGTAAGAGTCCTTACAGGAGGTAACTGGCTCTGCATCACCCTTTCCTCATTACTACTGGTTGAAATGTCAATGTGATGGCTGGTGCTGCAGCAGCCATCTTGGGTCATAAGCAACCTTGGGAATGCTGGTGTTGCATGGCAGAGCAGCAAGATGGGGGCCTGGGTCCCTGCTACCATTGAACAATCTATCACTCCTGGACTATCTTTGGGATTTGAACTAAGAAGAAAAAAGTTCAATTGTTTAAGTCACAATTATTTTGGATTTTCTGCTACTTGCAGTCAAACCTAATTCACTTATATCTTTGGTTGCTAGGCTCTGACCAGTAGCATCCTTGCCAGTCCTTCTCATGCAAAGCCTGTTTCTACTGCAGGGAATTTTGCATTTGCTGTTCCCTCTGCTAGGGACAGTCTTCTCCAGATATGTGCATAGCCTTTGCTCTCCTTTCCTTCAGGTTCCTGCTCAAGTGGCATCTTATCAATGAGACCTTCCCTGCCTGCCTTGCACTGCCTCATTCAGTTTTATTTCTTCCACAGTGCTTTCAAAAACTGTCATAGGTTCTGTATATTTACTTGTCTCCTTGTTTACTTTTCTACTCTAGAATAGAAGTGCCACAAGGGCAGGGACAGTCTCTTGTTCACTGCTATATTCATACTGCCTAACGGCTCGTAGGCCTGTGATATGTTTTGGTGCAAGGGGAGCTAAGAATGCTTATATATATATATATTATATATATATATAAAATATATATATATTATATATATATATATAAAATATATATATATTATATATATATATAAAATATATATATATTATATATATATAAAATATGTTATATATATATATAAAATATGTTATATATATAATATATATGTTATATATATATATAATATATATGTTATATATATAAAATATATATATTATATATATATAAAATATATATGTTATATATATAAAATATATATATATTATATATATATAAAATATATATTTAATATATGTAATATATATATATTTAATATATAATATACATATATATTTAATATATAATACACATATATAATATGTATATTAAATATATAAAATACATTTTTATAATACATAATATATAGTATATATATATGTTTTTAAATATATAATATAAAAAAAAATATATATATATATATTTTTGAGACGGAGTTTTGCTCTTGTTGCCCAGGCTGGAGTACAATGGTGCAATCTCGGTTCACTGCAACCACTGCCTCCTGGGTTCAAGCAATTCTCCTGCCTCAGCCTCCTGAGTAGGTGGGATTACAGGCATGCACCACCATGCCTGGCTAATTTTTGTATTTTTAGTAGAGACAGGGTTTCGCCATGCTTGCCAGGCTGGTCTCGAACTCCTGACCTCAGGTGATCTGCCCACCTTGGCCTCCCAAACTGCTGGGATTACAGGTGTAAACCACCACGCCTGGTTGAATGTTTTTATGTATTTTTTTTGTTTTGTTTTGTTTTGTTTGTTTTGTTTTTTTTTTAAATATTTTTTAAGAGCTGTAAAGAAGGAGAAGAGGAATGAGAAAATGAGAAAGAATTATTATTATTATTGGTGGTAGTAGTGATAGAGACTGTATGTGGCCTATAAAGGCTAACATATTCACTGTCTGACCCTTTAGAGAAAGTTTGTCAACCCCTGGCCTAGAACATGGGTGGCTTCTTACTAGGGCTCAGTAAGTGTCTGAATGAAGGAAGGAACAGTTTAAAACTCAGCTTTGCCGGGCGCAGTGGCTCACGCCTGTAATCCCAGCACTTTGGGAGGCCGAGGTGGGCGGATCATGAGGTCAGGAGTTTGAGACCAGCCTGGCCAACATAATGAAATCCCGTCTGTACTAAACATGCAAAAATTAGCCAGGCATGGTGGTGTGTGCCTGTAGTCCCAGCTACTCGGGAGGCTGAGGCAGAAGAATTGCTTGAACCCGGGAGGTGGAGGTTGCAGTGAGCCGAGATCGCACCACTGAACTCCAGCTTGGGCAACAGAGTGAGACTTCATCTCAAAAAACAAACAAACTAACAAAAAAACCCCAACCCCTCCCCACCCCGCCCCAGCTTTAATGACTTCCTATCTCAGGGAGCATTCAAATGCCTTCCTTCACATTTCGTTTTGTTTATACAGGTCTCTTTGCTACCAGACTGTGAGAATGGTTTCCACCTGGGGACCCAGAGCACTACCAGGTACAGATAGTTACTCATTTAGTATTTATTAAGCACCTAGTAGGTGTTTAAATAAATTATAAATTAATTATACATTAAATAAATATTGAATGAATAACTGTACCTGTCTTGTTCATTCAGCATCCAGCACAGGTGTACAACAGACATTTGTGGGATGAATGAACACAGGATAAATGAAGACTTCTAGAAACCCTTCCTCCTCTACACAAGGCTCCAGGCATCCTTATAAATTTATAATCTTATAAATTAAAGATGACTCCTTCTTGACTATAAGTAGAAAGAAGGCTTCAGTTAAGTGAAGATCCAGTTAAGTCAGGTTTACTCTGTCCAAGAAGCTCAACTTTTGCCACCCAGTTTTAACACCTGATGGTGGCACAGTTGCACCACATACAATTTTCAGGACTCTGATGAATGCGCTGGGCGTTTCTGCACTAACCCTCCTAACCAGTGTGCCAATGGGATTTGGCAAAACTATGAGCAGTGACAGAATGACAGAACCAAGGAATCATGAGATTTGCTATAAGCAAGACAGAGAGCCAGGAAATGAGGAGGGGAGAGCGCTCTGGGCTGTGACTCTGGGTTGGCTGGAGCACACCCCGGAGTGGCACAGGGCTCAGGGCTGGCACTTCCTCCAAGACTTGCTCTGGGGCCAGGTCCAAGACTACAATCTCCTTGCTGTTTTTCCATGGCAGTAGCTTAGACTGTAGTTCTCTGCCATGAAGTGGTTCAGAGAATGCATGGAGTTGCTTTTTCAGCACCAGTTCTTTCAGAGCAAGTTGCTTCATTTCACTCAGAGCACTCAACTTATTGAAACTGATGAAAAAAGGTTCATTCATTTGATCTACCAGGAGTCTCCACTTAGGCTTCAGGACGTTTAGTTGTTAAGTGAAGACACCTACTGGTGGAGCGTGATATTGCAGCCAAGCTCTATAATGCCATAATAATTGCAATCTCTAAATGTTGCGGCAGGCAACTAAAGCTAAATTCTAGGAGTTGCCAAGTGTGAAATCAAAGGATTCCTAGGCAAGGATTATCACTTTTGTGGCCCAGCAGGAAATATGAGAGAAGAGGGGATGAGAAAGAGGAAAGTCTGACATTGGAAGGGTGATTTTTATTATCAAGTGTTATAAAATACTCTCAAGAGGTACAGTGCCTTATCTACCACAGAAGTTTTCTGTTTGGGCATATTTTTTCTTCATGATGACATGTCTTGAATTTTTAAGATGAAGGGTAAAGGGGATTTTCCTTCCAAAAATTCACTATACTGTCAATCTTGCTGAAAGAGTCAGTAAACAAAGAATGCTTTTAAGTAAAGGTTAGAAAAATCAGGAAGAAATATGTTCCTCAAATAATTGCATGATCTCTTGACTTTTAGTGAGAAGATTCATTTTCTGCAGGATGAGCAGAATTTGAGACCACATTAGCCAAAGTCTGTAGGAGCCAGCCAGCCAGCCATGACTGGGAAACGCCAGAGGCAGATAAGCCTTCTCCAAAGCAGAGTTTTGGTGTAGAAATCTCAGGAGTTAGTCTGTCAATGTTAGATCCCTTCAAAATTCAATCCAAAAGGCTTATTCTAAAATAAAGGAAGTGTTCAAAGGTCACATAAGATATAAGGCTAATCCCAGCTTGGATTCTTAGTTTGAATGAAGAAAGATGCTATTTTCCAACCAGTTGAACTATAAATAAATCCATCCCCATCATTTCAGGTGAATGACGTAACAGCAGTCACCACAAATTAGAGCTTTTTCTCCCTTTTCCAGACAAATCCCCTCATCAAGCCCGTTCCGACTGGACATTTGTGTTTGTCACAAACCAGAGCTGTCTCTTTCCTCTCTTCTCTACCCTCCCACACCCATTCCTTCTAGGGAAAGTCTCTGCATACTCGAAACCAGAAACTCTGCCAGCCCAAGAGTGGCAGCTCCTCTTCTCTCTGCTCTTTTCTGAGAAACATATAATTATCCCCGGGGCTCGGGAACTATTTGCAGCTTTAGCAGGATGCCATGGCTCTGGCCAGTACCTATTAAACTAGAAAGAGGAGCTATAAATGGACTGGTTGGGAAAAGGCTGAAGTTAATTCTCGACGCCATTCCCTGAGGCAGAGAGAATGACTGTGGGGCCTGTGAAGTTGACCACAGGGCCCGTACCCAGGGGCAGCAAAGGTACTGGAGCTTTTGAATTTGGAATTTCTACTTGATATGGTTTGGATCTGCGTCCCCACCCAAATCTCATGTCGAACTGTAATCCCCAATGTTGGAGGTGGGGGCTGGTGGGAGGTGATTGGATCATGGGGGTGGGTCCTTCATGAATGGTTCAGCTCCATCCCTTTGGTGCTGTCTCGAGATGGAGTTCTCAGGAGATCTGGTTGTTTAAAAGTGTGTAGCACTGCCCCTCTCTCTCTTGGTCCTGCTCCTGCCATATAAAAACTGCTTGCTCCACCTTTGCCTTCCATCATGATGGAAAGCTCCCGGAGGCCTCCCCAGAAGCTGAGCAGAAGCCACTGTGCTTCCCGTACAGCCTGCAGAACGATGAGCCAATGAAACCTCTTTTCTTTATAAATTATCCAGTCACAGGTATTTCTTTACAGAAGTGTGAGAATGAACTAATATACTACTGCTGGTCAGGGGCACCCATGTATTTTAAGTAACAGTAGTAGTAATAAAAACGGCATCAAGCATACATTACTGACAATGTGCCAGGCACTATTCTAGGTGCCTTACAAATATGATTATAAATCCTATAATAATCCCACAAGGCAGATTGCTATATCAACCCCAGTTTACAGATAAGGAAACTGAGGCCCATGAGAGGGGGTATCCTTTTTCACTTCTAGGATCTCTGTTCGCACCCCTGATCCTCATCAACCCCTTCAAACCTCCTGGCACCCTAGGAAATTAAAGAGCGCTGGATTCTGGAAGTTCCGAAGTCCACATTGGCTCCAGGTAAGGTATGGGCCGGGGCCTTTGCAGATGTGGAGGATGATCTTGGGTGGCAGGAAGAAAAAGTTGGGCCACTGTTTATATAAATGTATAAACCCCAGGGGAGAGCTCAATTATTCCTCTGTGCATACGCAATTTCCCACCTTCTCTTTCTCCATAATTGCTTCTGAGAGAAGAGTTGTGTCATCCAGGAAATGGAAAGCTTATTAGGAGGGAATATAATGTATTTTAGGGAGAATGGCAATAGGGACGGGAGTCGCTTGACGCTGCATCTGTCATTGCCCAAAAAGGGCTGGGGTCTGGCGCCAAGGATGTCAAATGGACATGGCCCAAATCTACCGCACATTCCTGCTTCCCAGCCTGTGCCTGGCGATCCCCTCAGCCCGGGATGCCCCTCATTCTATGGAAACCTTCTGATCCTTCATCAAGACCCAGGGTCCCTCCTTTCCGATCCCTTATCACACCTGAGAAGAATGCTCTTAGCTCTCAGCTACCATATTGCTCTGTATAAAGTGGAACAAAGGCATTTAACTCCCGATAGCATGGCTAGGAAGAAGTCTGCCTCCCCTTCTCCATGAAGGCATTCTCTGAGAAAGACTCCAAGTCTCAACCACTTGGCAGTTTTTTGGTATATTGGATGAAACAACCTCAAATACTATTTTTGGGAAATGGGATGGGGTATCAACCAATCAATCAAGCATCCATCCATCCATCCATCCATCCATCCATCCATCCATCCCTCCACCAGTTCAGCCACCCCTCCTTCCCTTCCCTCCCTCCTGCCAACCATCCACCCATCCACATCACTGTATCCTCAGCATGGAACCCAGAGCCTGGTGCACAGTTGGTGCTCGGCTGGAGTTTGCCGAAAACTGAACGAAGAGAAGAAAATAGAAAATATTCTTACCAGATTTCTTTTTCCCAATGTGCTCCCTGTACAGGAAAGAAAGGGGGTGGGAAGAGTAACGAGTCAGTACTTGCCATGTATTGACGTGAGTTATTCTGCCGGGAAACTGAGATTCTCCACCCCCCACAACATCATCAGTGAATGAATAAAATCCAGGCCAACTAGAGGAACCCTGACTTCTTCAAAGAGAAAGAACTTCTCTTAATTTTCCCCCTTTGCCTGATAAGTGCTCTGGTGCCCTGGGGACCAGTGTCTCCATTTATTTGTAGACTGGAAGCCCTGGGGAGGAGCCGAAGGGGATTGCAGTTTGAAAATAGGAGTTAGGTCCTCACACTGCACTGAGCCTGATGCCTACCTCATCAGGCACAGCAGAGGTCCCTGCCCCATTTCTTGGGGTCCCCTAAGCCATAGACATGGGGCAGAAAGTGCTTGGCAGTAAGTGTACAGGGAACACATTAAAACTGGGCAGAAGTTTGGACAGCAGTGAACACAGTGCACCTCCCAAGTGGTGAGAGGGGACACTACTATGGGCTAGAATTCACAGGGAATAATGAATAGTGAGTCCCTTACCGTCGTCACCCGTGTCAGAGTTTATAAATGCAACTGTATCGGCCAGGCATGGTGCTTCACGCCTGTAATCCCAGCACTTTGGGAGGCTGAGGCGGGTGGATCACCTGAGGTCAGGAGTTTGAGACCAGCCTGGCCAACATGGTGAAATCCCATCTCTACTAAAAATACAAAAATTAGCTGGGCATGATGGCACATGCCTGTGGTCCCAGCTACTCGGGAAGCTGAGACAGGAGAATCAATTGAACCTGGGAGGTGGAGGTGCAGTGAGCCGAGATCGTGCCACTGCACTCTAGCCTGGGTGACAGAGCAAGACTCCATCTTGGTGGGGGGAGTGGGGAAAGCAACTGTATCACAAATGCAGCATTACAAATTAGGGCTTACAAAGCACTTTAAGTTATCTCATGAGTAATGAAGTTTGCAGTGGTTGGGTTGGGATGGACATTGTGGCAACAGTAGCATTAGCTAATATTATTAAATGGTGCTAGACCCAGTGCCGGCACCCTGCTAGGCATTTGTAGTTCACTCATTCAATACTCACAACGATCCCAGGAAATAAGTATTATTCTTATTCCCATTTTACAGACGAGGAACAGAGAGGCTAAGTAATTTGCTCAAGGTCACACAGCTAGCAAGTAGCACAGCTAGAATTGGAACCCAGATCGAACTAACTTTTAAAAAACTGAGATATAATTGACAAACCATAAAACTCATCCTTTAGGCCAGGAGCGGTGGTTCACGCCTGTAATCCCAGCACTTTGGGAGGCCTGGGGCAGGCAGATCACCTGAGGTCAGGAGTTGGAGACCAGCCTGGCCAACATGGCAAAACCTCATCTCTACTAAAAATACAAAAATGAGCCAGGTGTGGTGGTGGGCACCTGTAATCCCAGCTACTCAGGAGGCTGAGGCAGGAGAATCGCTTGAACCTGGGAGGTGGAGGCTGCAGTGAGCCGAGATCATGCCACTGCACTCCAGCCTGGGAGACAGACCGAGACTCTGTCTCAAAAACAAAACAAAACAAACAAACAAAACCCATCCTTTTAAGGTATACAATTTACTGGTTTTTAGTATATTCACAAGGTTGTCCAACCATCACCAGACCACTTTCATCACTCCAAAAAGAAGCCCTATACCTGTTATTAGTCACTTCCCATTCCCCCTCCTCCAGGCCTTGGCAACCACAAATCCTGCTTGCTGTCTCTAACGATTTGCCTATTCTGGATGTTTCATATAAATAGAATCATATAATGTGTGGCCTTTTGTGTCTGGCTTCTTTCATTTGGCATAATGTCTTTGAGGTTCATCTGTGTTATGGTATGTATCAGCACTTCATTCCTTTTTGTTGCTAAGTAATACTCCATTGTCTGGATAAACCACAATTTGTTTACTCCTCACTAAGTTGCTTGACATTTGGGTTGTTTCCACTCTTTGGCTATTTTGAATAATGTTTCTGTGAACATCTGTGTACAAGTTTTTGTATGGACATGTATTTTTATTTCTCTTGGTTATATACCTAAGAGGGGAATTGCTAGGTCATATGGTAACTCCAGGTTTAACTTCTTGAGGAAGTGCCACACAGATGTCCACAGTGACTGCACCATTTTATATTCCCACCAGCAACGTATGAAGGTTCCAACCTCTTCATATCCTTGACAATACTTGTCATGTATCTTCTTTTTTTTTTTTTTTTTGAGGTGGAGTCTCACTCTGTTGCGCAGGCTGGAGTGCAGTGGTGTGATCTTGGCTCACTGCAACCTCTGCCTCCCAGGTTCAAACGATTCTCCTGCCTCAGCCTCCCATGTAGCTGGGATTATAGACGCCCACCACCACGCCTGGCTCTTTTTGTATTTTTAGTAGAGACGGGGTTTTGCTATGTTGGCCAGGCTGGTCTTGAAGTCCTGACCTCAGGTGATTTGCCCGCTTTGGCCTCTCAAACTGCTGGGATTACACGTATGAGCCACCATGCCTGGCCTATCTATCTTCTTGATTACAGCCATTCTAGTGGGTGTGAATTGGATCTAATGATATTTCACTGTAGCTTGGATTTGCATTTCCTGATGGATAATGATGCCAGGATCTTCTCATATGCTTACTGGCTATTTGTGCATTTTCTTTGGAGAAATGTCTACTCAATGTGTCTGGGTTTTTAACCACCATGTAATAATGCTTCAGAGCAACCTGGGAGAGAGCAGTGAGGGAGCCAAGCCCAAGAGCAGGGGCTACAGTCCTCCTGTATGTCTGGGAGGCGCAGCAGAGTCTGGCCAGGTCGGGCTGGGCTGGTGGTGATGTCCTCCCTCCAGGGATAACATCACTGAGGTTGACCTTCACAGCGCCCATGCAGAGAAGGGTGAGGGTCAGAGTGGAATGTCCTAGCTCACCTTCACTGGCACTCACTGGGTCCTGGTCAGAAAGCTACACTTGGACTGCCTCACTGCGTCCGCATACATCCCTTTGAGGGTTACTCCATTTTGCAGATGAAGATACTGACGCCCAGAGAGGTGAGGTACCAGGCCCAGGACTGGAACCCAGGAAGTCTGGCTGGAGCCCACTCTCCTGACCACCACCTGGACCATCCAGTGACTGAAGCTCCCCTCTTGGCTGCTGCATCAAGACACACTAACGAAGGTTCCACCAGGCTGCTTCTACAGAAAGCACCAGCTGCCAGAGTTGCCATCCAGGCCTGCGACCTGAGCCGTGGTCTGGGCTTAAGACCCGGGCTCCTGCTGAGCCATGCACCCCTGCTTCCACTGTCCCAGCCAGAGCAGAGGAGTGGGGGCGGCAGGGGACTCTTGGGTTCAGGCAGCCACAGCATGCGTTTGCTCAAGCAGGTGGGTCATCTTCTTGGTGTGACATGCTTGGGGTGTTCCCAAGTTTTCCTACTCATGGCGGCCAAAACCCTCCTCCAATAGCACCAGCTGGCTAGGAAAGACGCCCAAAGTCCATGTCAAGCCCTAACATGGGTTGACCTTCAGGATCCTGACCAACAGACCAACCCCAATGGGTATAACCCTCAAGTTCACCATCCCTAAACCAACAACCAGGACCCAGCTGAGACTGCCTGCTGTGGCCCCAGAACCATCCCTTGGGCCCTTGGCAACCACCTTCCTTCCTTTTCAAATCCTGGCTTAAAGACAGGAAGGCATCACTAGGTAAGCACCTGCCCTGTGCCAGACACCATCCTTTATGGGCAGGGTCTTGCTTAGTCCTCACAACCAAGCTGTGAGCCAGGGTAGTGACGCCCGCTTTACTGATGAGAAAATAAGCTCAGAGAAGTCAAGTCATTTGTCCAAGGTCACACAGCTGGGAAGGGACAAAGAGATTTGAACCTTCCCTTTCTTTTCAGGAAGGCTCTCAGAACCAGATACATATACTCCAGCATGATGGACGTATATAAGATATGAGATAAGCATGCTAGCTTATCTCAGCTGTTACTTGGTGCTTTCTTTGGTACAGTCTGGGCTGTGTTTTGTATTTTCAGTGGATGTTCTATTTGTGTATGCATGGGTGCCTGTGTACCCACATGTTCACACAGCTTTTCCCACCACTGTGAAAGTCAGCAGGCCCTCCCTATCTGGCTGATGAATGAACAATGCCAGTGCCCTTGGCTGGATGCAGCATGGGCTGAGAGCTCCTGTCCTGCGCTATTTCTACAAGCCCAAGCCAGCAAGCTAGTGAGGCTGCCTCTGCCACCAAAGAGAGGAAGCCAGAGAGTACCACAAAGCCACCATGCAGCCTCCGGGACTTCCCACCTCCTCTCGAGGGCTGGCTCACACCCTTTGTCCCCGAGTGTCCTTCCTTCTTGAATGAAGATGACCAGACTCCTCCCAAGCACAGCAGCTGCCCCTGGCCTGGCCCTCTCCCCTCTGTGTGTCTAAGTTGGTCTGATGCTTGCTCAGAGGCTGGGGCCACTGCAACCACCCTTGCCAGGGAGAGGGCAGAGGCATCCCAGCACTAACACTGGGAAGGGCCGCCAGCGCGGGGCTTCTTCACCTCAGGTCCATGTACAGGATTCTGCACAAATAAGGACCTCCTGAAACTGCAGGTGCTCTTCCAGGAAGAGGGAAGAAAGCTTTTGTTGGAATCTCTAAGTGGTCCATGATGCTCCCCAAAGTTAAACTTGGATTCTCTAAGTGGTCCAAGATGCTCCCCAAAGTTAAAGTAGAAGAAAATCTGGCTATCATTGAATCCAGGGGCCCAAGGAATGCACACCAATGCCAATACTACCCTCGTGGCTGCTGTCTGCTCCTTCCTCTGCCCTTGGGCAATATGGTCTGTAGAGCAGTTCCAAGTGATTTTCTCCACATCTTCTCATTTGATTCCCCAAGCAATTCTGTGAGGGAGGTGTCATCAGGCCCATCTTACATAAGAGGAGACTGAGGCAAGGGGCAGAAAAACCTGCCCAATCTTACCCAGCTTGAAAGTGGCTCCTATAGGCCGGGCATGGTGGCTCATGCCTGTAATCCCAGCACTTTGGGAGGCCAAGACAGGTGGATCACGAGGCCAGGAGATCGAGACCATCCTGGCTAACACGGTGAAACCCCGTCTCTACTAAAAATACAAAAAATTAGCCGGGCATGGTGGCGGGCGCCTGTAGTCCCAGCTACTTGGGAGGCTGAGGCAGGAGAATGGTGTGAACCTGGGAGGCGGAGCTTGCAGTGAGCCAAGATCGCGCCACTGCACTCCAACCTGGGTGATAGAGCAAGACTCTGTCTCAAAAAAAAAAAAAAAAAAAAAAGGAAAGTGGCTTCTATAAACTGAATTCATATATTGAAACACTAACCCCAGTGTGATGGTGCTTGGAGATGGAGGCTTTAGGGGTAATTAGGTCATAAACGTGGAGCCCCCCGGATAGGATTAGCGCCTTTATGAGAAGACACAAAGGTAAGAGGATCGCTTGAGCCCAGGAGTTTCAGACCAGCCTGGACAACATAGCCAGACCCTGTCTCTACAAAAAATTAAAAAAAAAAAAAAAAAAAAGAAGAGACATAAGAGAGCTGGCTTTCTCTCTCTCTCTCTCTCCCATGTGGGGACACATCTGCAAACCAGGAAGTGGCCTTCACCAGGCACTGAAATAGCTGGCACCTTGATCTTGGATTTCCAGCCTCCAGAAAGTGAGAAATACATTTTTGTTTAAGCCACCCAGTCTGTGATATTTTTGTCATAGCAGGTGGAACAGACTAAGACAGTAGTCAGGCAATTTTCCCTGCTGAGGGTATATCAGGCTGGGCATCTTGATCAACTCTTAAGAGACAGCGCTGGAATAAAGACAACAATGTCTGGTCATTCCAAGAGGGGCACTACCATGAGCCGCCACTTCCTGAGCAGCTGGCAAAGTCTTAGAATTTTTCCCTGTGGCAGTCACTCAGTCCTCAACATTACCCTACAAAGTACAGCTACTCCCATTTCACAATAGAGCAAGTGGAAGCCCAGAAGCAAAGTGAGGGAGGCCCATGGCCACAAAGCCCAGGAGTGGCAGAGGCAGGATTCGAACCTGGGTGTACTAGATTCCAAACTCAGGCTCTTTTCTATCAAGTGAGCCTCTTGTGTGGGACTGAGCTTAGGTTCAGACTCAGGCTGACCTGGGGAAAATTCACCTTCACCTCTTCCAAACTGTGCCTCTCTTTCATTATCATTTTGTTAAAAGTCCCTTTTATTATTCTGAACCTCAGCTTCCTCATCTGTAAGAGAGGAATGACAGGTTTTTTTGTTTTTGTTTTTGAGACAGAGGCTCCCTCTGTCACCCAGGCTGGAGTGCAGTGGCGGCGATCACTGCTCACTGCAGCCTCAACCTCCTTGGCCCGAGCAATTCTCCCATCTCAGCTTCCTGAGTATCTGGGACTACAGGCACGTACCACTATGCCCGGCTAATTTTTTTTTTATTTTTAGTAGAGACAGGATCTGACTATGTTGCTCAGGCTGGTCTTGAACTCCTGTGCTCAAGCAATCCTTCCGCCTCGGCCTCCTAAAGTGCTGGGATTACAGGCGTGAGGGAATGACAGTTTTTATTGGGCAGTTTCGTGAGAAAATGAAGTGGAAAGGGAACACAATAAGCTCTGTATCCTTTGATTTACCTTGTGTAGAAATTATAAGTGAAGCCAGAGGCTATGAGCCTGAATGGCAGTTCAATCCTGTAAGCCCAGGAGGACTGGAGACAAAGGTGCTTTGAGACTATTTCCCCATATTTCATGATGGCGACACAAATTGGGAAATGCTTACCAGACACCAACGCCAAAGACACTAAGAACAAAAACATTAGCCAGCACGAGCGAAACACCCCAAATTATCAGATTTATATTATTCTGTATCTTTATGATTATTTTCAAATTTATGAAACTGTGTCTTGGCTCCCGTGTTGGTAAGGCATTCCCTTGTGACATCCGATTCAAAGGTTTACTGTTGCCTCTTACAGTCTCCCTTCACTCCAAAACCACGCACTTCTGTGCGCTCACTATGAGAAGCTGTGTTTACTCGCTCCGTGCTCGTCACAGGAAATGGTGCATATTGGGATATATTTATTGCAGAAACTTAGGTCTACTCATCTGTGTGCTAGCAAACCATCAGTCCTGAGTGGTGTACTCGGAAGTCTGTGAACTCGATTTTGGAGGTCGCTGTGTGTGTGTATAAATATAAATGGCCTGACTTCACTTGTTAAAACACTTTCATGCTTTCTCCTCACAAGTCTATTTAAAAAATTTTTGTGATTCCAGCAGATCATTTCCAAAAGGGAGCATGTGTCTTTCTCTCTTGATACACATACAGTGCTTGGCACACTGCCCGCCACGCTGGCTGCTCAGCAAACTCAGCCTTGGTTACGGCTGCTGCCTGGGGCATCCAGCGAACGCAGCGCCAAGAGCAGCAGCATCTACTTCTGGAACAGAGCCTGGCTGGTACTTTTCAGCCCTTCTCGAATGAGCCCAGACGGACCCCAAACTCTGCCCGCTCTTGCTCCTGTGACCCCAGGACACTCCCAGCACCTTGGGCTGATCTCTTTTCCCCACTGCTATTTCTCCGTTAGCCAGATCCCTTCCTGCTTTCCCCAAAGCACCCGGGCCGGCCAGAGTGTTGGTGCGTAAGTGCGGGTAAGCAGGCGGTGCTAGAGTTTTATGTGGTGTGCACTGTGTGGCTGGGGCTGCTGGCTGTGTAGCGACAGGCGTCTGGGCAAGTGGCCTGTCCACTGCAGGGAGAAGTGACAGGGAGGCAGGGCTGTGGTGGGCATTTTGGAGAGCTTCGGAGCCTGGCTGGTCAGGATGAAATCCCGGCCCCGTTGCTCACCGGCAGTGGGGTCTTCGTTGGTTTGGGTTGCTCCCGCATTCACATCCCTGGCAGTTCCCGAGCACACCCACCTCCACCTCTGTGGACAGAAGCTAGATGAATCTACGGCTCAGCCCCTGCCTCACGGGCTCAGCCTGCTCAGTTCCGACACACCTCGATAAGTGCTGTGGGCAGGTGGAGAGTATGATGGGATGACAGGAGTGGCACTCAGCCAGTTTCCTTCACCTGTCAAACGGACGATCGCTACCCACTTACAGCAACTCTGAAGGCTAAGTGAAGTGCGGTCTCACAGGGGCTCAGCCGACGAAACCCACTTTTGGCTGCACTTTGCTTTACTTGGGGGTGGCTGGACTGGCAGGAGGGAGGGCTGTGGGGCTCCATCTGGGGAAGCCCACAAACAAACTTACTCTTTGGGGGGATTCAGGTCCTCAGGTCTTGTCTCAAAGAACTGCAGCACCTCATCACACTGAGAGATGTAGGGGGGCAGCTGGATGAGGGCCTGGAGAAGAGAGACGCAGGTGAGTGCAAAGGAGGAGAGGGGGCTGAGCATGGTGGCACGCGCCTATAATCCCAGCTACTCGGGAGGCTGAGGCAAGATAATTGTTTGAACCTGGGAGGCGGAGGTTGCAGTGAGCTGAGATCGCGCCACTGCACTCCAGACTGGGTGACAGAGCGAGACTGTCTCAAACACACACACATACAAACACAAAAGCAAACCCAAAAAGCAAAGGAAGGAGACGGGTGTTAGGAATGCCATATACCACCAGTGGCTCTCAGACTCGGGAAGGCACCAGAATCACTTGGAGGGCTTATTAAAACACAGATCGTGGAGCCCCACCCGAGTTTCTGATCCAGTAGTTCTGCGGAGGGGGCTGAGGATGTGCATTTCTAAAAAAGTTTCCTGGTGATGCTGCTGGTTTGGAGAACAACACACACACACACACACACACACAATGTATGATATACACGCATATATTATAGGCATATTTGTTCAAGTAATATGTCCATATTTAGGCAAAATCAGACCATACTGTACATGCTATTTAGTAAACCTATGCTTTCACTTAGCTATAAATTGTCAACTTCATGCCATTTCATTATTCTTATTTATTTATGTTGAGACAGGATCTTGCTCTGTCACTCAGGCTGGAGTGCAGTGGTGCAGCCTCGGCTCACCACAACCTCTGCCTCCTGGGTTCAAGCGATTTTTGTGCCCTAGTCTCCTGAGTAGCTGGGATTATAGGCATGTGCTACCATGCCTGGCTAATTTTTTTTTTTTTTGTATTTTTAGTAGAGACAGGGTTTCGGCATGTTGGCCAGGCTGGTCTCGAACTCCCGGCCTCAAGTGATCCACCCACTTCAGCCTCCCAAAGTGCTGGGATTACAGGTGTTTGAGCCACTGCACCTGGCTCATTTCATTATTCTTCTATAACATCATCTATACTGGATACTGGATTTTGTACAGCTGTGTCATACTTTATTCAACTCGTCTACTGGTGAATCTTTAGGTTATTTCCAACATGCTCACATATATGTCTTAACTCACGAATCTGAAGCATTAAAGTGAAGGGACTGTTTTATGATTTGGATAGAGGTTCAAAGTCTCCAAGTTGATGAGGGGTTGAAACAGATCTTCCACTGGCCAAATTCCACATTAATCTGCCCCAGTGACTCACTGGCTGTGTAGCCCTCCACAATGCTGGTTTATTTACTAACCTCCACAAAGCTGGTTTATCTACTAACAGGTATTCATTCAATGATTCAATGAGCAAAAATTTTCTTTGTGCTCAGCACTGCACTAGTTTCTGTGCCAAATACAACAGAAGTGCAGGGTACACTCTGCTCGTTGAAGGATCCGAAACTCAGACATGGCCATCATGAATAAACAGCTCAGTTTAACAAATATTTACTTAAGCCTCCTTTGGCCCGGGCCCTGGACCAGGGTAATGAGGATGCAGATCTGAGGGTGGTTCAGGTGGTTCACGCATACATTTTGTTGCACACACCTGTGCAGAGAACACGTGTGCATATGCATGAATTGCACAGGTGATTCTGCCAGCCAAGCTGCCCAAGCAGTGCGTGCTCTGCATGAGGCTGGACTCTGTTCTCTCCTAGAGGGCCTCAGTTCCCTGGTGCCTCTCATGAGCCTTCTCACCATGCTGAGCCTGAGTCTCTGGGGTCTGGGGATAGAAGAGATGTGTCTTGCATTTCCTTTCTTTCTTTCTTTTTTTTTTTTTGAGACAGAGTCTTGCTCTGTCACCAGGCTGGAGTGCTGTGGTGCTATCTTAGCACACTGCAACCTCTGCCTCCCGGGTTCAAGTGATTCCCCAGCCTCAGCCTCCCTAGTAGCTGGGATTACAGGCGCACGCCACCCCACCCGGCTAATTTTTTATATTTTAGTAGAGATGGGGTTTCACCATGTTGGCCAGGATAGTCTCGATCTCCTGACCTCGTGATCCACCCACCTCGGCTCCCAAAGTGCTGGGATTACAGGCGTGAGCCACTGCGCCCGGCCTGTGTCTTGCATTTTCTATATAACCAGCCCTTAATAGCTCACCACCCAACTCCCAAAGTGATGTGCCGACGCTGCAGCAGTACTGGGCTCTCGTGGACCAACGGAGAGATGAATGGAGGCCTCCAGTGTGGCACCTTTTACAGGGCTTTGGGGATATGTTGACCCTACACAATTATTTCTCCCATTAAAAAAATTAAATTGTGGTAAAATACACACAGTAAAAAGCTTACCATCTTACCCATTTTCAAGTGTACCGTACGGTGCATTAAGTATTTAATGCATTCACACTGCTGTGCTACCAGCACCGCCATCCATCCACAGAACTCTATTCATCTTGCAAAACTGAAACTCTGTACCCATTAAACAACAACTACCCTTCCACCCTCCCCCAGCAACCACCATTCTACTTCTGTCTCTAGGGATTGATGATTCCAGGTAGCTCATATAAGTGGAATCATACAGTGTTTGTCTTTTTGAGTCTGGCTGATGTCATTTAGCATGCTCATCCATTCAAGGTTCATGCTTGCAGCAGGCGTAAACACTTCCTTCCTTTTAAAGGCTGAGTAATATTCCATTGTCTGGATACACCGCATTTTGCTTATCATTCACCTGTCGATGGACACTTGGGTTGCCAACCCTACATTACTTTGAATCAGGCTCTAACTTTAAGTCCCCGAGCTGCAATCTGCTCCAGACTCAAAATGGATAAACACATCATGAGGGACGTGGATGGTCTAGTAGGGCACCTTCCCTGGTCACTGTCCACCCTTCCACCCTTCTGAGGGGTGACTAAAGGGCTCACCGATTTTTAAAATTAGCCTTTAAGTAGCTCCTGCTCTGCAGCAAATCCTTAAGGACTGTTTCCAGAGTTGAATCAGGGAGTCCCAGAGACAGGAGCAGGCCCTTCCCTCCCTCACCTCCTGTTTCTGGTCCCCCTTCTTTTTCTGGTTCCAAGCAGTGAGTGGTCATTCTCCTGGCCTGGATGAGCTGCTGTCTGCTCCCCCCTCCCCATGGGCCTCTTTTTCCTCTGAAATCCTGCAGCCCTTGCAGTTGGAGCCACATAATGAAGGAGCTGATTATATGCTGGACTGTGGTGTGTCCTGGCTGCTTTGTGTGCAAATATCTTGTGGCTTCCCCCCAAGACTACAATAACAGCACTCCTCGACCTTGGCTTAGCACTGGGAGGCTCCTGAAACGTGTTCATCTGTGTCACTTTATGTAACCCTGGGAAGGCTGGCCCATTTAAGAGATGGGGAAATGGAGGCTCTGTTGAGGTGGCTTGGTCTAGAGAGTCCAGGAAAGGCTGACTGCAAACCTCTACCTTAAATCCACAAAAGGCGGCAGGGTGGCAGCTGTTCCTCCTTCACCTTCCCTACGTGCCTAGACAGTGCTGGGGAGACCCTAAATAACACGAGGCAACAGCCCGGAGCTGGCCATGTGTCTCTGCTAGAGGAGACTTGGGTGGGTGTGGGGAATGGCCCCTGGAGGTGGTCACTGTCTCTGCCTGGAGGGGGCCTCCCAGGATGGGCAGAGGCCCCAAATGGACCAGAAGGGGAAGGGACAACGAGGCCCATGGAAACCTCCTGATGATGCCAAGTTCTCTTCTGGTTTTGAGCTATGCCTAGGAAGTAAAAGCCAAACCAAACCCCTAAACCATAAAAGAAGTCAAGTTACTAATAAAAGGCAGGGCTGAATGCTTTGATGTTGGCCCATTTCATTTGGGATGGACTTGGCTACCAGTAAAAAATGACCCGGGGCTGGAGAAACCATTCTGCTTCTGAAAGACTCCAGGATAGTCCTAAGTCCTGTCAGTAGTGACAAAGAACCACAGCTCCAGCAAACTCAGTCCTGTTCTGGAACGGATCCTGGCGCTTTGGACAGATGTGGCTGATGCAGGCACGAGAGAGGAGAGCAAGTCCTGCTTGCAGAGGGTAACAATAAAGGTCAGAGAGAACCAGCTCCTGACTCTGGCCTCGTCACTTCCTGGCTGTGAGATTCTGGCCAAGTCTCACTGCCTCTCTGAGCCTCAGTCTACTCATCTGTAAAGCGGAAATAAAGAACACCCATCTTGGAGGGCTGTGCTATAGAATAAGTGAGGAAGTGGTTGTATGGTTTCCATCATATATTAGCTGCTTGATGGACACTGGATAACCCTGTTGGCTCTCTATACTGTCCCAGGTACAAGAATATAGTGTTTCCAAAGGCGATTTCAGAGGCAGCCAGATGATTATGTTAAATGACAATATCTTGGCTAGGGAGAAGGTTCATGTTTTCTCAATTCTCTTTCAACCCTCTTTAATTTAAAAAAGAATGCCCCAGAGAAGTAACACTTGTCTAACTTGCTTCCTGAGAGCAGGACGGGCTCTGCAGAGCCTCCGGTAGGCAGGTAACAGCAGTTAGCCAGATTTAAAAACGTTTTCTGTTGTTGTTGTTGTTTTATTGTTTTTATTTTTATGGCAGGCACATGATACCCATTTGTTTTGTTTTGTTTGTTTGCTTGTTTTTGAGACAGGGTCTGGCTCTGTGGCCCAGGCTGTAGCACGGGGTGGGATCTCAGCTCACTGCAGTCTCCACCTCCTGGGCTCGAGATCCTCCCACCTCAGCCTCCTGAGTAGCTGGGGTTACAGGCGTGCACCACCACGCCTGGCTAATTTTTGTCTTTTTAGTAGAAACAGGGTTTCACCACGTTGCCCAGGCCGGTCTCAAACTGCTGGGCTCAAGCGATCCACCTGCCTCGGCCTTCCAAAGTGTTGGGATTACAGGCGTGAGCTGATACCAGTTTTATGTTATGGTTGTGATATAAAGTTTTCTCGAAGACATATTGTTTTCAGAAGTTCAAAAAGTCAGGAAGCCCTCAGCACAGTAGGCAGCAAGCCAGTCTCATAATCTGAAGAAGTTCAAAAAGTGAGTTGAAGAAAAATATGAATAATAATATAGGTGGGTGGTGTATGACAGAATTCCAGAAGGGAAGTCTCAAGTGACTGGAGCCTGGTAAATACTACTGTTATGTTGCCCATAGTTTAAAATACTACAGCATGGGCACACACACTCACAAGTGTGTATGTTTGCATGTGTGTTCCATTTAAGCTACACCGTATGATGCTTAGTTACTACCTGAAGTCCCCTCATTGAGAATGAACACTGGTGCAAGTGAAAGACTCTAATCAGAAGTCCACACTTCAGAAAAGGCTGCTTCAGGGCTTTAGCTGTCTTCATTGTGGATCAATGCCACAGCCTTTATTCATTAGCTTAACTGTTGTTAGAATTTTTGTTTTCTACTGGTGAAATGTTCCTAGAAATATTCTCAGACACTCTGGCCCTTGCACAAACAGAACCTGGTGAGCCCAGTACCGTACACCCTTCAGAACGGGGCCCTGGGTCTAGGATTTAGGGTTCAGCCTCTTCTTGAGGATTTTACTGTCAGACCACGGTTAGGATGAGCTGATCCTGCCTCTAGAATGTGGTTGCATCTGCCTTGAGGAATCATTCATGCAAAGAGATGTCAGACAGACAACTGGGATTTCAAGGAGCTTCCAGAAAAACTTGAGTGGCTATTTATGAGGTGGCTTGATAATAAATACTTGTATGTGTGACAGGATTCAGCTAAGTCATATTTTCATTGTGTCTTTTGATGAACAGAAGTTCTTAAATTTAATGTATTCAAATAAACCAATCTTTTTGTGCTTGGTATCCTTTTTGTATCTTTAGAAATCCTATACCTAGAGATTATAAATATATTTTCCTAATGTTATCTCCTAAAACATTTTGTAATATTGCCTCTTACATTTATGTCTTTAATTTTCTTGGAAATGATTTCATGTGTGGTGTGAGGCAGGGATAAGTTATCTTTTTTGTTTTTTTCCCATGTGGATACCCATTTATTGAGGAATGATCTGCAAGGCTGCCTTTGTCAGTATCACAGTGCCCATCCAAATACACATGGATCTGTTTCTGGGTTTTCTATTTGTTTCAAGAGTCTGTCTATCCGTGTGCTAATACTGCACTATGTTAACTACTGTAACTTTACAATAGGTCTGGTAGAGCAGAAAGTTTCTTCCATTGTAATATAAACTTGGTAGCTAAATTTGGGGTATCATCTATAGCTCTCATCTATCTCTATTAGAGACCTTCATTTTCTACTAAAATAAAGCTAGTTATGATAGATCAAATTGGCTTCAGTTGGTTCACAACAATGTCAGTAACAGATACCCAAATGTCATGTAACAGCCTATGTAGTCTATAAAAGAAAGGGATCATTTCATCAGTTCCCTTGAAGCTGAGCCCAGGAAATCTGGCCAAAAAACTCCAAATATCCACTCTATTTATTATGTTTCATTAATAGCAGGGGGTAGTAACTTCCCCGTGGCTCATTTAACATAAGCAGTTCCCTCCCTGTGGTTAGTCCAAGTGAATTCATTATCTCTGTACCATTTCAAGCATCAGGCTGCTGCTATCCTGTATTACTCTCGGATTTTAAATTTCCTTTTCAAAACCAAAAGTCCAGGAGTTGGTGAAGCCCTGGGTGCAAGGAAAGTCTGACTCTGGAGAGAAGTCAGGTGGGCTGGGCAAGAAGCAGAATAGGCTGATTTGGGCTGAGGGACAACAGATTCTGGGGAAGTTATGAACTGGAACTTCCCGGCTAGGCAAGGTGACCCTATAGTCCTTGCCAGCAGGGCCTGGACAAAAGAAGATCATCTCCAGAATTGGAATTTCAGGCTCTAGAGGTTTGGAAAGTGACAAGGAAGAGCTGAACCTTCTTCTGAGGGCTGGGAGGCAACAGCAGCGCTGATGGCTGCCCCTTAGCCCTGGCCCTTCCTTTGTCATCAGGTACTTAGAAGACAGAAGAGTCTGGGTTTATCTGGCTCTAAGAAACACACATTTGAATATCTTGGCCTTTTGCATTTTTACTTTTTCTTTTTTTTTTTTTTTTGAGACTGAGTCTCACTGTGTCACCCAGGCTGGAGTGTAATGGCATGATCTTGGCTCACTGCAACCTCTGCCTTCTGGGTTCAAGCAATTCTCCTGCCTCAGCCTCCTGAGTAGCTGGGATTACAGGTGCCGACCACCACACCTGGATAATTTTTATATTTTTAGTAGAGATGGGGTTTCACCACATTGGTCAGGCTGGTCTCAAACTCCTGACCTCGTGATCTGCCTGCTTTGGCCTCCCAAAATGCTGGAATTACAGGCATGAGCCACCATGCCCGGCCTTGCATTTTTACTTTCTTAGAGGCCATAAGTGGTATGTGAGTGTGGAGGTGTAAAAGGCTTGAGTCCAACTCTCTAACACTCAAACCTAAAATCTTATTGTAAGTAACTTTGTTGGGCCTCCACCTCCTCATCTACACAATGGGAATAATAAAACTTACTCCTGCCTAGGAATTCGAGACCAGCCTGGACAACATGGTGAAACCTCATCTCTACCAAAAAAAAAAAAAAAAAAAAATTGGTATGTGCTGGTAGTTCCAGCTACTCAGGAGGCTGAGGTGGGAGGATCACTTGAGCCTAGGAGACTGAGGTTGCAGTGAACCAAGGTCACCCTACTGTATCCAGCCTGGGAGATAGAGCAAGACCTTGTCTCAAAATAATAAAAATAAAGCCTACTCCTCAAAGTGGTTGGAGAGATAAGACAAGGTCCCATCTGGCAAAGAGCAGATGCCAATCAGGAGAGGTTTTCTGACCTTCTTTGATATCTCCTGCCAAGAGAGGGATCATCTGTCCCCACACTGCCCCCTTCTGTTCAACACTTTTTTTGTAGAGATGGGGGTCTCACTATGTTGCCCAGGCTGGTCTCAAACTCCTGGCCTGAAGCAGTCTTCCCACCTTAGCCTCCCAAACTGCTGGGATTACAGGCATGAGCCACTGCGCCTGGACTAATACTTTTTAACAGATTTACCGTGGCATAAATTACATACCATAAAATTTACCCATTATAAGTGCACAATATCAATGTTATTTGGTAAATTACAGAGTTGTGCAGCAATCACCACAATCTAGTTTCAAAACTTTTCCATCACTTCAAAAATGTCCCCCAACCTAATTTACAGGTCATCTCTGTTTCTTCTACCACCCCCAGGTCTGGGAAACCACTGATCTGCTTTTTGCCTCCATAAATTTGCCTTTTCTGCAGATTTCATATAAACAGAATCATACAATATGTAGTTGTACACATCTGGCTTCTTTCACTTAGCATTATGCTTTGGAGATTCATCCAGCTTGTAGCATTTACCAGTGTTTCATTGCTTAATTTATTTATTTAGAGCTGGAGTCTTGCTCTGTCACCCAGGCTGGAGTACAGTAGCACTATCAAGGCTCATGGCAGCCTCCAACTCCTGGACTCAAGCAATCCTCCTGCCTCAGCCTTCTGTGTCCTGGGAGTGCAGGCTCAAGCCACTGTGGCACGCTCCCAGTGCCTTTTATTGCCAAATAAAAAGATATGTCTATTGTATGGATATTACACATTTTGTGTATCCATGCACCAGCTGATGAACTTGTGGATCACTTCCAGTTGTTGGCTATTATGAATTAATGTTGCCATGAACATTTGCAGCCAAGTCTTTGTGTGGACACAAGTTTTCAATTCGCTTGAGTATATACCTAAGAGTGGTCATATGACAAGTTTAACTTTTGAGGAAACTGCCAAACTGTCTTCCAAAGTAGCTTCCCGTCTTTTGTGTGTGTGTGTGTGTGTGTGTGTGTGTGTGTGTGTGTGTGTGTGACAGAGTTTTGCCCTTGTTGCCCAGGATGGAGTGCAATGACACGATCTCGGCTCACCGCAATCTCCACTTCCCGGGTTCAAGCGATTCTCCTGCCTCAGCCTCCTGAGTAGCTGGGATTACAGGCATGCGCCACCTCGCCTGGCTAATTTTGTATTTTTAGTAGAGATGGGGTTTCTCCATTTTGGTCAGGCTGGTCTCGAACTCCCGACCTCAGGTGATCCACCCGCCTCAGCCTCCCAAAGTACTGGGATTACAGCCGTGAGCCACCACGCCCGGCTTGCAGCTTCCTATCTTAAGGGCTCCAGTTACTCTATGTTCTCACCATCACTTGGTATTGTCCTGTCTTGTTGATTATAAGCAACTCTAGTGGCTGTATAAGTATCTCATTATGGTTTTATTTTGCATTCCCATAATGACTAATGATATTGAGCATCTATTCATGTGTTTACTAGTCATTCCTATGCCTTCTTGGGTAAAATTTTTATTGAAGTCTTTAAAATCGGGTTGTCTTACTATTATTGAGTTCTTGGTGTATGTTCAATACAAATCCTTTATCAGATATATGATTAACAAATATTTTCTCCCAGTCCACGGCTTGCCATTTCTTTCTCTTTTTTTGAGATGGAGTCTCACTCTGTTGCCCAGGCTGGAGTGCAGTGGCACGATCTTGGCTCACTGCAACCTCCACCTCCTGGATTCAAGCCATCCTCCCACTTCAGCCTCCCAAGTAGCTGGGATTACAAGCGTGTGCCACTAAGCCCGGCTAGTTTTTGTATTTTTAGTAGAGATGAGGTTTCACCAAGTTGGCCAGGCTGGTCTCAAACCCTGGACCTCTGTCTGCCTTGTGATCTGTCTGCCTTGGCACTCCAAAGTGCTGGAATTATAGGCATGAGCCACTGGCCTGGCCATTTTGTTAATGGTACTTTTTGAGATACAGAAGTCTATAAGTCAATTAAATTAAATTCAATTTTTATCAGTTTTTCTTTAAAGGCTCACACTTTTGGAGTCATAGCTAAAAACTCTGCCCAACTCAAGGTCGTGATGAGTTTCTCCTATGTTTTCTTCTAGAAGTTTTACAGTTTTAGCTCTTATATTTAGGATTATGATCCACTTTGAGTTGATTTTCATGCATGGTATGAGATAAGGATCTAACTTCATTTTGAGATAAGGGTCTAACTTCATTTTTTTTTTTTTGCATATGTATAGCTGTTGTGGGTTATAGTGTTTTGCTCTCCACCCCCTATTTATATATTAAAGACCTAACCCCCAAGCCCCTAGAATATGAATATATTTGGAGATGGGATCTTTAAAGAGGTAATTTAAAGTAAAATGAAGTCACTAGGGATGTGCCTTAATCCAATATAACTGTGTCTTTACAGGAACAGGAGATTAGGACATAGAAAGGTACAGAAAAGACCTTGTAAAGACACAGGGAGAAGAGGCATTTCATCTATAAACCAATGAGAGAGGTCAGAAGGCCCTGCTGCCTAGACTTCCAGTCTCCAGAACTGTAGGAAACTAAATGATGTTGTAAGCCAACCAGTTTGTGGTATTTTGCTATGCAGCCCTAGGAAACGAATGCAACAGGTGACTATCTCAACTGTTTGTTAAAAAGACTATCCTTTTCGGCCCAGCATGGTGGCTCATGCCTGTAATCCCAGCACTTTGGGAGGCCGAAGTGGGTGGATCACTTGAGGTCAGGAGTCTGAGACCAGCCTGGCCAACATATAGTGTAACCCCGTCTCTACTAAAAATACAAAAAAAAAAAAAAAATTAGCCAGGCATGGTGGTGGGTGCCTGTAATCCCAGCGACTCAGGAGGCTGAGGCAGGAGAATCCCTTGAACCCAGGAGGCGGAGGTTGTAGTGAGCCGAGATGGCGCCACGGCACTCCAGCCTGGGCAACAGGGCGAGACTCCATCTCAAAAACAAAAACAAAAACAAATAAACAAACAAAAACTATCCTTTTGCCAGTGAATTGTCTTGGCACCTTTGTGGAATATCAGCTGATCAAACATTTTGTAGGATTTTATTTCTGGACTCTCAATGTTGTTCCGCTGATCTACATGCCTATTTTTGTCAGTACCATACTATCCTGATTACTGCACCTTGTAGGCAGTTTTCAAAATGGGTAATATGGCTCATCTAACGTTGTTCTTTTTCAAAAGTGTTTTGACTATTCTGGATCCTTTATATTTCCACATACACTTGAGGATTGGCTTGTCAATTTCTATAAAAAAGCCTATAGAAAAGATTTTGACAGGGATTGTATTGAATATGTAGATTCATTCTGGGAGGAGTTCCATTTTAACAATATTGAGTCTTCCAATCCACAAGTATGGAATATCTCTCCATGCATTTAGATCTTCTTTAATTTTCATTGAAATGTTTTATATAAACCCTGCACTTCTTTTGTTAAATTTATTTCTAAGTATTTTATTCTTTTTGATGCTATTGGGAGTGGGACTGTTTTCTTAATTTCATTTCTGGATTATTTGTTCCTAGGATTTAGAAATACAATTGTTTTCTGTATATTGAGCTTTTATCCTGATTTTACTAAACTCATTGATTTGTCCTAATATTTTTTTGATGGATCTCTTATGATTTTCTGCATAGAGAATCGTGTCATCTGTGAGTCAAGAGTCAATACTCTTTCCTTCCCAATCTGGATGGCTTTTCTTTCTTTTTTGTGTGCTTACACTGGCTAGTCCCCTAGTAAAATGTAGAACAGACATGTAAGGGTAAACATACTTGCTTTGTTCCTGATCTGAGGGGGAGATTGTTCACTGCTCCATTTAAAAAACATTTCTTGCTATTCCTACCCCTCTCCCATCAGAATCGCTAGTGATTTTAACTTGGAGAAACAAATACCAAAGAAAAGCTGCTAAACAATATAAAAACATGCTCCTTTCCTGACTATAGCCTCAAGTCAAATGAAATATAACCAAAAGGCAGGTCTCTTGTTGTTTAGGACGTTCAAGGGACAGGAAGCTGCTGCACCATCAAACAACAGGGATTGGCTAAATAACTTTGGAAGCATGAATGTATAATGGAATACTACGTGGTCATTAAAAGTAGGCTTAAGAGGATTTTTTTTTTTTTGAGACAGAGCCTCACTCTGTTGCCCAGGTGGGAGTGTATTGTGCCATCTCAGCTCACTGCAACCTCCACCTCCCAGGTTCAAGCGATTCTCCTGCCTCGGCCTCCCGAGTAGCTGGGACTACAGGTGTGTCCCACCACACCTGGCTAATTTTTGTATTTTTAGTATAGATGGGGTTTCAACATGTTTGGTCAGGCTGGTCTCGAACTCCTGACTTCAAGTGATCCACCTGCCTCGGCCTCCCAAAATGCTGGGATTATAGGCGTGAGCCACTGTACCCAGTCAAGAGGATGTTTTAATAGTAGGGAAATTCTCACATAATAATTATGGCAAAAGAGAAAGAGCAACAAAATTACACATACAGAATGGTCTCAACATCATTAAGAAATGCACATAAAGAAAAGGTGGAAAGGAAATATGTAAAACCCTTAATAACTAACTGTTGCCTCTAAGTTGAATGATAATGAATGATTTTCCCCCTAATTTCTTTACATTCCTTTGAATTGCACAAATTTTTATTGTTGAGCATCTTGTAGCCAGAAAAAGAAAAGAAAACAGAATACACCTACAGGGAAGACTGCGTGGGCATTTCTCAGCCTTACCTTACAGTATTCATCAATTGGTATCAGGCGTTTGACAGCCACGTCCCGGATGTGGCTTCGTCTGAAGAGAATCTTACCTGCAGAAGATGAGAGCAAAGACAGTGTTGTCAGGGAACAGGGACAAGCTCTCAGCAACCTGAGAGGGTGTGGACATGGCGGTTCCTAGGGTAGGTCTGAGTGGTGCCAAAATTCCTGGCTGCGATCAAGGTACCCCCACTGGACTTCCGTGAGGCTTGGATAAGCCCATGTGAGGTCCCCCTAAACCCTGTTCACAGCTTTAACACAAGGGCTTGGGGGAATGGGACCCACGGAATAAGTTTTGGTGAGATAAGGGAGGCTGGAAGCAACTGTGGAAGGAAGCCGCTCCTACCTGATGAAGAAAGAAGGTTGGACCCGAGCATGTGAGGTCCTGTCCAACTCCAGGATTCTGGCTGGGTGAACAGTACAGTGGACAAACAGACATGCCCTCAGCAATAGTTCAGTCTCCTCCCTTCTCCTCATTCACCCTCTGCCTTTTCCTCATGTTCCCTAAACCCCCGTGCTCTACCATTCTGAGCCCTCCCCTCTGCCTGGACACCTCCCCATGCATCCCCACCACCATCCCTCATAGGGGTTAAGAGTTCCTGGCTCTTTCTGACTGCACACATTATTTATTTTTATAGCACTTCTTCTGTCCTACCAATCATGTGCTCTGCACCAATAGGAACTGACTGCGTCTCAGTCCATTTTGTGACAATAATGTTTGATAAATGTATGAATGTGGCTTCCACCTGCAAAGAGGACAGATCCTTCCAGTTCCTTCCCCAGTTAGTGTTCGTAAGAGAAGGGTTTTGAGTTCTCTTATTTCACCAAATATTAACTGAGAGTCCATGACCTGCTTCACAACATCCGAAACTCTGGGGCATGGGGCTATGAACCACCAATATGACACATGGGTAGAGAATGTGGGTCACAGGAAAACACGGGTATATACATGATGCCACTGAAGATCTCTGGAAATATCCAAGACATTGAAATGTCATGGGCGATGCCTGTTTAAAGCAAATCAGTGGGTTCTCAGAGAGTTTACACAGGATATCCTCTCTTGGGGAGATAGTGGCGAAGCATATGCACTAAGGGTTAAGACCACATGACTCACCATTCTGAATCTACCACACAGTCAGGGGTGGGGGAAATCAGAAATAAGATACAAAGGAGGGCCAAAGACATGGGAGATGGAGATAAGCCTCTACCAAGCTCGTGCAGAGCAACCGGGGGTATCTATGGGTAGGTCAAGGGGAAGGTGTGGGAGGACCAAAGCTGCTCTGGAGAGCAGAGCATGGAGACCTACTAAGAGCTCTCTCTATTTCTGGTCCTAGGAGGTTGGTTAAAAAGAGGAATTTGGGTCAAGAGGCTGGCAAGGTGAAGAGAGATTACTATTGATCTAAGACGGTTTCTGGTGAGATGGCTATCTCCACAGATCAAGCTCGGGCAGGCAGGGATAGGATGGCATAGAAAAGTCTAGTAAGGATTGGGCGTGGTGACTCACGCCTGTAATCCCAGCAGTTTGGGAGGCCGAGGTGGGTGGATCACTTGAGGTCAGGAGTTTGAGACCAACCTGGCCAACATGGCAAAACTCTGTCTCTACTAAAAATACAAAAAAAAAAAAAAAAAAAAAAAAAATCAGCCTGGTGTGGTAGCATGTGCCTGTAGTCCCAGCTACTCAGGAAGCTAAGGCAGGAGAATCACTCGCATCTGGGAGGCAGAGGATGCAGTGATCCAAGATCATACGACAGCACTCCAGCCTGGGTGACAGAATAAGTGAGACTCCGTCTCAAAAAAAAAAAGAGGCTAGTATAGTAAGAATTTTCATATGACAGAACTGGAAGGAATGTTGAAAAACAACCCTACTGACTTTTAAAGATTTGCAATGCAAAGTGGTAAAGGAGATTTGCACCCTAAAAGACCATGTAGCTAATCCAACATTTTAAACAACTGGACAACTTGCTCTGGTGCAAAAGGACACTATTTGGAAACTAGGTAGACAAGGTAAATTTAAAAAAAGAGAGAAAGCCTTTTTTTTTTTTTTTTTTGCTCATTTTCACCAATTAAAAAAATATCTAGGCTGGGTGCGGTGGCTCACGCCTGTAATCCCCACATTTTGGGAAGTCAAGGCAGGTGGATAACCTGAGGTCAGGAATTTGAGACTAGCCTGGCCAACGTGGTAAAACCCCGTCTCTACTAAAAATACAAAAATTAGCTGGTGGCACATGCCTGTAATCCCAGCTACTCAGGAGACTGAGGCAGGAGAATCGCTTGAACCCAGGAGATGGAGGTTGCAGTGAGCTGAGATCATGCCATTGCACTCCAGCCTGGGTGACAAGAGCAAAACTCTGTCTCAAAAAAAGAAAGAAAAAAATGTAGATGAATACGTATCACAAAGTATCACAAGGGAGATAACCTTTAGGTCTGGCTGCCTGAGAGCCAGGCGGAACAGAGCCATATTTCTCTTCTTTCAAAAGCAAATAGGAGAAATATTGCTGAATTCTTTTTCTCAGCAAGGAACAGCCCTGAGAAAGAGAATGCATTCCTAGGGGGAGGTCTCTGAAATGGCCACTCTGGGAACGTCTGTCTTTTATGGTTGCAGATAAGGGATGAAATAAGCTCCGGTCTCCTGTAGCGCTCCCAGTCCTATTAGGATGAGGAAATTCCCGCCTAATAAATTTTGGTCAGACCGTTGTCTGCTCTCAAACCCTGTCTCCTGATAAGGTGTTATCAATGACAATGCATGCCCGAAACTTCATTAGCAATTTAAATTTTGCCCCGGTCCTGTGATCTTGCCCTGCCTCCATTTGCCTTGTAATATTTTATTACCTTGTGAAGCACATGATCTCTGTGACCCACACCCTATTCGTACACTCCCTCCCCTTTTGAAAATCACTAATAAAACTTGCTGGTTTTGCAGCTTGGGGGGCATCACAGAACCTGCCGACATGTGATGTCTCCCCCGGACACCCAGCTTTAAAATTTCTCTCTTTTGTACTCTTTCCCTTTATTTCTCAGACTGGCCGACACTTAGGGAAATAGAAAAGAACCTACGTGAAATAACATTGAATTATTGGGGGCGGGTTCCCCCGATATCTGGCACCCAACATGGTCTTTCTTTTTTCCTAAGTGCATGTGGGAACCCAATTCCCTTTGGTAGAGATTTACTGGCACAATGGGGGGCTGAAATTAATATTCCACGTAACTCTTATAGTGCTCCCAGTCAGCATATGATGGAAAACATGGGGTTTGTTCCTGGGCTCGGTCTCGGTCCAAAGCATGAAAGGATTACTAAACCCCTCCCAGTTACTGTAAAAGAAAACAGGGCGGGTTTAGGTTATCCTTTTTAGTGGCGGCCGCTGCCACGCCTCCTGATCCTATCCCTTTACAATGGAAATCTGACACACCTGTTTGGATTCAGCAGTGGCCGCTCTCTAAAGAAAAACTGGAGGCTTTAACTCACTTGGTTTCTGAACAGTTACAACTTGGAAATGTGGAACCTTCTCCTTCCCCCTGGAATTCTCCTGTGTTTCTGGTAAAAAAGAAATCAGGCAAGTGGCGGATGGTAACCAATTTAAGGGCTATTAACACTGTAATTAAACCTATGGGGGCCGTTGAAACCGGCATGCCTGCCCATGCTTTAATACCTAAAAATTGGCCTCTCATAGTTATTGATCTTAAAGATTGTTTTTTTCATATTCCTTTACATAAATTGGATTGTGAAAAATTTGCTTTTACTGTACCATCTATCAATAGTCAGGAGCCTGCAGTTCATTATCAATGGAAAGTACTTCCTCAGGGAATGCTAAATAGCCCTACAATCTTCCAGCTTTATGTTGGGCAAGTGCTTTCAACAGTTTGAGCCCAATTTCCCCAGGCCTATATTCTTCATTATATTGATGATATTTTAATTGCTGCCCCCACTGATAAAGAATTAATTGACTGTTATCAAAGTTTGAGCCGCCGTGTTACAGAGGCTGGATTACACATCACTCAGGATAAACTTCAACAGACCACTCCTGTTCAATATTTAGGAATGGTGGTCGATAAACAACATATTCAACCTCAAAAAGTTCAAATTAGGAAAGATTCTTTGAAAACTTTAAATGACTTCCAAAAACTTTTGGGTAACATTAATTATTTAAGACCTACTTTAGGTATTCCAACCTATGTGCTGTCTAACTTGTTTTCTACACCATGGGGAGATTCCAATCTCCGCAGTCCCAGGACTGACCCCTGAGGCTTCACTAGAACTGGAATTCGTAGAGGAAATTCCAGTTATCTAGAGTACAGCCGTTTCAGCCTTTTCAGCTTCTGGTTTTCGCTTCATTACACTCCCTTACTGGACTAATAGTTCAACATAATGATTTAGTGGAGTGGTGTTTTCTTCCTCATTCTGTGTCAAAAATTTGTCTGTTTATCTAGATCAAATGGCCACCTTAATTGGACAGGCTCAGTGTAGAATACTTAAAATTTCCAGATTTGATCTGAATTTAACTGAAGTTCCTTTAAAACAGCTTGAAGTTCAAGCTGCCTTTCAACATTCCATACTATGGCAAATTCACTTGGCTGATTTTATTGGCATTATTGACAATCATTATCCAAAGAACAAATTGTTTGATTTTATAAAAATGACATCTTGGGTGGTCCCTCGATTAACCAAAGATCAGCCCATTCCTGAGGCCGTTACAGTGTTCACTGATGGCTCCAGAAATGTAAATGCTGGTTATGTAGGTCCTACAAACAAGCTTATTTCTACCCCTTATACCTCTGCTCAAAAGGCTGAGTTAATTGCTATAAATACTGCCTTACAGGATTTCCCCAAACCTTTAAATATTGTCTCTTATTCTACTTAACATGGGAAAGAGGATATGCTTGTGTTTCACCAGGAGATCATCAAAAGAAAACCGCAGGGAAAAGACGTCCGCGTCAGAGACTGCCCTCAGACGTGGTGAGATCTGTGCCAACTCCTTAGAAGCCGGCACACCAAATCACAATGGGTCTGATTCAATCCTCCTTGATGGCAATGGAGACCCATCTAACTAATTCCACTTTTCCTGATTGCCTTTCTTTTTCTCCTTACAAACCTAAAAATCTCACCATTTCTATTAGCCTGACAATAACATCCCTCTGTTCTTCTCTTCCTCCTTCAGCACTCAATCTCGCTTACACTGGGTTTTATTTAATTATTCTCCTCCTTATACTTTCTGTCTCACCAGTTTCCTCTCACACTGATTTACCTGCTACACAAAATTATTCTTATTGGGCTTATGTGCCTTTTCCTGCACTTATTCGACCTCTCACCTGGATAGATGTTCCTGCAGAAATCTACACTAATGATAGTGTGTGGATGCCTGGAGCTACAGATGACTGTTGCCCTGCTCAACCAGGAGAAGAAGGAACTGCATTTAATGTTACCACGGGTGATAAATACCCCCCTCTGTGCCTTGAACATGCACCTGGTTGTATCCATCTAGAAACTCAAGTCTGGGCTACTTATCTTCCAGAGAGATCAGCTACAGAGGAACCGGGACATTTGGTCTCCGGCCTCTCCCTTTCTCCTTTGAAACAAATGAAAGGGGGAGTACTGGGAGATACCCCATACTTTCAATATAAACCTGAGGAAAACCATGCCCTAAAAATTTTGAGGGCCCATCTAAAACTTTAATCTCAGAAGACTGTGTTAACTCACATGCAGTAATATTAAAAAATGACTCATATGGTTTAGTAATAGACTGGGCACCAAAGGGCTATTTAAAAAACAATTGCTCCTCTGGCAGAAGGGAATGCCTGGAGGCTACTTATTTTATTTCTTATCGGGAGAACGAGAATCATCATTCTACTTTGCATAGGAGGTTCAGCTTGTTCTTTCCCTTAAAATGGGAAGATAAAGGCATTACCCCCCTGAGGCCTCATATGATACTCCCCATTCTGAGCCCAGAACACCCAGAACTTTGGAAATTGGCTCTTGCCATGTCTGGACTGCAAGTATGGGAAGGGAAAACTATTCTGTCTGTTGTCCCCACTACCGTCCCCCTCTCTCAGTATCACCATAGATCCAGACATTCTGCTTTACTTACCTCCAACCTGACTGTTCCCACACAGAGTTGTGTTAAGCTTCCTTACATGCTGTTAGTAGGAAATATCAAAATTTGGACGAACAATCAAACTGTCCAATGCATTAATTGTCATTTATACACTTGTATTAACTCCCATTTTGACTCCAGGGAAAGTGTAATGTTGGTTCGGGCTCGAGAAGGAATCTGCATTCTGGTAACTTTGCCCAGACCTTGGGAATCCTCCCCCTCAATACATTTAATTAATGAAGTGTTACAGCAAATTCTAAAAAGATCTAAGAGATTTGTTTTCACTTTAAGCGCTGTGATCATAGGCCTAATTATAGTCACTGCACTGGCCACCACTGCTGGAATGGCGTTACATCAATCTATTCAAACGGCTCATTTTGTTAACGATTGGCAAGCCAATTCCACCCAAATGTGGAATTCTCAACAAGGCATTGATCAAAAATTGGCTAATCAAATTAATGATTTAAGACAGTCTGTTATTTGGCTTGGAGATTGGGTGGTGAGTCTCGAACATCACATTCAAATGCAGTGTGATTGGAATACTTCGGATTTCTGTATCACCCCGTATTCCTACAATGAGACTGATCATTCATGGGAAATGGTCAAAGGACACCTTCTAGGTAGGGAAGATAATTTATCATTGGACATAACTAAATTAAAGAAACAAATTTTTGAAGCCTCTCAAGCTCATTTATCCATTGTGCCTGGAGCTGAGGCGTTAGATCAGGTGGCAGAAAATCTTCTGGATTAAACCCCACGACTTGGATTAAGTCTATTGGGGGCTCCACTGTAGTAAATCTTAGAATTATGTTTCTCTGTTTAATTGGCTTATCTTTAGTGTGCCGGACCAGTCAAAGAATCCGGCATCAAAATTGAGAGAACGAACAAGCCTTCATCGCCATGGCACATTTATATAAAAAGAAAGGGAGAGATGTTGTAGGAAGTCAGGGACCCCGAACGAAGGGACCAGCTGAAGCCGTGGCAGAAGAACATAAATTGTGAAGATTTCATGGACATTTATTAGTTCCCCAAATTAATACTTTTATAATTTCTTACGCCTGTCTTTACTGCAATCTCTGAACATACAGAACAACAAATGTCCATGAAGATTTCAGGGACATGTATCACTTCCCCAATCAATATTCTTCTGATTTCCTATGCCTGTCTTTACTTTAATCTCTTAACCCCATCATCTTCGTAAGCTGAGGATGTATGTCGCCTCAGGACCCTGTGATGATTGCGTTAACTGCACAAATTGTTTAAACAACATGAAATCTGGGCACCTTGAAAAAAGAACAGGATAACAGCAATGTTGAGGGAACAAGGGAGATAACCATTAGGTCTGGCTGCCTGAGAGCTGGGCGGAACAGAGCCATATTTCTCTTCTTTCAAAAGCAAATAGGAGAAATATCGCTGAATTCTTTTTCTCAGCAAGGAACAGCCCTGAGAAAGAGAATGCATTCCTAGGGGGAGGTATCTGAAATGGCCACTCTGGGAACGTCTTGTCTTTTATGGTTGTATGTAAGGGATGAAATAAGCCCCAGTCTCCTGTAGCACTCCCAGGCTTATTAGGATGAGGAAATTCCTGCCTCATAAATTTTGGTCAGACCGTTGTCTGCTCTCAAACCCTGTCTCCTGATAAGGTGTTATCAATGACAATGCATGCCCGAAACTTCATTAGCAATTTAAATTTTGCCCCGGTCCTGTGATCTCACCCTGACTCCATTTGCCTTGTGATATTTTATTACCTTGTGAAGCATGTGATCTCTGTGACCCACACCCTATTCGTACACTCCCTCCCCTTTTGAAAATCACTAATAAAAACTTGCTGGTTTTGCGGCTTGCAGGGCATCACGGAACCTGCCGACATGTGATGTCTCCCCCAGACACCAGCTTTAAAATTTCTCTCTTCTGTACTCTTTCCCTTTATTTCTCAGACCAGCCGACACTTAGGGAAAATAGAAAAGGACCCACATTGAATTATCGGGGGTGGGTTCCCCCAATAGGGGGAATTTTGGGGAAGGCATTTACCTCCCGGAGCCTCAGTCTCCTCATCTGTGAAATGGGACAGCAGCCCCTAGCTCTTAGAAGCTGTCTCCATGACACCCAGCACCGGGGTGGCCCTTAGTAGGTGCTTGCAAAGGGGCAATTACTTTAGACTTTAGATGATTCATGCACTCTGCAATTCAGAGTGCACGTTCTTTCCTCAACTCCCAGCTTTCTTAAACCTGCCTCCAGCAGGCCAATTTGTCATTTACCCACAGCAGAGCCCGAGTTGTGGCTCAGGCCCTGGCTGTGGGGCAGAACCGTGAGGCCAGTGGTAGGCATGGGAGCCAGCACCTCCTTGGCCAGGGCCTCCCTGGTGAGGTGCCATGGGCAGCGGCCCCGGCCTGTGCCTGACATGAGGTGTTTCTGTGTGCATCTCAGGGAAGGAGGGTGAGCCGATTGCCTTCCTGGAGTGGAAAGGGTGTTCAGAGGCGAGCACAGCCTTTGGTGGGAATGGTCGGCTTTTGTTTTCCACTGTGGAGGAAGGCCAGACTGTAATTCCTATTTTTCAGGCAGCATCCTCTGCCAAGTTGGCTTCCCCAGCTCCTCCTGGGATGGAAAACTGTGCAGGCTGCTCTCCCCTCCCCCGCCTTTGTGCTAACATGAGACTTGCTTTTGTTCTGCTGACGCGGCAGTCTTGGCAGAAAACTGACCCCTAGGAGAGGGGGCGCTTCTTTCGTGCTTCCCTGCCTTGGCCTCACCCTCGGCCTTGAGGAAAAGCTAAGAGGTGGCTCAGAAGGGGTGGTCCGGGGTCCTGGGGCCCAGCGGGGTCCTGGGGTCCAGCAGGACCTCTCCAAGCCACAAGTGGGTGCCTTGAGAAGGGACCAAGTCCCTGGGAACGGCATTTTCATTAATTCTTTGGTGGAGATGGATTACGTAACCATGAAAGCTTTTAAGAGCTTGGGAGAGGGTCGGCTCAAGTTCTTCTCTGTCTTGGGTAGTTTTCCAGAGCTGAGTTTGCCTTTTATCCAGTAAAGAGTTAGAACTCACTGCCTTCCTTTCCTTTCTTGATGTAAAAAAGCTACATTTGGAGTCCAGTTTACCTTGAATATCCAGAATGGTCATTTAAGGAGGACTCTAACATGTGAAACCAAGAGATTCCAAAGGCATGTCCCAGGACCCTGTTTCTGCCTTTACCAATAATCTACTATGTGCCAGGAACTGGACCTTGTGAAGCAGGGCTCACTGTCCCGTTTTTAACAGATGTGGAAACTGAGGCTCAGAGGGGGATGTCGCTTGCTTGAGGTCACAGGCTAGTCTGTTTGACTCTGAAGCACACGCTTTGGAGCGCTGACATTTGGCTGCCGCAGCTGGCCAGCGGGGTTTTCTCCAGCAGGAAAGAAAATTCCAGCATGGTTGTACACTTTGCCAGTGGAGAAACTACAAATGTTAGCTTTTTTAGGTAAAGGATTCTCCCAGTGGAGGAGGCCTGGCAAACACATGCGCCCTGTCTCTAAACCCATTCAGTGACATTAATACCTGAAGAACCCACTATGTTCTGGACTAGGGGGTTGGGAGACTGGCACTTGTGTGACCCAGGGAGTCCCCCCAATCTCTAGACCTGTTCCCTTTGCTGAAAAAAGATATATATATATATATTTTTTTTTGAGATAGAGTTTCACTCTTTCACCCAGGCTGAAGTGGTGCAATCTCAGCTCACTGCAACCTCCACTGCCCGGGTTCAAGCCTCAGCCTCCCAAGTAGCTGGGATTATAGGTGCCCGCCACCACGCCCAGCTAATTTTTATATTTTTAGTAGAGAAGGGGTTTTGCCATGTTGGCCAGCCTGGTCTCAAACTCCTAGCCTCAGATAATCCACTCACCTTGGCTTCCCAAAGTGCTAGGATTACAGGTGTGAGCCACCATGCCTGGCCTTGAAAAAGGATCTAAAGGGCCCGTCCAGCTCTAAATATCTGTGACTTAGGGTGATTGTCAGATTGCTGATTTTCAGTACATAAAAATCATCATAGTAAGTGCTTGATAGCTGTTAGTGACCTGCCAGGCATTTACAGAATCATCATAACAACTTCATCATTTTAGTACCATCATTATCTCCAATTTGCAAATGAAGTCATCTACCCAGGGTGACAGAGTTGGTGAGGGGGGCATGCTGGGATTGGAACCCAGGTTGTCTGACTCCAGGCACAAATTTTGGAGCCAGCCATACCTGTGTCTGAATTCCAGTTCTGCCATCTGTGCAAGCGCCCATAGGTTCCCTGAGCCTCAATTTTCCTCATCTGTGAAATGGGTGCAGTAATGCCTATGCCGCAGGGCTGCTCTGAGGAGCAAACGAGGTAATGAAAGTAAAGCACTGAGTGACTGGCCCACAGTAGGGAGCTATTATTATACTTGAAGCAGTAACACTGGTTTGGGTAACCCCTCTCTTTGAGCTGAAGCCGTGATAGTATTCTTTGGTAAGAATTTGGAGGGATGGAGACTGACTGCCTTGGGAACAGAGACTAGGCATAATTGCATTAAACGCTGCACAGCAGCTGGTGTGCTGCCTGGTAGCCATGTGAGGTAGGTTCATAAACTTTCTAAAATATCCCCCAAGGATGTGCCGCCCTAATCCCCAAAGCTTGTATATGTGACGAGCTATTATATGCCTTCCGTTCACTTTAGAAGAGGGAGATTATCCTGGATTAGTCAGGTAATAATTGTATGAGTCCTTAAAAGCAGACAGCTTTCCCTGACCGGTGGCAGAAGGCAAAGTCAGAGGGATCTGAAGCCCTAGTCAGATTTGCTGCCCCACTGTTGGCTGGGAGATGGAGAGGGCTCCTGTGATGAGGGATGTGGGAAGCTTTTAGAGGATGAGAGGGTGGCAGCCAGCACGGAAACAGATCTTGGTCCTATAGCTCTGACGAGCTGAACTCTGCCAACAATCTACGTGGAGGCTGGAAGTAGACTTTTCTGTAGGTCTTCCAGATAAGAGCTTGGCTCAGCTGACATCTTGACTTCAGCCTCATGAGACCTTGAGCAGAACCCAGTTGGGCCAAAAACCCTGCCTGGATTTTTGGCCCACAGACCTGTGAGGTAACACATGGGTGTTTTAAGCTATTAAATTGGTGGTAATTTGTTATGTAAGAATAGAAAACGAATACCATAGTTATAGAAACAGAAAGCACTCACTAGAAAAACTTTCTGAGTTCGAATTATTCCCATTTTAGAGATGGGAGAAACTGAGGATCCCAGAGGTAAAGGGTCTTCTCAAAGTCATTCATCAGCTAGTAAATGGTGTAGCATCTAATGCCAAAACCCAAGTACTCAGTCATTAACCCACTTATGCCTAGTGTTCCATTATTGGAATGCTAAGCCTGTGGGAATTATTTATATATTACTGCTCAAGGTCACTGCCAAGGTCTGATTTTTCACTCATGTAAAAATACAAAAAATTGCAACCTCCGGCATAAATGGGTTAATTTCTACAAATGGCTGAGATTCTGGTCAGTGGGATGGTGTCCCCTGATAAAGGAAGACAAGCTGATAAACTGTCCCAAGGGCTCTGGGAACTGTAACAGAGCCCCCAGTGTCCCAGTCTGAGAGCACCCATCTCACCTACCTGGCAGAAAGGGGATGATCCGCTGCTTGGGGTCCTTCTGTCCTCCTTCCATGGGAAATTTGTCCAACATCTGCATCTAAGTGGGGGGCGAATACCAAAAACAAAAACCTTTCATAATGCACTAAACATCATCTAGGACATTTTAAAGAAATTATGTGAAATATGTGATGTGATATACTAAAAGTTCACTGCGTTCAGCTTTCCAGAAACCCAAACTAATGGGAAAGGCAATTTCAGTTGGACCTAGAAACCCCATGAAAACAATGTTTATATCCACAGCCGCCAGATTTGTGAAGGTTCAGAGTTAGGAGAGACCATTCCCGGCTTTCCTGGGGTTCTCCATCCACAGGATCTGAAACGTGAACAACACTCTCAGGGCCACCAGGATTTCATGGACAGCAGGTCATCCTGCTCCTAAGTATTTCTGGGTTGAGGTAAGGAATAAATCATTAGCATCCAATCAATGTGGTTCGGTTCATGCTTATGAGGGCACTATATTCCCCTGACCCAGGAAGAATTCTTCAGGTCGGCTCAACAGATAGCTTTGGGCCTGGCTCTGTGCTAGAGGAACAGGAGACAGCGAGGAAAAGATTCATAATCTAGAGAGGGGACTGAGAAGAGAACTGATCATTAAAAGGTGGTGCAAAGAGAGGGAGGTGTAGGCTGCTGTGGGGGTAGAGGTACAAGAGGGCAGAGTCCCCAAAACAAAAACCTTTCATAGTACCATAAACGTATCTCTGAAAGCTTCAGGGACTTCATGTGAAATATCGGATTTGGCATACAAAATCACGAGGATCTGCTTCTTACTCCCCATGGGGTCTTAGGAAAGTGACAAAACCTTTTAGGACCTCATCTTTAAGTCTGCCATAAGGACACTGACTTGCAGCGTTATTTTATGGATTAAAGCTGGGCTGCGGAAGTCATTAACGCTGTTGTCAAATATTTCTGGTTCTTCTTCTGAGCACATGGTAGATTTGTACTTTCCCCAGTCCCTTGAAGTAGGATGTGGCCAATCCATGTGAGCTGGAGACATGTGTCACTTCAGGGTGGAAGATGATGACTGGTGGATGCTTTCCCACTTGCTATTTCCCTCTTCCATGGGGATTGGCCACTCTCCAGAGCCTGGCTTCTCTGCTGGCCGCGGTCATGGGATGAGGTCCAAAGACCCCAGTGACCTCTGCTGGACATGTGGCCTGAGTGAGCTATGCCAAGATGCTCTGGTTGTATAGTGAGGTTATCTGCATAAGCAGCATCTTAACCTACCCTGTTTAGTACACGGGTCAAGGAATCAAAGCAGATGGTGAGGGAGAAAGTCCCAAGCCTTGTGGAGTAATGGCTGGAATGTGAAAAGCCTGCCCACAGGAAAGTCACTCTGGCACTTGAGATCTGTCCCTCTCATGGAATAAAAGAAACTTTGAAAAGTCCAGGAGAAATACACCAGCTATTGTGTAGGCATTTGGGGAGGGAGGGGAGGACCCGAAGTGGGAGAGAACAGAGATATGTATACGAAACACCTACTATCTGCCAGACATGGGCTAGATTCTTTAGAAACATTCCCTCATTAAATCCTCGATCATTGCTTTAAGGTGGACCTGACTGTCCAGGAAACTGAAGGCCTGTAGCCAACAAAGCGGAGGGGCCAGAGACTGAAGACCACTTGCTTCTTTATCATCAAATCACCTCGCCTCTGAAATGCTACAAAGACAATTAAAAAGGCCAGGGCTGCTTTCCCAGGCTGGAGCTCCCGGCCTCTTTGGTGCTGTTCTACACGATGCCCTGGGCAGGTGAGTCAGCCTCAGCTTGGCTGCGCATCCTGGAAGCTGCTGGAATGCACGGCCTTGCCCCAGAAGTCTTTAAACTTTTAAACTGTGGGTTTTTTTTTTTCCTTCTCTCTTTTTTCCCTTGGTCGCTAGCTACAGGTTTATTAATCTTTATCGTTTCAAAGAACTTGCTTTTAGTTTCACTGATTTTCTTTATTCTTTTTCTGTTCTCAATTTCTTTTCTTTTTTGAGACAGGGTCTTGCTCTGTCACCCAGGCTGGAGTGCGGTGGCACAATCATGGCTCACTGCAGCCTCAATCTCCCTGGGCTCAGGTGATCCTCCCATCTCAGCCTCCAGAGCAGCTGGGACTATAGGCGTGTGCCACCATGCTCAGCTAATTTTTTTGTATTTTGTACAGATGGCTTTTGCCATGTTGCTCAGGCTGTCAATTTCTTATCTTAATTACTGCCTTTCTTTTGTGTGCTTTGGGTTATCACTTTTTTTTTTTTTTTTTTTTTGAGATGGAGTTTCCCTCTTGTTGCCCAGGCTGGGGTGCAATGGCATGGTCTTGGTTCACTGCAACCTCCACCTCCCAGGTTCAAGAAATTCTCCTGCCTCAGCCTCCCAAGTAGTTGGGATTACAGGCGCCTGCCTAACTTTATTTTTAGTAGAGACGGGGTTTTACCATGTTGGCCAGGCTGGTCTCGAACTCCTAACCTCAGGTGATCTGCCTGCCTCGGCCTCTCAAACTGCTGGGATTACAGACATGAGCCACCACGCCTGGCCTGGGTTTTCACTTTCTAGTTTATTTTAATTTTTAAATTTCTAAAATTTAATTTTTAATTGACACATAATAATTGTATATATTCATGGGGTACATTAGTAATGTTGATTCACATAATATGTAGTGATCAGATCAGCATATTTACACATTCATCATCTCAAACATGTATCATTTATTTGTGTTAGAAATATTCAATGTTTTCTTTCCAGCTATCTGAAACTATATAATACGCTATTGTTAACTATAGTCATCCCACAGTACTATAAAACACTAGAACTGGCCAGGCGCGGTGGCTCACACCTGTAACCCCAGCACTCTGAGAGGCCGAGGTGGGTGGATGGCCTGAGGTCAGGAGATCGAGACCAGCCTGACTAACAGTGAAACCCCCTCTCCACTAAAAATACAAAAAAATTAGCTGGGCGTGGTGGCGGGCACCTGTAATCCCAGCTACTAGGGAGACTGAGGCAGGAGAATTGCTTGAACCTGGGAGGTGGAGGTTGCAGCGAGCCGAGACCGCGCCATTGCACTACAGCCTGGACAACAAGAGCAAAACTCTGTCTCAAAACAAAAACAAAACCAAAAACACTCAAAACACTAGAACTTATTCCTCCTATTTAGCTGTGATTTTGTTTCCTTTTACAAATCTCTCCCTATCTCCCCACTTCCCCCTACCCTCCCCAGCCTCTAGTTATCCTCTGTGCTACTTTTCACTTTATGAGATCAACTTTTTTAGCTTCCACATGTAAGTGAGAACTTTATGTTCCTGGCTTATTTCACTTAACATAATGTCCTCCAGTGGCATCTATGTTGCTGCAAATGACAGGATTTCCTTATTTTTGATGGCTGAATAGTATTCAATTGTGTATGCATACCACATTTTCTTTTTCTTTTTCTTTTCTTTTCTTTATTTTGAGACAGAATTTCGCTCTTGTTGCCCAGGCTGGAGTGCAATGGCACGATCTTGGCTCACTGCAGCCTCCGCCTCCTGGGTTCAAGCGATTCTCCTGCCTCAGCCTCCCCGGTAGCTGAGATTACAGGCATGGGTCACCACACCTGGCTAATTTTTGTATTTTTAGTACAGACGGGGTTTCACCATCTTGGTCAGGCTAGTCTTGAACTCCTGACCTCAGGTGATCCACCTGCCCCGGCCTCCCAAAGTGCTGGGATTACAGGCATGAGCCACTGTGCCCGGCCCATACCACAATTTCTTTATCCATTCATCTGCTGATGGGTACTTAGGCTGATTCCACACCTTGGCTGCTGTGACTAGAGCTGCAATCAACATGGGATGTATTATCTCTTAGATATACTGATTTCCTTTCCTTTGGATAAATGCCTAGTGGTGGGATTGCTGAATCATATGGAAGTTCTCTTTGCAGTGTTTTGAGGAACCTCTACATTGTTTCCCATGGTGGCTATACTAGTTTACGTTCCCACCAACTGTGTGTAAGAGTTCCCTTTTCTCTACATCCTTGCCAGTATTTTAAACATGTGGTTTTATTTGTGGTTTTGAGTCATTGTCCCCTGTTCTGTTGCCTGGTGAGGTGGAAATGCTTGGTCCACTGTCATTCAGAGACAGGTGAGGCCACAGTGGGGACTTGCTGGAAAAGGCAGCCTTCTTTTTGTGAATCCAAGAGCTCTTCAATGCCAGCACATAGTAGATGCTCAATAAAAACGGGCTGAACTTGATGTCGATGAAGAGAGGTTGTGAGTGGCGAGGACAAGGGGCTATGCTCTGTACTTTCCAGTCAATTTTTCTGAGAACCTAAAACTTCTCTAAAAACTAAAGTTTACTGATTAAAAAAAAATTGGCTGAACCAATGAACGCAACTGAGCAAACGCTTTGGGAGGCAACTTCAGGAGATGTTTGCTAAGTAACTCTGAGGAATAATATTCACATTACTAATACTAAATAATAATTAGTAATCACAACTAACACGTATATAACAGTTCACAGTGAACATGTCCTCTCATATACGATTTCATGTGACCTTGACAGTAACTCTGTGACATAAATGTTACATTCCCCTTGTCACAGATGAGGTAACTGAGAAGCAGAGAGGGCAGTGAACTTGCCTGAAGTCACACAGCTAAGTGGTGTGTCCAGCCAGTCCATGCATCTTTGTCTAAATTCCATTCTTTTTGCCTAAGACCACTCTTTGAGGCAGCTTCAGAGTGTCACGTGAACACAAAAGTCAGCCTGAGATGAGGTAAGTTTAATATTCTGTGCACATGTGAACAGCATGCTTTCTTTTCGAAAGCAGAGCCATTAATCAGTCTCAGCTGTGGAGTATGTTAGAGATTTATAGGTTTTTGCCTAACACTATCTACTTTTTCCCTTCTCAATTTTATTTGTTAAGACAATGAAACACCATTAAAGGGAACTTTTTTTTTTTTAAAGAATGCACCAGTAATCTGTCCACCCTAACATGACTATTTCCAATCTCCGGGTTCCTTTGGAGTCCCTGCCTGAATGTACATGTCAGCCAATGAGTCCCTGCCACTGCTGTGTTTTTCAGTCCTCAGAGGGGTCTCTACTGCCTGGTCTTAAGAAGCTGCTCTCTTGCCCTTTGTCCTGACTTGATTTTACCCAGATCAGCATGGCCCAAGGAGCTGAAAGGCCTCCCTTTGTTTTATTTGTTGGAGGTGGCAGATCTGGGTTTAAATACTGCATAGTCTAACCACAGACATGACTGCTGGGGACCCAACAGCCCTGGGGTTCAATCCTGATGCTTCCTCATGCCAGCTGTGTGTCTTTGGCCAGACACTTCATCCCTGAGCCTGTTTGGCCGTCTGCAGGATGAGGGACGCAGCCTGCTCCGCGGCGGGGCTGGGTAAATGAGTGCTATGTGGAAACTCTGGGGAGCACACCAGATGCTCAGCAAGAAATCCCCGCTCCTTACACTCTGCCCATATTGAATATGTTATTTTGAAAGTTATTTGGGGATAACTTTTAGTAGTCTGTAAGGCTGTGTGGTTTTTTTTTTTTAATCGTGTTAAATATACACAAGAGAAGATTTACCATTTCAACCACACTTGGGTGTACAGTTCAGTGGCATTCAGCACATTCACAATGTTGTGTAAACATCACCACCATCCATCTCTGGAACCTCTTCATCATCCAAAACTGAAACTGTGACTCCCCCCTCTCCCTCCCCCTGGGCCCTGGCAACCACTACTCTGCTTTCTGCCTCTATGAATCTGACTGCTGTAGCTACCTCCAATAAGTGGATGACACAGTACTTGCCCTTTTGGGACTGGCATATTTCACTTAGCATAAGGTCCTCAAGCTCCATCCATTTTATAGCATGTGGCAGAATTTCCTTCTTTTTTAAGGCTGAATAATATTTGATTGTGAGGCTGTGTTTTAAGGTTGGCAAAAAACCCCTCAGGACTGCCCGGGTGGCCCCGTGGCTGTAGCAGGGCTGTCTGCTGGCACTTTCTGCCATCATGGAGGTGTTCTACATCTTGCTGTCCAATCCAGTGGCCACTAGCCTCCTGGTAGCTATTGAGCAGGTGAAATGCTGCTCCTGCAACTCAGGAGCTCAATTTAAAAATTTTCTTTAATTGACTTGAATTTACATTTAAATACCCTCATGTGACGAGCAGCTGCCATCCCGGACAGTGCAGGGCTGGACTATCACAATATCCTCCTATTTAAACCACATCCAATTTTATTTCGTTTTCTTCATCACTGTGTCCAATGTCAACGGCCATCTGTGAGTTTGCTAGTTGCAAAGACTAGGACTCAGGATAAGATGCTGGGGGATTAGAGCCCTGCAAGCTTTCCTTGCCGAGCTGGTCTTGGTGTGTCCAGGTTTACGGCCACCAATTGCATCTATGCAGAGAACTGTAACACTAGGCATCCAAAGGCCTTGAAGTAGGTTCTCCAAGGGACCAGGCCCAGGCTGTCTGCAGCAGCAGGAGCAGAGGCATGCTCCTCAAAGCCTAACCCATGTCATCCTTGGTAATGAGAAAACCCACTACCCGCGCTCCCCCCAGATAACAAAAGAAGTGGCGCTCAGGGTGAGGAGGACTGGAAACTGAAGAGGAAGATGAGTCATTTGGGGAGTAGGAAGGGAGAAGGAGTCACATCAAGTTGCCACATCACAGGCTTCCAAGAAGAAAGAGAGAACACTCCATCAGCAGTTTTCAAGACATCAGCTTGCGGTAGAGGGAATGCGAGACACGCTGTCCAAAGAACACGCCATGGAAGCTGGCCACCACACGTGGTTTGCGTTAGCAGCAGCCATTGAGGCTGGACTTGGGAGGGGTTTACCCCCTCAATATCACAAAACCCCCAAGTCCCAGCGGAGCCGGAGCAGGAAGTGGAGAAAGGCCTGGGGCCATCATGCGCAGCTGCAGGCTGGCAGAAAGCCACAAGGTCCTGGGGCAGGGCTTTCAGGGCCCTGAACACAACGGTGTCCCTGGGCCTAGTCTACCATCTGTGGTTTGTTGTCTTTGAGGATTCTGGCCCCTCCACGAGCTGGTCTAAATATCAATGTGTCTGGTGTCCTGATGGACGTGCTGCACGGAGGCTGCCACCACCTCCGGTCTGTCCGCTTCTCTCCATACTTACTGCTCCCCCTAAGTCCAGGCCTGTATTTTCTCAGTTCAACCCCCTTACTACTGTTGGCCCTCTCTTCTGCCCCACTACCTCCTCACTGGTACACGGTAAGCACCTGTTAGATATTTGTGCAAAGAACAAATGAGTAAATGAATGAATGAATGAATGAAAAAACAAATGAGAAAAAGTGGTTAACTGGTTTGGTCAGCCACTCTCTGGGAAAGGAAAAATTACATACCAGGTGGCAGCAACAGGGCCTGGACCTGAGTTTAGCTGCAACTGCCCAAGATAATCATGCCTCTTTCTATTTTAGAAATAAAGAATTGCTAACTGTGTGGAAAAAGGCAACTACGGTATTTTCCCAGTGACACACCTTCCATATGGTAATAGCTTTTAGTGGGAAGGGAAAACTATTCCATTTAAGTATGCACAACACGTTGGAGGCATACTCCAATTCCAGAAGATAATGTCTGGGAGAAAAAGTGTGTCTGAGGATGGAGTAAAGGCAGTATTTGGATAAATATGGTTGGTGGAGTCTTGGGCCAGATGTTGGCTGGGATCTTGCTGGGAAGGCTTCCCGGCCAGGCAATGCCTGCCTAGGGAGTGAAAACTCTTCAGTTCTGCCATCCCCTAGACCTGTCCTCAGAAAAGCTGGAAGAAAACCCTCCCTTCCCTTTGGCCTCTGCAGTGGAGCATGGGGGCTTATGGGCAGATAGTCTTAAAAAGTACACTTGGGGCTGTTAAACTCCCAAGAGGGCCGAGGTGGAAGGACCAGGGTCTTAGAAGGAGACAGGTCAAGGCCGGGCGCAGTGGCTCACGCCTGTAATCCCAGCACTTTGGGAGGCTGAGGCGGGTGGATTGCTTGAGGCCAGGAGTTCAATACTGGCCTGACCAACACGGCAAAACCCCATCTCTACTAAAAATACAAAAATTAGCCGGGCATGGTAGCGCGTGCCTGTAATCCCAGCTACTCCGGAGGCTGAGGTGGGGGAATCGTTTGAACCCGGGAAGCGGAGGTGGCCGTGAGCCGAGATCGCGCCACTGCACTCCAGAGCGAGACTCCATCTTAAAAAAAAAAAAAAAAAAAAAAAAAAAGAAGGGGATGGGTCAGTCCTAGCTCAATGGAAACTGGAAACAAGCGGTTTTTGCTGCATGACTTGGGACAGTCTCTGGAGAGACAAAGGCATAGATGGAGATGCAGCCTCCACCTGTGATTTGAGGCGTCCAAGAACTGCTCGAGCCGTAAGCCCCTGAGCCTAGCAGCAACGCTCTGGCACAGCGTGCGGAGCAGGAGAGGAGCCAGAAAAGCTTCTCTGGATCTCTGCAGCATGAACTTCCCCGTAGGGAGTGTTCCTTCTTACAGATGAGGCTGGCATTTCTCCCGAGGGCTCCTTCACGGGCAGAGTGACTCAGCTGGTTCTGTGCCCCCCTGCCAATGTTGGAATTCTGGAAGATGCCCAGCTAAGACTCCTGCTCCATTGCACCTCTGCACCTTTGCACATGAGGTGTCCTCTGCATGCAATGCCCTCCCCCATTCGGTGGAGGGGCCACTCCTTATTCATTGTCAAGACCCTGCTCAGATGTCACCTCCTCCAGCAAGTGAGCCCTGTCTGAGCTCCCTGGCTAGGAGGGAGGTCCCTCTGTGAACACCTGGATTTCTCTCTATCTGAAAGAACATGTGCCTATTCCCACTACACTGGAAGCTTATGGAAAGCAGAGATCCATCTGGGTCCCTTGTGGCAGCTCGAGGTCTAGGTTAGCAAATGTTTAACTGCGCCTTCTGTGAGGGAAGCCCTGGCTCCAGTGATGACCATGACCCTTGGCCTGGGGGACACAATGAACCAGTGGGAACTCAGAAGACAAAGGTTGCACGGTACAGTGTAGAGGGGCTCATGTTTTGGTCAGAACTGCCCTCTGTGGATAGACTCTGCCTGTATCTTAGAGGGAGGAGCCAAATGGGCCTTAAAAAGGGGCAGCCATAGGCAGGACTCTATGTGGGTAAATCTATCTTTCAATAGGCAGATTGAAAGGCAATCCCGGGGCCCAAGGAGGCAGGGAGGTTAGGAGTGCAAGTTTCAGATCCAGCCACACCTGGGCTTGAATCCCAGCCATGCTGCTTTCTGGGCATGTGACTCTGTCTTTCTGAGCTTCAGTTTCCCCATCTGTGAAATGGATACAATACTGACCTCATGCCTGTGAGGACAGAATGAGATGGCATATAAGATGGGCATCTGGCACATTCCAGTTAGTGACTGCCGATATTGTTACTATGTGGCTCAACCCAGCCACATTTCTGCTAGGCACTACCCTCAGCTCTCTGGGCACTCCAGTCATCCCCAGTGCTCTGCCTGGATGCCAATTTCCTTTGCCACACTGATGGACTCCCCAGAGTAGTCCCAAGCCAGGGCAGAAAGGGAGAATCAGAGAGGCTGGGTGACCATCCCAAGGCCGCACAGCTGGTAAGACAGAGGGAAGGACCCGACACCAGGTATTCTTATTTCAAGCCCAGGGCTCTATCCCATTTCCTGCACCCTCAGGTGAATGAGACGTGTGGTCAGATGTCAAGTAAGAGCATCAGGCATCACTATCAGGCCCTTCTAAGGTAAGCAAGTCAGGAAACCAAGTTGGAAGGTGAATCTTCATAAAGGGGAACTTCCAGCCGGGCGCGGTGGCTCAGGCCTGTAATCCCAGCACTTTGGGAGGCCGAGGTGGGTGGGTGACTTGAGTCCAGGAGTTTGAGACCAGTCGGGGCAACAAAGCAAGACTCCGTCTCTACAAAAATTTAAAAAATTAGTCAGGCGTGGTGGCACACACCTGTAGTCTCAGCTACTCGGGAGGCTAAGGTGGGAGGATCACTTGAACCTAGGAGTTTGGGGCTGCAAGTGAGCTGTGATGGCGCCACTGCACTCCAGCCTGAGTGACAAAGTGAGACCCTGTCTCTACTTTTTTTTTTTTTTGAGACGGAGTTTCGCTCTTGTTGCCTAAGCTGGAGTGCAGTGCACGATCTTGGCTTACTGTAACCTCTGCCTCCCGGGTTCAAATGATTCTCCTGCCTCAGCCTCCTGAGTAGCTGGGATTACAGGTGCCCACAACCACGCCCAGCTAGTTTTTGTATTTTTAGTAGAGACGGGGTTTCACTATCTTGGCCAGGCTGGTATCGAACTCCTGACCTTGTGATCCGCCCACCTCGGCCTCCCAAAGTGCTGGGATTACAGGCGTGAGCCACTGCGCCCGGCCTCTACTTTTTTTTTTTTTTTTTTTAAAAAGGACCTTTTCATAGAGACTGTGAGTCTCTCTCTCTCTCTCTCTTTTTTTTTTTTTTTTTTTTTTTTTTTTTTGATATAGGGTCTTGCTCTGTTGCCTAGGCTAGAGTGCAGTGGCACAATCTCAGCTCACTGCAGCCTCGACCTGCTAGGCTCAAGGGATCCTCCCACCTCAGCCTCCCAAGTAGCCTGGGCTACAGGTGCGCACCGTCACACCTGGCTAATTTCTAAATTTTTTGTAGAGATGGGATCTTGTTTTGTTGGCCAGACTGGTCTTGAATTTCTGGGCTTAAGTGATCTGTCTGCCTCAGCCTCTCAAAGTGGTGGGATTACAGGTGTGAGCCATCACACTCGGTGACTGTGAGTCTCTTTTCCCACAAGGGAGCCTGGGTCATGCTCCAACTCCTCAGTGGCCTCTCTGCAGACTGTTTCCTCTGCCTGAATGTCCTGCCCCCGTTGGAGGGGGCATATTGTTTTCTATCACCTACAGGCCATTTCCATGATGTCCTCCAGGGAATCTGCCACTGCTCTGTTAGTCTCCATGCACTGGCAGGACACTGATTCTACTTTCAGTCCCCAGGTTGGTCCCGAATAGCCTGGTCATGTGACCCAAGATGAGCCAATGAGACTTTTGCTTTAACTGTTGGGGTGTTCTCTTTCCCTGAAGTCGCTGGGCTATCTGTGGGATGCAGCCTGGGGCTGTGGCTGCCACCAGCTGGACATCAACTGGCCTGGACACAAAGAAAGCTAAGAAGTGAAGAAAGCCAAGTCCTCATTGATGTGTGGTGCCTAGATCCAGCCACACCTGAAGCCAATTTCCTTAGACTTCTCAGTTACACTCAGCTAATCAATGCTCTGTTTGAATAATCCATCTTGACTGGGCTTCTGTCATTTGTACCTAAAAGAGTTCTGATGAAAACAAGATCTCATGGCCAGCAAGTGGCAGAATTTGGATCAAAGCCCAGCCCTGTCTAATCCCAAAGCCCAGGATCTTCACCACTCTATTAACTGGCATCATCTCCTCTAATCTTTACGCCAATTCCTAGCAGCACCCATGCCCATCAATAATCCTAATAGCTGACATTTGCTTGGTGCTCGACAGCCTAGAAACTGCTCTGGCACTCACCATCCCTTTTACACTGAGATATACTTCACATACCATAAAAGTCACCCTTTTAGAGTGTTCAATGTAGTGGCTTCCAGTATATCCATAAGGTTATGCCTCCATGACCACTAAATCATTCTAGAACATCTTCATCACCCCGAAAAGGTACCCAGTACCCATTAGCAGTATCTTCCCGTTTTCCCCTAGCCTCTGGCAGCCACGAACCTGCTTTCTGTCTATGAATCTGCCTCTTTTGGACACAGATAAGTTTTAACTCACGAGAACCTTGTGAAGCAGCCACTAGAGAGAGGAGCCCCAGAAAAGCAGAGCAGCTAAAAGTGTGGATACTGGGGTCGCCTGCCAGCTTCCAATCTGAGCTCTGAGGCTCACTAGCTGTGTGACTTCGGGCGAACCACTTAACCTCTCTGAGCCTGGGTTTCTTCATTTGCGTAATTGGATAAGCTTGTCTGAAGGACTGAATGAGTCACTACATCTAGATGTTTAGCAGGATGGGGGCCCACATTCAGTGTTCCAGAAATGCCAGCTGTTTCTATTGTTTTCACCCCATGTCACCAATGAGGGCTCTCAGGCACAGAGGGGTTAAGGGGTGTGCCCAAGGCCACACAGCTGGAGGGTGGCTGGGCCCCAGGTCTCCTGACTGAGTCCTCTGCTTTTTCCATTACGCCACACTGGCCTTGCTGCTCCTCCACCAAGGCTCGGCTCTCCCCACGCTGTTTGGGCCAAGTTACTTCTGAAAATACCAGGGCTGCTTGCCAGACAAGAGGGAGGGGAGGGTGGAATCATGAAATCATCTAACTCCAGGGTGTTGCAGGCCCGCAAGGGCTGGTGCGATCCTGCCCTAACCTCTTCCAGCTTTCCCTGCTGGGGTGTGTGTGGGGGAGGAGGCGGCCGGTTCCACGATGCTTCCAGGATAAGCAGGACCCTCTGGAATTCCATGACTTTCCCACTCCAGCCGTCCATCTGGGACTCTGAGCCTGGATGAAGTCCTGCCTTAGACAACTTTGTTACAGGAGGGAAGCCTGTCACGGCAACCCCCCAGTTATTACCGATTATGCTGAGCATGGAGGAAAACCTTAAGTTCTGGTAGAAATAAGAAAGTTGAGTCGGAACAGGAGAGTGGAAGGAACACTGGCCTTGGGACAGGAAGACCCGTGATCAAACCCTGGCTCAAGCATTCCCAAAGGGTATCAGCTTGGGCAAGTCACACCTGTGCAGAGGGACGGCTGACAGCTAACGCGCTTACTGAGCCAGGTGCGTCCGCTTAACCAGCACAATAAATGCACGAGGAAGGCACTTTCATTCCTACTATGCAGATGAGGAGGCTGAGGCTCAGAAACATACAGCGGTGACCCCAAGCTGAGCCCTGAACAGGCAAAGCTGAGATTTGCACCCAGGTCTGTCTGACTGAAAGCCAAGGTCTTAAGCCTTAGGCTGCGCTGGAACAGGGAACTCAGAGAACCCAGTCCACCTTGCACAGGGCCTGGACGCGTGCCTCGACATGTCAGCAATGAACAACATTTGCATAAGCACTTCCAGGGCCCCCTTCCCACTCCGCTTCTCATTAAATCTCTTCCAGATGACTCTACGTCCCCACCTCCTCGGCAACAGCTGACAGGCTCAGCAGTGAACTATGATCCAGGGCCCTTAGGACAATCAGATTCTCCCTTCTGGAGACTGGAATCAGCATCCAGAAACTCTAGTGCTTTGACAACAGGGAAGGACACTGCAGCTCCAGGTGGAAGGTGCTCACTGGGGGTTGCTCTTGGGGGATGTGGGCCAGTGGGCAACTGCAGGAAGTGGTCCAGAACAGGCTCCATGGGAGATCCTGAGGCTACAAGGACAGATGGCCCGGGAGCTGCCAGCTGGTTCCTGGCCCCTGCGAGGCTGGCTGCATTTTCTGCTCTGGGTTTCAGGGAACAATATATCCAACCCCACCCCTCTCTTCGTGCCCAAGCTAGCTGAGTGGGCTTTGCTCGGTGGATGTAAATAATTCCTGGGATAACAATCAGGTGTTATTGTTCTGTACCTCCTCTTCTGCTCCTTGGAGGTGTCAGGCAGGCAAGAGGCCTCTGAAAGCAAAATACAGGTAGCCCTCCCTATCTAGACCCTCACTGCACAAAAAGTCAGTCTAGCAACTTGCAAACATGTTTACCTAACACTCACTCTTTGAAGACCTGCTATAGTGAATCAGCATAAATCACCACAGATCTGGGTAAAGAATGTGGAGGGTCCTCCATTTGTATCTCATTCATTCTCAGCCAGGACTGTGCCTCCTGCCCATGGCATCGAAAGATGCTGGGCATCCCCACTGTGATCCTCCCTTCCTCTTCCCCAGGGTTTAGATCTTTCTTCCCCTGCCCCAGTGTTCGCTCCTGTCAAGTTCACTTTAGATGGTATCTTAGCATCTTTAACTTATAGCTGCTTTGTTTATTTACATTCTGTTTGCTGCAGAGCAGAAGCAAAAATATAATTTGTTTATGATACTGTTTGATATTATTGCATACTGAACACAAAACATCACTAATGAATTCATTACATTTTAAATAATTAGGTAACTGGTGTCTCACTTGCTTTATATTATGCAATGACTCTTGGCAGTTTGTTATGTAGGCGTTTCGGGAAACCAGTTAGGAACACATTATTTCCCCTCCCCCTACAAAATAATGAAACACAAGCTCTGAAAATTCTCTATTCAGCACTGTCAGGAGCAGATTAGGTCAGAATAATGAAGGATGCCAACCTTCTGAGAGAAACTGTGTGGCAAAAAGACAGGATGATGTACAAAGGACAGAGGCAGTCTTCTGACGGCCAGGAAATGTTGACTTCACCTCTGTTCGCGGCAGTTTGTGAAACTACCTCCTTCAGGTGTCAGTCTCCACCCTTATTGACTTCTTGGGTGGAGCAGGGACCCCGGCAAGCCCATTGGCTGCGACATTTCTCACTCATATTGATTGGCGTCGAGTTGAGCCTATGACACACAATAATGTGTTTGCTGGGATTTCTGACAAGTGACTTTTACCCTTTCCTGCTGGGTGTGAGCCCAGAGCTGTTGTATCATTGTGCAATCATGTGGGATCCGAGGATAAAGCCAGCACCATGGAAGGAGGGATTGGAATGAGAGGAAGAAGCCAGATCAGGTGACACCAAAAAAACCCTGGATTAAGATGTGCCTGAAGCCTGGGAGATATATTCTCCTAGGACGTTCAGTTACATCCGCGAAAAAACCTCCTGTTTACTTCAGCCAGCTTCAGTTGGGTTTCTGTCACTCGCAACAGAAGCATTCTGACTGAAAAGAAGACTGTCACGTCAGGATGGAGACTTGTGTTGGCCTGAGAGGTGACATAGCCCCTTACCAGGAGGCTGGGAGAAGACACATGTTCAGAAAGCCGGGCAAGTTCCCAATGTCTCCCGAGGGTTTTCCAAATAACTCTGTTACATCCTATGAGGAGGAACCATGACTACCTCCCACACTTGCTGTTACACGCCATTAGTGACATCAAGAAGAAACTACTAACCCACTGGTTAGACTTGTTTTACCCTAATGGGGATGTGCTTATACCGAGCTGTTCACATTCTGCCTGGCTCCCTATAAGACTGGTAGTATACATGGTGTTCGTTCATTCATTCATTCATTCACCAAACACTGACTGGACATATACTGTGTGTTAGGCCTTGAATAAACTATTAAGGACAGACAGGAAGAGAAAGATGTGGTTCTGGCCCACAATAGTCACAGTCTAGGCAGGGAGACAGACAAGCAGACAGCTTCAATACAGAGAGACACACAGAGCTGTAGGGGCACAGAATGGGTGGCCCTCGCTGGCCAGGGAACAAAGGCAAGGTTTCCTAGGGGATGAGAGTCCTGAAGGGCAGAAGGGGTTACTGGAGCCATGAGTGAGCCGGGAAGGCACAGGAGTGTGTGGGGAGGGCAAAGGCCTGTGGAGAGAGGCCAAGGTGAGGCAGGAGATGCAGGTCTGTCTTCAGAGCTGAATGGCCCCAAAAGTCTAGACACACTCAACAAACCCAGCTCACCAGCAAACACGATTATTGTTTAAAACTTAAGTTCAAACACTGCATGCCAAAGCCATTTGGAAATGATTTCCAGATTACCCTCCATTCTGGAGCAGTTAACAGGCACCCTTTCTCTTATGGAGGAAATATGAAATATCAAAGCATAAAGCAACAAAGCACATTATTTGTGTCTCAAAAGTAATGGATGTCATTTTTTTTTTTTGAGATGGAGTTTTGCTCTTGTTGCCCAGGCTGGAGTGCAATGGCACGATCTCGGCTCACTGCAACCTCTGCCTCCCGGGTTCAAGCAATTCTCCTGCCTCAGCCTTCCGAGTAGCTGGGATTACAGGCACCCGTCACCGCACCTGGCTAATGTTTGTATTTTTCGTAGAGACGGGGTTTCACCATGTTGGCCGGGCTGGTCTCAAACTTCTAACCTCGAGTGATCCACCCACCTCCGCCTCCCAAAGTGCTGGGATTACAGGTGTGAGCCACCACGCCCAGCCATGGATGTCATTTTTAAGTCTGGGAAATTAAAAAAATTCTGGACTCTAAAGCTGTAGTGGAATGTAAGTCCAATTAAACTCTTTCCGATCCTGCAGCTCACCAGAGACCTCAAATCCTTACCTGGAGGTCAAAAAACTTGCTGTAGCGCCGGTAAATGGCCTCGGTGGAGCCGCTGGACCACGTGACCCGGATGATGTAGACCTGCGGGAGCAACAGAGGAGATGGGTGTTAACACCAGAAGGTGGTCTCCCAATCTCTGGGACCCAGGGGGAGCACAAGACTCAGAGTCAGAAAGACGTGGGTTTCAGCCTTAGCTCTGCCAATGACTGGCTGGACAAGTTGCTTGCTGTAAGACTCATCTCCCTCCTCAATAAAATGAGTGTAATAACCCCCAACAGAGTTGTGCAAAGGATGAATGACATCAAGTATGGGGATGCAGTGGCACCACATCAGCTCAGGAGAAGCTGCTGTTTTCGGCATTGCCAGGATTCCTCACTACCCGCTCAGTTCAGTGAGAGACAGGCTGGCTATCTTGCCAGTCATTCCTAAAACCTTGACTTTCATCAGGAGAAGTCACGGAGACGTGCAGCTCTTGGCCATCTTATATCTTCCACAGGCCAGCCCATCATGCTGTCTCCACCGACGAGGACCTAGGCCAAGTTATTTTTTCCCCGAGTCCCAGTTTCTCCTGTGAATGGGGCTAACAGCACCTGCTTCCTCTGCCTCCTCTGCCTCCTCTGCCTCCCAGGATAGATGTGAGGTGCTGATGAAATTAAGGATGAAGGACCATTTTATAAACCAGTGGGCTGTGCTTCCAACCTGTGTCACACGTCACGGCACGCACAGAAAACAATACATTGATAACAAGCCCGGGCAAACTGAGGTGACTATTAGAGGTCAGAGGTGCCTGGCTGGGGCCTTTGGTGGCCCCGGACACACCAGGTAGACACCTAAGGGCTAAGGGATCAGCATACCTGTGACCCATTCCTGGACTGCATAAACTATCTGTTGCTATAGGGTAGTTGTGACAATTAAAATATATGCACAAGTGAAAGCTGTTTGGAAACAAAGAAATGTCATAGAAACACAAGGCGCTCAGTGCTGTTAGAAGCCCTGGGGTTTCACAGGCAGTGTCCCTGTCCTCCATGAGGTGACGGTTAGAAGGAGAGACAATGCATACATAAGTGAAGATGACTGACTCCTGGAATCCTCCTTCCCTACCTTCAGCTCACCCACTTGGATACGGGGTTGGGGGGGGGGGCGCACATTCTCTGTTCATGGTGATTGGTTGAAGGGAGAACATGTGACTTGAGCTGGGCCAATCACAGCCAGTAGGAGTCTGTCCTGGGACTTTTTTGGTTTGGTTTCTTTTTGGAGAGGGAGTCTAGCTCTGTCACCCAGGCTGGAGTGCAGTGACACAATCTCGGCTCACTGCCTCCCGGGTTCAAGAGATTCTCGTGCTTTAGCCTCCCGAGTAGCTAGGATTACAGGCGAGCGCTACCGTGCCCGGCTAATTTTTGTATTTTTAGTAGAGACGGGGTTTTGTCATGTTGCTCAGGCTGGTCTCGAACTCTTGACCTCAAGTGATCCACCTATGTCGGCCTCCCAAAGTGTTGGGATTACATGCTTGAGCCACCGCGCCCGGCCCGCCCTGGGACTTTTGCTCCAACTCTGGAGAAAGCCAAGCTCTTCTCCTGAGGTTGACAGGCTGTCAAGATGTGGAGCTGCTGGGGGCTACCCATCCTCACTGGGGGTGGGGGGGAGCCTGCCTGAGAAAGGAGCCACCATCCCGATGACACAGTCTAAGCTTACATCCAGCTCTGCCTGAAGCTAAATTTATTCCTGGACTGTCCAGTTTCCTGGGCCAATAATTATGTCTTGGGCCACATCCACTGTCTTGAATAACTTTTGTGGCCAGTTCAAGTTGGGTTTCTGACCCACGTAATCCAGTCCAGGTTGATACCGGAAGTGGGCAGGAGAGAGATCTCTGAAGCCTGGAGCCACCACAGTGTAACTGATGGTCATGTAGGATTTAGACAGCAGGAGAGGAAGGCAGTGGCTGTGGGTAGAGGGGAATGAGGGTAGAACAAAGACCAGCTCAGGGTGAAGCCACACTGTGCCTGGCAGCGGTTTCCACAGTGGTTTTAGCCAGAGTCTCTTTTCAAATGAGTTCTTAGGAGAACATTCACATTCCAAACAGAAAAAGATAGAACAACTTCAGGGGCTGGGGCCAGACACCAGTGTGAATATCATGGACTTATAGGAGAAGGTTCTTCAGGTGAGAAGAGACGAAAAATGTTAGGATAAATCAGGACAAGGTTGGAGGTGACCTTGAATGCCACGCTAAGGAGTTCACCTGGCATGGCCTCATCAAACCCAACACAGATTATATTTCAAAACATGGCAGAAATGGGGGAGCTTGGGCTCTAGAGTCAAGAAGCTCTGGACTCACACAATTTCCTAACTCCTGGAGCCTCAGCTTTCTTATCTGGTAAAATGGGGTCATCAAGCATACAGAGTTGTGATTAGCACAAGAGGAAAAGCTCTGAGCACCTTGCCAGGAAGACAGAAAAAGTTCATGAAACCTCAGCACCTTGCTCTCAGACCACCCAATGCCTACCCCATCCCTGCTCACAAAAACAGGCTCCTTTGACACCAAGGATTTGGGCATCCAGCCCACCCTTCTTCCTTGTTTGCGCTCCCCGTTCCTAGGTAACTCATGGAGCCAGGGAAGGGGCCACGGCATCCTTTAGGAGGTAAGAGTCAGTCATCATCTCAGAAAGGCGACTTTGTGATGTGAAAAAACGCTCAACAGTCCTGATGTTTTACTTAACAAGAAGACTTCAAATCTGTTTCTTAGCTTTCCACCCTGCTTCACCGAGACTCCAGCATGGAGATTTTGAATGGTTTCCATTCATTCACTCATTCAGTCTTCAACATCTATTAAGCACCGACTGCATGCCAGGCCCTCTGCTAGGGGTTGAGATACTATGGGGAGCAAGGCAGACCCAGACCCTGCCCTTGTTAAGTGGAGATGGGCAATAAACCAGCAAACCTGCCGACATGCTGGGCAGGACCCCGAAGTCTGCATGAGGGTGGTAGGTGGAGGGGCTGGCTACTTGGATAAGGGGGCCTTGGAAGGGAAGCCTATCTGAGGAGGCAACCTTTGAACTGAGATCTGAAGGGTGAGGAGCTGGTCGAGAGCTGAGGAAAGGGCGTACAGGGAAAAAGAAAAGTGGGAACGAAGATGTGGCAGCAGGAAAATGCTCGCCTGTGTGAGGAACAGGAGAGTATGACAGCTGACAGTGCTGCGGGAGGAAGGGGCTGAGCGGGGGAGGAGGCAGCAGCTGATGACGAGGGGCTTGCAGGCCACAGAGAAGCGTCTGGATTTCATTCTACTGAAGAGCTTGAAGGGGTGGGGGAGGCGTGCGACAGGATCCAGGGTACACGTTTAAAAATATCCATAGGTATCCCTCCAGCTGCTGTGTGGAAACGGCTTGAAGAGGGGCAGGGACACCAGTAAGGCATCTTTTGCACCACTGACAGGAAGTTAGAGCTGGAGCGGACCAAAGAATGCAGCTCATTGAAGGGCTGCACCTGCCAGATGGGTAAACTGAGGGTCAGAAAGGGAAAATACTGTACCAAAGGTGCCCACCACTGGGGATGCTTAAGCTAGGTTTGAATGACTGTCAAGGACACTGCCAACAGGGATTAAAAAACAAGGAAAAATTGTCAAAGAATGGATTTTTTTCTTAAAACCAACAAAAAGCACACTCCCATAGATGGAAAAAAAAATTCTGCTTACACAATTCATCCTTGATCTCTTGTTTACAATTTTTAAAGTTCTGAACATACAGTGCAAGGACTCTGCAGCAAGCCTAATTGGTTTATTGGAATCAACCCCTGAACACAACGTGATGTCTGCATTTTTAGGCAGAGACCTAATTTTTTAACGAGAGCTGCCCTAGCGTAGGGCTTTGTCCCCGTCCTGGGTTTGGGGGCTGGTGAGAGAGCACACACCCTGGGTCACAGAGCCAGCTCTGCTGCTAGAGAAACTCACAAGGCATTCACCTCTCTGGCCACCCACCCTTCTCTCTAAAACAAGGACAATAATCTCCCTTGAGGGGTAAGCCACAATAGCTAACGGAGATGGGGCCAACACCTGGCACGCACTAGGAGTGCAACGTTCAGCTTCCCTCACAGTGGTCATCCCATGTTCCTGCTTGTCTAGTACCTTCCCCTCCCCTCCTTTTGGTAACAGAATCCTGACTTCCCACGGGGAATCCTTCCTCTGGTCTTCATGAGGGGAGTGGGCATGTCTCCCTCCCAGGCCCAGCCAACCACAGCCCTGCTGATGAATGATGGCTCAGGGATGGGCACAAGACGGATGAGAACCAATTCCAGGACTTTTGATGGCAGTCTCAGGGGACAGACCATTTTGCCCACTCAGTGGCTGCTGGGAGAACCTACACCAGGAATTTCCCATGGAAAGCGCCTGTCACACAGAAGAAAGCAGAGCCAGAGGGAGAGAGGAGGGCTCAGACCCCGTGGCAACATTTGAACCCCTGGATCCAGCCTGAATCCGGGACATTTCCCAGATGCAAGACAAAACAGTCCTTTTCTTGTTCACACCAGTTTGATTTGGTGTCTGTTACTTGCAACCAGTGCAATCCTAACACAGTAGACCTTTCCTTTTTTACATCCCCAACCCAGGTAATACTTAGTAGCTTGGTGCCAAGGAATTAAAGACTTCCTCACAGTGGCAGTATTCACAAGAGGCCAAAGATGGAAACAACCCAAGTGTCCATTGATGGATGCGTGCATAAAGAAAATGTGGTTTAGACATAAAATGGGACATCATTCAGCTCTAAAAAGAGAAAATTCCGACACATGCTACCCTATGAATGAACCTTGAGGATATTAGGCTATGTGAAATAAGCCGGTCACAATAGAACAAATACTGTATGATTACAGGAGGTACCTGGAGTAGTCAAATTTATAGACATAGAAAGGAGGATGGTGGTTGCCAGAATGGGTAGAATGGGGAGTGGTTATTTTTCATTCTTCTGAGATGAGGTCTCGCTCTGTCACCCAGGGTGGAGTATGGTGGTGTGATCATAGCTCACTGCAACTTCAAATTCCTGGACTCAAGCAATCCTCCCACCTCAGCCTCCGAAGTAGCTGGGACTACAGGCATGTGCCATTATGCCTGGTTAATTTTATTATTATTATTTTTTGTAGAGACAGGGTCTTGCTTTGTTGCCTAGGCTGTTATCGAACTCCTGGCTCGAGTGATCTTCCCACCTCAGTATCTCAAAGTATTGGGATTACAGCCGTGAGCCACCATGCCTGGCTGGGAGTTGTTGTTTAATGGGTGCAGAGTTTCAGTCTAGGGAGATGAAAAAAGTTCTGGCGATGGATGGTGGTGATGGTTGCTAAGAAATGGCTGAAATGTTAAGTTTTATGTTGTGTGTGTTACCACGATTTTTTTTTTTTTTTTGAGATGGAGTCTTGCCCTATCACCCAGGCTGGAGTGCAGTGGGGTGATCTCGGCTCACCGCAACCTCTGCCTCCCGGGTTCAAGCAATTCTCTGCCTCAGCCTCCCAAGCAGCTGGGATTACAGGCGCCTGCCACCATGCTCGGCTAATTTTTTGTATTTTTAGTAGAGACGGGGTTTCACTATCTTGGCCAGGC